>NC_000011.10:102323939-102626970 GCF_000001405.40 Homo sapiens
GTAATGTATTATTTTCCTCCTTTGAGTTAGGTCTTGTGCTTTTTTTTCCTGGCCACTAAATTTCACAATTTCCAAAAAGCAAAATAAACATATTCTGAATATTTTTGCTGTGAAACACTTGACAGCAGAGCTTTCCACCATGAAAAGAAGCTTCATGAGTCACACATTACATCTTTGGGTTGATTGAATGCCACTGAAACATTCTAGTAGCCTGGAGAAGTTGACCTACCTGTGGAGATGCCTGCCATTAAATGGCATCCTGATGGCTTAATACACATCACTCTTCTGTGAAGGGTTTTAATTTTCAACACAGCTTACTCTGTAGCATCATGTTTACATTGTATGTATAAAGATTATACAAAGGTGCAATTGTGTATTTCTTCCTTAAAATGTATCAGTATAGGATTTAGAATCTCCATGTTGAAACTCTAAATGCATAGAAATAAAAATAATAAAAAATTTTTCATTTTGGCTTTTCAGCCTAGTATTAAAACTGATAAAAGCAAAGCCATGCACAAAACTACCTCCCTAGAGAAAGGCTAGTCCCTTTTCTTCCCCATTCATTTCATTATGAACATAGTAGAAAACAGCATATTCTTATCAAATTTGATGAAAAGCGCCAACACGTTTGAACTGAAATACGACTTGTCATGTGAACTGTACCGAATGTCTACGTATTCCACTTTTCCTGCTGGGGTTCCTGTCTCAGAAAGGAGTCTTGCTCGTGCTGGTTTCTATTACACTGGTGTGAATGACAAGGTCAAATGCTTCTGTTGTGGCCTGATGCTGGATAACTGGAAAAGAGGAGACAGTCCTACTGAAAAGCATAAAAAGTTGTATCCTAGCTGCAGATTCGTTCAGAGTCTAAATTCCGTTAACAACTTGGAAGCTACCTCTCAGCCTACTTTTCCTTCTTCAGTAACAAATTCCACACACTCATTACTTCCGGGTACAGAAAACAGTGGATATTTCCGTGGCTCTTATTCAAACTCTCCATCAAATCCTGTAAACTCCAGAGCAAATCAAGATTTTTCTGCCTTGATGAGAAGTTCCTACCACTGTGCAATGAATAACGAAAATGCCAGATTACTTACTTTTCAGACATGGCCATTGACTTTTCTGTCGCCAACAGATCTGGCAAAAGCAGGCTTTTACTACATAGGACCTGGAGACAGAGTGGCTTGCTTTGCCTGTGGTGGAAAATTGAGCAATTGGGAACCGAAGGATAATGCTATGTCAGAACACCTGAGACATTTTCCCAAATGCCCATTTATAGAAAATCAGCTTCAAGACACTTCAAGATACACAGTTTCTAATCTGAGCATGCAGACACATGCAGCCCGCTTTAAAACATTCTTTAACTGGCCCTCTAGTGTTCTAGTTAATCCTGAGCAGCTTGCAAGTGCGGGTTTTTATTATGTGGGTAAGAAACTGAATCTGCTAATTAAAAAAAATATATTTCATTTTATACATTTTAGTGGGCAAATTATGTGTATTCATAAGTTTTGGTCTAAAATTAATTTTAGGTAACAGTGATGATGTCAAATGCTTTTGCTGTGATGGTGGACTCAGGTGTTGGGAATCTGGAGATGATCCATGGGTTCAACATGCCAAGTGGTTTCCAAGGTAATTGTTTTGAAATTCTCTTTGCAAATTCTTGTGATTATCATGAGATTGCTTATATGTGTTCACCTGAAATCAGTTGTTACTTTACTCTGTTCCAAATATATATTTGTGAATAAGTTTAGGATGGATTACTTAGTAAAATACTTACTTAAAAAGTTTCGATGGACTTAAGACAACGAAGAAATAGATTTGGGGATTTTTGTTTAATTTTTAAAGAAATATATATATATTTAAATAATACATGCTCATTATAAAAACAAAGTCACACATTGTAGAAAAGCACAGAGAAGGAAAATTAAAATGTCCAGAAATCTTACCGCCTAAGGATGAGCATGGTTACCACTTTAGTGAACATCCCTCCAGACATATAGAAATAAATGTATATGATACATATACATATAGAAATAAATACATATACATATAGAAATAAATGTACACCATTTTACATAAGTTAAATATTATATCTAGTTTTGAAGTTTTTTCAGTCAACATTTGTCTTGGATATATTTCCATTCATTCGGTATTCAATAATAATTGATCACCTATTGGCAGGCATTGTTCTGGGTGCATAAAATCAGTTGAACAAAACAAAGACCCCTGGTCTCCTAAGTTTTTATTATAGCACGAGAGAACAGACAACTAATAAAAACTTGAATAAGTTCTATAGCATGTTGGAAAATAAGTACAATCAATAAAAAGAACAAAGAGGAGTTTAGAAATGCCAGGCAGGTTACAATATTAAATTGGGTGGTCAGGGTAAGTATAGACTCATCTCATCTGTTTTAGTCGCCACGCAGCATTTTAATGTGATGTGTTACCCTTTTGATTGTTTAACTGGCCACCTAGTGTTCTAGTTAATCCTGATTAGCTTGCAAGTGTGGGTTTTTATCACGTGGGTAAGAAACTTAATGTACTAACTAAAATATCAGCTTCAAAAAGTTTTTTACACTCTCCTTTTTCATCTAAATCATGTGGCCTACAATTACATTTTTTCATGGTCAAAACTTTTGCTATTATTCAACCCGTTTCCCATTTGCCCTGAGAATACTGCACTGGCAACAAGCTGCACTGTTTTTTTTCTAAATGGGAAATGGGTTAATATCGATTAATAAATGTGGCATCTTAACTTATTTTGATTACTTTTTTTCCTCTTTTCTTTTGAGATGGAGCCTGGCTCTGTTGCCCAGATTGGAGTGCGATGGTGTGATGTCAGCTCACTGCAACCTCCGCCTCTTGGGTTCAGGCAATTCTCATGCCTCGAGCCTCGCTAGTAGCTGGGATTACAGGTGCACGCTAGCATGCCCAGCTAATTTTTGTATTTTTGTAGAGACAGGGTTTCACCATGTTGTCCAGGCTGGTCTCAAACTCCTGACCTCAGGACTTTGAGGTGCTTGCCCGGCCAACATCAGTGTGTTTTAAGAATCTTAGAAGAGTTGAAGAGAGTAGCTAAGAGCTCTGAGGAGAGATGGTCTTACTTGACCTCAGTAGACTGAGGGGCTCCTGACCCTTGTCCACTTGAGCCTTGGTAGATAACTAGTAATCACCTTCCTCTTGCTTATATCAACCTGCCTTTCACTGCAATATCTCTGACCATTCCCTATATGCTAAATGAATAGTAAATTGATTATATGTACATTTATACTCATTTGAAATATTTATACTTCACAATATATTAAGAGTAAATTGATTATATGTATGTTTATACTCACTTGAAATAGCCAGTCTACAAATGGCTGGATTAGTCCTGCCCAAATTAAGATAAACCTTTAGAACTTTTCAAAATTAGCTGAAGTGGTCGGGTGCAGTGGCTCATGCCTGTAATCGCAGCACTTTGGGAGGCTGAGGCAGGAGGATCACTTGAGGTCAGGAGTTCGAGACCAGTATGGCAACATGGTAAAGCCCCATCTCCACTAAAAATGCAAAAATTAGCCGGCCATGGTGGCAGGCACCTGCAAGCTCAGCTACTCGGGAGGCTGAGGCACCAGAATCACTTGAACCTGGGAGGCAGAGGTTACAGTGAACTGAGATCATCCCACTGCCCTCCAGCCTGGGTGACAGAGCGAGACTCTGTCTAAAAAAAAAAAAATTAGCAGAAGCATAATGTATCTTGGCAAATATAAAAATATTAATTTTGTAAAACATTCAACCTGTATGAAAAATGTTGACTGTCATGAGAAGCATCTTACAAAACAATTAAAAATTCACACAAAAAATTTGAATCCTGTCATAGGATAACTATGGGTTAGTTTTAGAAAAAAAGTTTTTTTTTTAAAAGCAATACAATAGAATCAGTTCCCAGTGGGCTAGGATGTATTTATTCTTCTAACATTAAGTTTAGAATAAATGATCTTAAATGATTCTGTGATTTGAGGCAAACAACCAGATTTGAAATGGAATAAACACCTAGAGATGAGAAATTTATGTTATTACATTTTCATTTCACTTGTATAAATAATCCCTCAAATTTTATTTTCTTTACATTTTAGGTGTGAGTACTTGATAAGAATTAAAGGACAGGAGTTCATCCGTCAAGTTCAAGCCAGTTACCCTCATCTACTTGAACAGGTAGGGCAAGTTCTTTTTTTAAATATTGGTTGCCATCAGAGAAATTGCTTTCTGATAATTACAGAGAGTGCTATTTGAGTGAAAAGACAAGAGTTGTTTTAGAAATACATTTTCTTTTTCTTATCAAACCTGACATGATTTTAGAAAGTATTATTCTTTGGAGAAAAATAGATCCATAAATGGTAGTCTCCTGATAATGACACTTGTGATGTTTTTCAAACAAGTTGCAATAAATCAAACTTCGAGAAAAAATGACTGGGATAGTAGTATTTAACAGTTTCACTATATAAATTTTCCTTCAAAAGATCTGAGAAAGAGAATTTTATTGCTTTTTCTAACCTTGAGAAAGCAAATAACTTACATAATAGTTTGATGGTCAAACCCATCCTAGCCATGAGCAATGAAACTGATACAGGGTCCAACTTATCCCAAAGGATGACCCAGGGTAGGTAAGACCTGTGGATGAAAGGAAAATTGATTGTCACATGGATTATGGAAAAGATATAGTCCGTTTCCTGCCTTAATGAAAATGGGTTTTGTTATTATATACACACACTGAAACTCTATTAGTTTATGGCCTAGGGAATAACTATCAAATATAAATGAAATATTGCTTTTGGTTAAAAAATTATTTTGCCAGTAAGCAAGTGGTTTGCAACAAGTTGAATAAAATATGTCTGTTGGGTCATTTTCATTGCAATGGGTAAGATAAGATTTCTATTTTAATTTATATATATATATATATATATATTTTTTTTTTCTGCAGCTGCTATCCACATCAGACAGCCCAGGAGATGAAAATGCAGAGTCATCAAGTAAGTACAATGGATAATAATGAATGCATTTAAATAGAGTCATTTGGTACTGTTAATATTGAAAGTTGATAATAGTAATGTACCTGTATATTGATTTATAATTTACGATGAATGCATTTTCAAATATACTGTGTTGGTATTTCCCAAACTTCAGTGCATATCAGAGTTGCCTGGAGAACTTTAAAAAATATGACAGATTTCCAGTTTCTACTTCAGACCTACTGAATTAAATCTGAGTATCTAAAGGTGGGGCTCAGGCATGTATAGTTTTAACAAACTACATACATCCAGCCTAACACTTGTTCTTGGGCCAGTGTGGGAGCAGATGTACTATGATATTAGATTGCTCACATATTCTTTCTGTGAAAGGGAAAGAATAGAACACGTTAGTCACCTTTTTAAATAGGGACGCTGAGGCTCAGAAAGGTTAAATGACTTGTACATCACCTTACACCTAAAATGCAACAGAGCTAATATTTGTACAAGCCCCTCTACTCCATTATCTCATGTTCAATTCAATTCAGTATATATTTATTGTATATTGTATATCGCCTGTTCTGAGGAAAGCATAGAGAACAGGATAGAGCCAACCCAAATGTCCATCAGTGATAGACTGGATTAAGAAAATGTGGCACATACACACCATGGAATACTATGCAGCCATAAAAAGGATGAGTTCATGTCCTTTATAGGGACATGGATGAAGCTGGAAACCATCATTCTGAGCAAACTATCACAAGAACAGAAAACCAAACACCGCATGTTCTCACTCATAGTTGGGAATTGAACAATGAGAACACTTGGACATAGGAAGGGGAACATCACACACAGGGCCTGTTGTGGGGTAGGGGGATGTGGGAGGGATAGCATTAGGAGATACACCTAATGTTAAATGACGAGTTAACGGGTGCAGCACACCAACATGGCACATGTATACATATGTAACAAACCTGCACATTATGCACATGTACCCTAGAACTTAAAGTAAAATAATTTAAAAAAAGGAAAAAAAGAATACAGAACAGGATAAACATAACTCCTGGTCTCATGTATCTACTGGAAACAGACAAATACACAGACAGGAGAAAGGGATATGGCAGCAAAAGTAAAGTGTAATATGAGAGTGCATATAGGACAATTAACCCAGACTTGGAGGGTCAGAAAAGGCTTTCCAAAGGAAGTACTTGTCTTAGCAGAAAATCCAAGGGAAGAGTAGGAGTTAACCGAGTGACAAATGGAAGAAAAGAGTATTCCAGGCAGAGGGAACAGCATATGAAAGACCGAAGTGACAAAGGAGAATAGGCACCTTTGAAGAACTGAACAAAATTCCATATGGCCAGAAGTAGGAGTTGCTAATAGATAAATCAGGGAAGCAGGCCAGCTGTATGAGTGGTCAGCACTACAGGCAGAATTGACACTAGAGCCATCAGTTTGTGACTTCTGGGCTAGAGTGCAGAATGTGAATGATTCAGTGGCAAGAGATGAGGCTGAAGAGGTAAACAAGGTTCAGATTGTATGAGACTTTGTAAGACACTTTATTTTGGATTTTATCCTAAGAGCAATGGAATTGTTGATGGAATTTAAGAAGTGTGACACATCATATTTGTGTTTTTAAAAAGTCACTCTGATTGCACTGTTGAGAATGAATTCCAAGGAAGCAATATTTTATAACCATAGCCTCTCTGAAAAATATGTGAATTATTCTTGATTGAAAACTCATTTGTTCATTCAACATAGGGAAAAATAATCTCAATTCTAGTGGGAGGTAATCCCTGCCATTCTGTTTCCTTCTCCTGCTCACATATGTATATCCAGTTATGACAGGTAATGTGTATTTTGCATCTAAGTACAATATTCCAAGTTGTTATTTAATGACTGAACGTGTATATCATTTTAAATTTAACAATGTTCATACAAAATAATGCCTATACATTTTGTTGGTTTTACATTTTTAATATTATAAAACCTTTCAATTTTTGATTTCATTTCAAATTTCAATTTTTAAGAAATATAAGGCTATCCTAATATGTGTTAAATTCTTTGTTCCATATAGTTATCCATTTTGAACCTGGAGAAGACCATTCAGAAGATGCAATCATGATGAATACTCCTGTGATTAATGCTGCCGTGGAAATGGGCTTTAGTAGAAGCCTGGTAAAACAGACAGTTCAGAGAAAAATCCTAGCAACTGGAGAGAATTATAGACTAGTCAATGATCTTGTGTTAGACTTACTCAATGCAGAAGATGAAATAAGGGAAGAGGAGAGAGAAAGAGCAACTGAGGAAAAAGAATCAAGTATGTAGATTTATTAATACAGTCTATTTTCATAAGGATTTGATATCAGTCTATATGTTATGAAAAATATACTCATCTAGCATATCTGAAAATATACTCAATCCAGTCAGGTTTTTTTCATGTTTAGTATTCTGAATTCAAATGCTGAAAAATTTATTCATATTCAAATATATTTGAGTTGCTCATAAGTCAAAAATGTATGATGTACAAAAGTATTTTTCATGTTTTTCCTTAATTCATATTTTTTTCTCTGGATAGCTGACGTTGTGTCCAATTATGCATTCATGGCACATTTTTTTTTTCTTAACGCTTTGAAAATGGAATCCTTGTTGCATCATGGCACATTTTTAATCCCAGGCTAGTTGCTCACTCCCCTTTGGAGTAAATCAGGGTGGGATCAGGGACAATTATTAATTTTTTTTTGAGACAGTCTTACTCTGTCACCCATGCTGGAGTGCAGTGGCATGATCTCAACTCACTGCAACTTCTGCCTCCTGGGTTCAAGCAATTCTCGTGCCTCCTTCCCTTAGCTGGGATTACAGGCACCTGCCACCATGCCAGGCTAATTTTTGTATTTTTAGTAGAGAAGGGATTTCTCCATGTTGGCCACACTGGTCTCAAACTCCTGACCTCAAGTGATCCGCCCGCCTCGGCCTCCCAAAGTGCTGGGATTACAGGCATGAGCCACCGTGCCTGGCTGGATGGTTATTAATTTTAATGTTAGCATAAAAGCATGTCTTAGCCTGTGACTATACATTAATACACAAATTACTATTAAGTCCCCTACCTGTCCACACAAGAACTGAGTCTTCCAGAGCATCCGTCGATTATTTAGGCAAGTCCTAGTATACTGTTTCACAATCTCTTAGGACAAGTTGTTCATGTCCTTCCATACTAAACGTATCCACTATGTTCTCTATTGCCCTTCACAAAAACTCTTCTGGGCACATACATTCTCATCTGGCTGTTTTGACTGCTATCATCATTCTGTCCTAGACAAAAAGAAATGCTGATCTCTCCTTTCCCAAGCATGGACCAGACCTATAAGTCCCTTCAACACAGCTGAAAACAGACTGCAACTTTTAACAAGCTCTTACTGGAGACTTAAGGAAAACGGAAGGGAATTATATCACAAATGTTGATTTACAGCTGCAACTAGCTGTGACCTCTCTTAGTGCCCCCGGGCTCATCCTCATAAATCTCCCCTGCCTAGCTTCTGGTTCATCTCTGTGTAGCTTTGGCAAGTTTACACAAGTCACTAGGAATGTCCCAATAATGTTTTCCTTTATCAAAATTCAGGCCCCCCCAATATTCATAAAGCTCAGAAGGAGAATAAAGATTTCTCCTTATCCTTGTGCAAGGCCATCTGGGATCTATTTCTTCACAGGATGATTGACAGTCAGATTGTCCACTTCATTTAGGGATAAATCCAACCCTGCCCATGAAGATGGATTTGTTCTCTGACCCAACCCAGACAAACCTATCAGACCATAGTGATATAGCATCATACATTCACCAAAGTGTGAATTACTCAGTCTATAAACCACTAGTGTAGCAGCAATACAGTCACGGTTAACCTTTGCCCAGCCTCATCAAATTCTCTTTTCTCTGTGAAGATTAGGCAAGCATGTCCTTCCTGTAGCCTTCTTAGTGGTAGCCATTTGTCATCAGCCAACAATTGCTCAAAGAAGAGAACACTTATCTCCACAACTGTTGAGAGACCCCATAAAATCTAAAACTATCCACTTATAAAATATTTATATTTCTTTCAAAGACAATCAGAAAAGTCTCCAGAAATGACTTCAAGTCAACAATATATAATAATTTACATTGTGAAAAAGAGCCCTTAGCGTTTCTGCCTCACCATTATATATATATCTCTACTACCTAGTATCGTGCCTGCATATAGTCTGTGTTGTGAGTGAGTGAATGAAAACACATTTAGGTTAATGATTACGTTATAGTTTCCCAAGAATAGTAGGGATATAAATAAAGAGGTAATTTAAGATTTTTTTTTTCCCAGAATAAAATAATAATATGGCTGAGTGTGGTGGCTCACACCTGTAATCACAGCACTTTGGGAGGCTGAGGCAGGCAGATCGCTTAAGCCCAGGAGTTCAAGACCAGGCTGGGCAACATAGCAAAACCCTGTCTGTATAAACAAATATAAAAATTAGCAGGGTGTGGTGGCATGTGTCTGTAGTCCCAGCTCTACTCAGGAGGCTGAGGTGGGAGGACCACTTGAGCCCAGGGAGGTTGAGGCTGCAATGAGCTATGATCATATGCCACTGCATTCCAGCCTGGGCAACAGAGTGAGACACTCTCTAAAAGAAAAAAAAAAAAGAAAGAAAGAAAAGCAAAAACAAAATTAATAATATGCTTCAAAGGCAACTACTCAGGAGGCTCAGGTACAAAAATAGCTTGAACCTGGGAGGCAGAGGTTGCAGTGAGCTGAGATCGCACCGCTGCACTCCAGCCTGGGTGACAGAGCAAGACTCTGTTTTAAAAATGAATAAATAAATAATAAAAGAAATTTTATGGAAGAATGATACTTTAAGAAAAAATTGTTTTAATTCAGGCTGAATGTGGTGACTCATGCCTGTAATCCTAACACCTTGGGAGGCTGAGGCAGGTGGATTGCTTGAGCCCAGGAGTTTGAGACCAGACTGGACAACGTGGCGAGACCCCATCACTACAAAAAATTTTTAAAACAAAGTATTTGTGATGGTGTATGCCTGGTAATCCCAGCTACTCAAGTCTTCTGAACTTGCAAACCAGAATATAGTCTACAACTTTGAAATGAGACTTTTTCTCAGTTACTAGCAATTAAATTTTAGAAATCTTAAGAACTTCAGAGAATGCATTATATTAGGTTACGTATAATTACAAAAATAAATCTTAGATTGAAAAACTAGTATACTTCAACACCAAGTTTGTATTTTTATTTTCTAATATATCCCTACTTTGCTAATAGAAATAATTTAACAAAATATATTAAGTTCTAAGTCTTCTACCCCTCTCACCATTACTTTTCATTCCTACTCTTTAAATTATAGAACTAAGGTTTGATTGTTCATTTGTTCAACAGATATTTATGGAGCATTAACTTTGTGCCAGACACTATTCTAGCTCCTGACCCTTTTCTCATTTATTCTCAGAGCTTCCATTATTTTCAAAATATGTCTTTAGCCTTGTCTTTTTGACTAAGCATCATCTTTATTTTCTGGTTGTTGTTTTTGATTTTTGCTGTTTTCTTTTTTCCATTTTTTATTCTTTCTTAAATGGTTCTTTTTATGAGTCCTATCACTTGACAAAGTCAGTGTATCTAAAATCTAACAATCCTCTCTCCCAAAACAATTCTTCAGATAGCTCAGCCTCTGTCATTAGTTATTTTTTAGAAACAGCTTTATGGATTATGGTAAGCTATATGAAAATTAATAAACTTAGATTCATAAGTTATATTCCAAAGAGATAATAAAACTGCAGTTTTAAAATATAAAATGTTTTACCAATGGATACAAAATCTAGGTCTTGAAGGAGAATTAGATGATATCTTGTAGGACGAGAAGGTAGTCGTTGACAAATAGGGTTTATTATTCAAAATGCTGTTACTGCCTTTCCCTGCTTACTATAAAATATTTAGGTAATGGCAATATGTCTAATTTCTGGAAATAATTAAAATTTCAACTTAAAATGGAATTTTAAAGAAATTTTATGGGCCGGACATAATGGCTCACACTTGTAATCCCAGCACTTTTGGAGGCCGGAGTGGGCGGATCACTCGAGGCCAGGAGTTCGAGACCAGGCTGGCCAACATGGTGAAACCTCATCTCTACTAAAACTACAAAAAATTAGCTGGATGTAGTGGCACATGCCTGTAATCCCAACTACTCAGGAGGCTCAGGCACAAAAATAGCTTTAACCTGGGAGGCAGAGGTTGCAGTGAGCTGAGATCGCACCACTGCACTCCAGCCTGGGCGACAGAGCAAGACTCTGTTTTAAAAATGAATAAATAAATAATAAAAGAAATTTTATGGAAGAATGACACTTTAAGAAAAAATTGTTTTAATTCTCTTGATTTTGTCTTTCCCCAATTTGACTAGATTGAATTGAAACGTCAATTTTAATGGGTTCTAAGTTCCATTTGGTTAAAGGCTTAGCAGTATTGCCAAATGATTGAAAGCACAGTACATGACACCAGACTACCTCAGTTTGATTTTTGCTAGTTGTGGTGTCCTTCGGCAACTTAATTGCCTCACTGCAGCTTCATTTTCTCATTTGTTAAATGAGGCTATTAGGACCTACCTCAAAGAGCTGTTGTGAAGATGAAATGAATCAATACATGTAAAGTTCTTAACACAGTGCTCACTAAATGTTAGTCCTTACTATAAGTAGCATTATTATTATTATTATTATATTTTTTTAAGACAGGGTATTGCTATGTTGCCCAGTCTGGTCTCTGACTCCAGGGCTCAAGTGATCCTCCTACCTCAGCCTCCCAAGTAGCTGGTGCTACAGGCATGTGCCACTGCACCCTGGATTATAATTATAATAACATTATTATTAAGCAAAGGAGATGAGACACCCCTAAACCTAGCAATCAACATCAATGCCTTACTGATTACGAATTAAAGATAGTTTTTATCCTGCTATATATATAGGACTGGAAGGAAGTTTGTGAGCAGAGTTTGAACATGTTTATGCTTGTTTTCTTTTTTATAAAGATGATTTATTATTAATCCGGAAGAATAGAATGGCACTTTTTCAACATTTGACTTGTGTAATTCCAATCCTGGATAGTCTACTAACTGCCGGAATTATTAATGAACAAGAACATGATGTTATTAAACAGAAGACACAGACGTCTTTACAAGCAAGAGAACTGATTGATACGATTTTAGTAAAAGGAAATATTGCAGCCACTGTATTCAGAAACTCTCTGCAAGAAGCTGAAGCTGTGTTATATGAGCATTTATTTGGTGAGTGATAGAAAATTATTTTTAAAAATTTTCTAAGTCAATTGAAAATACGCTCTTATTAATAATTTATGACTACTGAAAATAATTCAGGCTGAATGTGGTGACTCATGCCTGTAATCCTAACACCTTGGGAGGCTGAGGCAGGTGGATTGCTTGAGCCCAGGAGTTTGAGACCAGACTGGACAACGTGGCGAGACCCCATCACTACAAAAAATTTTTAAAACAAATTATTTGTGATGGTGTATGCCTGGTAATCCCAGCTACTCAAGAGGATGAGGTGGGAGGATGGCTTAAGCCTGAGAGATAGAGGCTCCCATGAGCTGTGATTGTGCCACTGCACTCCAGCTTGGGTGACAGACTCTGTCTCAAAAAAAAATCAATCTAATTTATAGATATTAGTTACATAAAAAGATTAAAGACTTCTGTTGCCTTGAAATGAGTATTTGGCTATAGTCTAAAGTGTTCATTTTTAAAATAGATTCCATAGCTAAATATTAACCTTATTTGTCATAGTAATGCTTTTTCTTTTTCTCCCTTAGTGCAACAGGACATAAAATATATTCCCACAGAAGATGTTTCAGGTAATAGTACTAATATTTTAAATCAATAGAGAACATTGTCTTTATTTTCTTAGTTTTTCACTGAAGAAGCAAACTGCCTTTTATTAAAAATTCTTTCCTCTTTCTAGATCTACCAGTGGAAGAACAATTGCGGAGACTACAAGAAGAAAGAACATGTAAAGTGTGTATGGACAAAGAAGTGTCCATAGTGTTTATTCCTTGTGGTCATCTAGTAGTATGCAAAGATTGTGCTCCTTCTTTAAGAAAGTGTCCTATTTGTAGGAGTACAATCAAGGGTACAGTTCGTACATTTCTTTCATGAAGAAGAACCAAAACATCGTCTAAACTTTAGAATTAATTTATTAAATGTATTATAACTTTAACTTTTATCCTAATTTGGTTTCCTTAAAATTTTTATTTATTTACAACTCAAAAAACATTGTTTTGTGTAACATATTTATATATGTATCTAAACCATATGAACATATATTTTTTAGAAACTAAGAGAATGATAGGCTTTTGTTCTTATGAACGAAAAAGAGGTAGCACTACAAACACAATATTCAATCAAAATTTCAGCATTATTGAAATTGTAAGTGAAGTAAAACTTAAGATATTTGAGTTAACCTTTAAGAATTTTAAATATTTTGGCATTGTACTAATACCGGGAACATGAAGCCAGGTGTGGTGGTATGTGCCTGTAGTCCCAGGCTGAGGCAAGAGAATTACTTGAGCCCAGGAGTTTGAATCCATCCTGGGCAGCATACTGAGACCCTGCCTTTAAAAACAAACAGAACAAAAACAAAACACCAGGGACACATTTCTCTGTCTTTTTTGATCAGTGTCCTATACATCGAAGGTGTGCATATATGTTGAATGACATTTTAGGGACATGGTGTTTTTATAAAGAATTCTGTGAGAAAAAATTTAATAAAGCAACAAAAATTACTCTTATTCTTCATTGCTTTATTTCAATGACATTGGATAGTTTAGTCACTCCCAGACTCTTTCCATACCTTCTTAAAGCCTCTCAAATATTGAACTACAGTTTATACTCCTTCCCATAAGATGCTTCTTCATTGACACTTGTAGAACACGGGGTCAACACATCATAAAATCTATTATGGAATGCCTGAGACAAGAATCAAACAGTCCCTTTAGTAAGTTTGTTTATTCACTTCTCTATTGATTCATTCAAGAAGTCTCATGCCAGCCCCACCTATTGGAAGAAGGTCTGAGTTTTATTCTTATCTCTTTGGTATTAATTCTGAAACTTAGAAAGTACACTGGTTAGCAATGCTTGGGACCAACAGGTTGTTCTGGTAAATAAATCTGTTTCATATTGTCAGTGCAACAAAATGTCCCCCTCTGCATTATGTTATTGGTACTCAACACGTCCGAGTCATAACTCTGTCCTTTGCTTCTTATAGAGGTATTAGGTCTTCAAGAGCAGAAGTAAGACTGTAATAGGGAATACTCAGGGGAAGGCAGGCAAAGGCTAGTCATCTAAACCAGTTCTAGATGTCTGTATAGGGGCAGATGGCTCTGTAAGGGCAGAAGGGAAAGACCCCTTCATAAGGGTCACAGCTGACAATCCTATAACAAAAGACAGGTTAACAAGAGAAAAACTTAACAAATTTATTTAATCACAGATTTACATCACCGGGGAGCCTTCGTAATGAAGATCCAAAATTACAGGGGAAACTGTGCATTTTTATGCTTAGGTTTGATAATGAATGGACAGCCCTGAAGAATAGTGATTGGAAAAAAAGGATATGATCTAATGGGAATAGACACAGGTTGGGGACCCAGCAAGGCCTGTCTGTTCAGATTATTCTTGGTCTCTGTGCAGCATTCCTTCCTCCTGGATATAGGGCAGGGCCTGTATGGGATGGGGATATTATAACCTGCTATCAAGCAAGGTAGGTCAGAGAATTTATTTATGGCCAGCTCTTACATAGTTAGGTGAGGAAAGATTAGAGTACTATCTTTAAGATGTAAGTCTGGCATTGTGGAAAGATGGTTCCAGTTTCTATGACCTACCTTGGGGAAGAGGAATTCAAGTTTCTGTGGCTTGCCTTCAGGGAGAATGAGGCTGAGACAGGAGGGCAGGATAACATCAGAGAAAAACTTTGCTTCTGAGGCCTTCACTTTGGGTTTTCTGAGCCCCAACATCTGCTAGTGTTGTAAAGAGAACAATTAGGGACCAAGTGAGGGGAGGAAAGAATCCATCTCTGCATTCTGATGCTGGGAGACTTATTTCCTTGAAATGCAATTGATTTTGCCTCTGCTAAGAGGCTCTGCTGGCTACCCATGTACTAGCCAGTGTCCTGCATGGGTGCTAGGCTGAATTATTTGTAATTGTGCTTAGGTGATTTGTAACTCAGGTATAGGGTATTTAAATAGTAGGCACCCTTTTTGCACCATGTGTTTTTTTTTTTATCTAGTTCTTGTATACTACAGATAATATTTGAACTTTGTCATCTCACTGTAAAACTTTTGTTCATTTCTCATTATGGTAATAAATAGCTATTATAACCAACCCATTTATTCAAATATGTTATTTCCCTAAGTGTTATTTTGACATTTTGTTTTGGAAAAAATAAATCACCATAGATAATAATGGTAGATCTATTTGCTGACCAAATGTCAGATGTTTTCAGGTGCTTGACATGCATTAATCCATTTGATTGCCTCCAACCCCACCTACCAGCCAACGTGGTCTTCAGTCATTGGGTTTAAACCTCAATATATTAAGTGTGATCATACAGGACTTTGCAGCAGGCTTAATTTCATACTTCAGCCATGCTCATTATAGCTTCCATTCCAACCTTTCTCTTAATTTCCTTATATCGCTTGATACCATTAGCCATTAAGTTCCTTTGTGGTCACAGGCAATGTGATTGAACCATATTCAGCTCCTATTGGAGAAGATGTCACCTCCTTTTGTTGTCTTGCACATCATAGTAGACACTATGTATGTTACTAAGAAAATTCAAGACCAGATGCAGTGGTTCACACCTGTAATCCCAGAACTTTAGGAGGCCAAGGCAGGTGGATCGTTTGAGTCTAGGAGCTCAAGACCAGTCTGGGCAACATAGTAAGACCATGTCTTAATAAATAATTAAAAAGAAAGAAAATTCCAGGCAAAACAGATGTGATGTTTAAGAGATTCACTATTTTAAAAGCAATACAAGTACGCTTGAAACAAAAAGGATCAGTGGGTCAGTATTACTCAATCTCTTAAAAACTACACCCACTCCTGGTCGGACGTGGTGACTCATGCCTGTAATCCCAGAACTTTGGGAGACCAAGGTGGGCGGATCACCTGAGGTCGGGAGTTCAAGACCAGCCTGATCAACATGGAGAAACCCCGTCTCTACTAAAAATACAAAAAATTGGCTGGGTGTGGTGGCACATGCCTGTAATCCCAGCTACTGGGGAGGCTGAGGCAGGAGAATTGCTTGAACCCAGGAGGCAGATGTTACGGTGAGCCGAGATCACGCCATTGCACTCCAGCCTGGGCAACAAGGGTGAAACTCCAGCTCAAAAAACAAAACAAAACAAAACAAAAAAAACCATGCCCACTTCTAAATCTTGAGTCAAGATTTAGGCAAGGTCTCATTTGCAGAGTTTGTACTGTGCAAATAACAGGTATTTTTTCAAGTTGCACAATATTCCTGCTCCTCCTCAGGTCAACATGTCCCTTGATAGTCTTCAACTTTATTTTCTGCCACTCTACCCATTGCTCACTGTCTTTCAGCCACCTTGGTTTTCATCAGTTTCTAAATATGTCAAACTCTCTTTTGCTTCAGGGTCTTTGACTGGAATCTTCTTTCATTCACTCTTTCCCTGGCAAATTCCTACTCATTCTTCAGGTGTCAGCCTCCATGTTACTTTCTCAGACTGTCTTTCTCTGACTTCTCCCATCTAGATTATATCCCTTTGATAGTCTCTTTAGTAGACCCTTTGTTCTTTTTCTTCATAACACTTAACACAATTTATATTTACAGTTTTTAATGCCATAGTCTGTTGTCAAATTTTCCACGAGGACAATAATCATGTTTTCTGTTCACCATTATATGTGTAGCACTGAGCACAGGGCCTGACAGAAAAGACCCTTATTGAGTAAATGAATGAATGAATGGCTTCCTGTGAGTGAACATGGAATGTGAGAGATTTCTTCCTCTTTAAATACCACTGCTGATAAAGTACTAAGGCAGAATAATTGATAAAGTAGATCATGGGCCAAATTCTGCCTTTAGATATCAAAAGGAATCTTTAGAGAGGAAAGATCACCCTAGTTTAAAAGGATTCATGTAGGAGATGGGAATTGGAACTGATTTCTGATGAGGAGGCATGGCATTTCAACTCTGGAAAGAGCATAAGGTACAGATATAGGCATTAGAATCTTAATAACAACAATTAACTGACATTTATTTACTTTTGGTATTTTGTTTTGTTCTTGTTTTTGAGACAGAGTCTAACTCTGTTGCCCAGGCTGGAGTGCAATGGTGTGATCTCAGCTCACTGCAACCTCCGACTCCCAGGCTCAAGTAATTCTCATGCCTCAGCCTCCCAAGTTGCTGGGATTACAGGTGTGCATCACCACACCTGGTTTTTGTATTTTTAGTAGAGACGGGGTTTCGTCATGTTGGCCAGGCTGGTCTTGAAATCCTGGCTTCCAGTGATCCACCCACCTCAGCCTCCCAAAGTGCCGGGATTACAGGCGTGAGCCACCACGCCCAGCTTGATATTTATGGAACTCAAATGTACTAAGTGTCTATATTCATTATCTGATTTGAGACACTGTAATTTAGGAGAGGCAGTAGCACAGGAATTGAAAGTTCAGTCTTCGGATTCCAATCACAGCAGAGTAAGCTTGGGCAATTATTTAACATCTCTGTGCCTCTGTGGGCTTAGTCCCTTGCATGATTGCCTTCTGGAAATCCATAGGAAAGGCTTTTCCTGGACTTCCATCGGCTTTTGGGATCCTAGAATTCTTTTTTCCTTCCTTGACAGGAAATATGTACAGGAAGAACAAGGTCCTCTCTGCCTTGTGTTTGTCAGTATTTCTTGTGACTATTTTCTCCTAAACATAAGGTTTTTCTGAGTTCAAGGATTTTGGGGCTGATCAAAGAAGAGATGTGACCACAAGGTGGCAGTAGCATGCAACAAGCTTTATTTGGGTGGTGCTTGACAGACTGCATGTAAGGAGGACATCCCTCACAGCTGGACACCTTCCAGAGGCAGAGGTGTATGGCCACCATGCAGAAGGGGAAGAAGGCAAGGGAACTACTCCTGGGGTAGGGGAGAAGCAGAAATGGGGTTTATCTGTCTAGGATGTTGTACAGCTACAAGATAAGATAGGGAGTCTCTGAGTTAGAGAACTTGGAAGGGCAGCAGAGGTTTGGGGTCTTTTATAGCTCTATGCTTTGTCTTATCTTTGGTTAACAGATGCCAGGTACGGTTTTATCTTTGGCTAGCAGGCAGACTCTAAATGGCTAAAAACATGGCCATCTGAGCTATGTGTGTGTGTGTGTGTGTGTGTGTGTGTGTGTATGTATATATATATATATATATATATATATATATATATATATATATACTTTTTTTTTTCTTTGAGATGGAGTGTTGCTCTGTATCCCAGGCTGGAGTGCAATGTCTCACTGCAACCTCCACCTCCTGGGTTGAAGAGATTCTCCTGCCTCAGCCTCCCAAGTAGCTGGGACTACAGGCATGCACCACCATGCCCGGATAATTTTTGTAATTTTTAGTAGAGATGGGGTTTCACCATGTTGGCCAGGCTGGTCTCAAACTCCTGACCTCAGGCAATCTGCCTGCCTTGGCCTCCCAAAGTGCCGTGATTACAGGCGTAAGCCACTGCACCCGGCCCATCGGAGCTACATTTGAGCAATTACATGGATAAAATTTTGAGCTTAGATAAGGTAAGTTTTGAGCTAATGGTCCCAGACTGACGTGAAGAAGCAAACAATATGCGCCCAATATACTCAGGCCGTCTTTAACACCTTTATTTTCCTAACTTTTAATTCATTGATTTTTGAAACTGGAGTTGCTGAAATTCTAATTTACATTAAATTATTAAGGTTTACTAATTAAGCCTTTAAATAATATTTCTGTAAATTTTTAAAACCTGACTTTTGATACAGATGCCAACATTTTAAAGCTGTCTTGGATTTTAAGAGTCTCAATATTATCTATAAAAATCTTTTTAGCAATTACCTTGGCTGAGTGCTCATATACAAAATAAACTGATTAAATCAAGGGAGCTATTGGATCCTCTCTAGTTCCAAAACCCTAATGAAGGGTTTTATGAAAATTAAAACCCAAAGTCTTACCACAGAAATATAAAGTGACTTTTTTTTTTTAAACAGATGAAAACATAATGCTTGGGATGCCTGCAAGTGACTAAAAGTTGGAAAGGGAAGTTCTGATGTGACCCAAATTTGTAAGTTCTTAATGTCCTATTTGAATTTTTTAAAAAATTCAAAAATTCAGGAATATATGCATGTCATTTGTGTACATACTGACAAAGACTATCTCTTTGACCAAACTTCTGAGCCTCTTCTGAGCCCTCTTCTTGACTAGGCCTTGACTTTGGGCCCTACCCCACCTGTAATTGTCGGCCTACCTCAGTCTTAATAAGAATCCTGTCAGTTTAGTGAGGATCCCGCCACTCTGGGTATCTGATCAAGTTCCTCATTCTCCACTTCTGAAGTATAAGCCCTTAGCCTGCCTTCAGCAAGAATCCTACCACCCCTGATGTCTCCTTTTAGTACTTTTCTATCCACTGACCCTCCTTACTCTACCTGTTGGTTATAAATACCCCAGCTGTCCTTGCTGTATTCCCAGTTGAGCCCAATCTTGCTTCCCTATTACAATGTTTTGATTGCACAGTCCTGAATAAAGTCTTCCTTACCATTTTAACAAACGTCAGAATTTTTTTTTCTTTAACAATACCTCACAACCAATCCTAACATTCTTTTATACTCACCTAACTTAAAAAATAAATAAAACATTACATATACAATTGATGCATAGGAAAAGTTTTTCAATCCCATTCATAATATAGCAATAAAAAATGGTAACTGAACTGAAATACTATTTATTATTTAACAGGTTGGCAACAATCCAAATGTCTGACAACTTACTCCACGGATGAAGCTGTGGGAAAAACAGGCACTCACATACATTGCTGATTGGATTGCAAAATGCCAACATACTCATGGATGGGTATGTGGCCATATTAGGCAAATTTATGTATGGATTTACCATTTGAACTAACTTCTGGGAATATATCCTAAAATAAGATGTGTTCCCATGATTATTCATTACAGCACTATTTGTAATAGCAAAAGGCTGGAAACCACCCAGATGTCCATCCATAGGGAAGTAGCTGAATATATTATGGTACTAATTTTATCTATGGCTGGGGAGCTTATTCAGGCTGGCTCCTTAGTCTTTGACACGGCCCTAACAGTTTTTGGCTGCTTTCTGAATTACATTGTTCAAGTTGAATATATTATGGCACATCTACACAATGGAGTACTATATAGAAATGAGGAATAGCTCTATATGTTAGTATTATACAATCTCTAGAATTTATTATAAAGTGAAAAAAGGTGGAGAAAATGTGCTACTACTGTTTATCTAAGAAAAGGGTAGGTATAAACATGCATAATTACATTTTTAAAATGAAAAAATGAATCATAAAAAGTGTTTAAGTCATTACTTATAGGGCAGGAAGGAAAAAGTAGAGGGGAGACCAAGGATTTTCAAAATAAAGGGAGTTACAGATGTGTAATCAAAGAGGTTAAATAAAACCTTGACTTCCTGAATTTGAATCGGAAGTATCAATGAGTTCATAATATATTTGATTTAAAAGACAAAAACCAAATCAAAACAAACCCATACTAACCAGCTCTGTCCATTGAACAGGTATAGAAACAATCAAACTCATTAACAACACGACAAACATTTTTTGTTTGTTTCTTTGTTGTTCCTTGCAGCGCCAGCTTAAAGGAGACATCCAGATTATGCTCTTTAAATATCATTTCCCACTAAAGGATCCAGGGCACTTAGGAGTAATGGCTTATTATGGGTATGGAGTAAGAAATACACAAAATGAGCCTGGAAAGCAAAGACTACTAGGAAAGTATCAGAAAGACTCAGGAGCCAACCTGAGTAAACTCTCACCGGCCTAAAATAAACAACTTGAGCACTAATAGTGGTAATAGCTACAGTGGATTACAACTCACCAAACTTCTTTAAATCCCTGGATTCATAATGATGGCTGTTTACTTTTGAGGGTTTTTAAAAAAAATCCGGCAGAGATTTTTAAATAGTATATGGTAGTGATCTAATTTTATTTTCCATTAGAATAACCATTCATTCAGCATTACTTATTGAGTAATTAATCATTTTCTCATTAATACATAATGCCAGTATATCAAATTCCCAAATACATAGATATGGGTCTCTTCTTGGGGCTCTGTATCTCCTTCCTTTAATTGTCCATCTTAGGGCGTTTAATAATACAAGACTGTCTCAATTACTATGGCTTTATTGTAACTCATTACCTGGTAGGACAAGACCTTCCAATCTTACTTTTCTTCTTCAAAATTGTTTTAAATACTGTAAATTTTTTTTCTACATAAATGTGAAAAACGTTAGAAGGGCAACTGCAGCAGACATACATAGCTTATTTTTTTAAGATTAACAGCAACTTTATACTAGCAAAATGAAAAAAAATTAACTGAATAAACAGGTAACTGAATTAACTAGCTGTAACACTAGACTACAAAGTTATACAAGATTAAAAGTTATGAGGTACTATTTATTATATGTAAATATTACAAATATTTTTTGTTAAAAATATCTAAGGCTTTTGAGTTTTTGAAATGCAAGCTTTCCCCTATACTTAAGTATATTCATTATCTTACTGCTTTGGTCAGGACAAGAACTGAAAAAGAGAAATAATCTTGAGTTCAGAATGAACAATTCTTGCTATATATATTTTCCCACATGTGTTAGGAATGTTCTGTAAACCTTCCGAGAAATAGTGACTTGAACTAAATACTAAACTACTACCAAGCCCCAGGTGCATTTTTGGAAGTTTTTAGTCATTGGGAGCCATGGCATTTCTTTTCTCTGTATTACAAACTGTTACACTCACTTTCTTTGACTATTAACATTGGAACAGTAGACCTCCTGTTCTGTGACTGACTGGCAGGCAGAAATGACACAGACAGGAAATGGGAAATGGTTCAGGGTCTTGGAATTCCCCCGGCTCCCTAATTAAGTGGCTTGCTATTTGGAAGTTTTTTAAATATTTGCCCCTTGGAGTTCCCCAGAGAGAAGCAAGCATCGGATTCAACGGGCAAAGAGCGTCAACTTCAAAAGTCGTTCGTTGGTTGTCATACCACAAACATTTACTGCACGACACTGTGTCTATGGCACTATTGGGGGAGTATGGCGGGGGGATACAAAAGGTCCATGACTAGCAAAAGCCAAGGGTTTTTATTTACAAATTTTCTATTACCTAAGCATTAAAAAAAATTGGGCTCCTCTCTGGTTTATGTACAATTATATGTGCATGTACACCAATACACAGGCAGACGTATATATTTCATTTTATTGAAACATTCAGAAAATACTGGGAGTGAAGCCTGACTTGCAATACAGTTCTCTTTGCTGGCAATGAGCATCTGAAATAATGACACTTTTTTCTTTAGTGCATATGAACTGTTTGTCTCCAGAACAGAAAACCAAAAGTTTAAAAACAAGATACTCCCGTTGACATCAAGTCTTCAGAATTATTCATCTGATGCTTCCTAGTTTCCAAAGTTTCGCTTTTTTCGATTTGCACAGGCAGCTGTTGAACGCTGATGCTACACAAACGGTTACAATTGTTTACTTAAGCAAAAAATGCCACCAGACTGACTCCATCCTCAAAATGCAGTCATCTGGACGGGGGGAGGCATCACACTTGGGGAGCCTTGCCAGGGGCCAGATCATAACCCTGAGGTGACACAGGGTAGGACGCGCAAAACCACCGGCGCCAGGGCGTTTCCGCAGGGTTTCCCAAAACTCAAACGCAGCGGCTCACGGTTTGCCACGTCCCCCAGGAGAATGGTAGACACAGAGAGGAAATGTGGAGAGGGCACAAACCGCAAGGTGAAGAAAACGAACAAACACCGAGTTGATACGGATAGTCCCCGTTCCCCTGAGGGCCGACCCCGTGACTCCCGATGAGCGTCCAGTTGCGCCGGGCATCCTGGCCTCCCAGCGTCTTTCCCGGAGGTTCATCGCCGCACGGCGGAAAGCGCTCTCGGTTCCGCTTTCCGGCCCCAGCCTCCCGGGCGCCCTCGCGCGGCGGCTAACGCTGGTCCTCGGCCGGGCGCGCTGACGTCATCGTGCGTCAGAGTGAGCCCGGATGGGGCGGCGGGCTTCGGGAGCGCCCGGGCTGATCCGAGCCGAGCGGGCCGTATCTCCTTGTCGGCGCCGCTGATTCCCGGCTCTGCGGAGGCCTCTAGGCAGCCGCGCAGCTTCCGTGTTTGCTGCGCCCGCACTGCGGTGAGTGCTGCTCCTTCCGGGCTCGGGCGGCGTGGGGCGGGTGGGGACGCGAGGGCCCGCGGGGGCCCACTTCCCTGATGTGGCGGCGAACGAGGAAGGACGGGGCCTGAGGCCCTTCGGCCAAGGGTCGAGGGTCGCCGGGGGCTCTCTGCTTTCTACTCTCGCCAAGGTTTTATTGGATTCGGAAGCCCCAACTTCGAGACTTGCAGTCAAAGCGATTTTTAAAATGACTTGTTTTCAAGCCTCTGGCCGCCGCCCACTCTTCTGGCCCTTGGACTTTGACCAAGATGTTTTCTCGCAGTTTTTGCAAGGTTTTAAACTTAGCCCTCGGCGTTCTTTTAATGTAATACATTGAAACGAAGATATTTCGGTGGCGGCGATATTTCATATTTCATAGTTGCCACTGCGCTCTGTCATTCCAGTAGTCGTCTGTTGTGTATTGTGAGAAGCAACTCTGGGAAATTATTGGGTAAATCCCATAGTTTCTATTCTTTTCCCTTCCATCCTATCCCCTGCCCAGCTGCAATTTGCGTAAAGAGAATGCAGCAGTGCGGTGCACGTAGATAAAAATCTTTCATTTAAAGATAGGATATAAGACCGGGTGTAATTAAAGCAATCATGCCAGTGGTCGTAGTGCCGGAGCCACTGTTTCACAGGCCACTGTGTTAGGTTTTGTTTTCGAGTTGCTTTCTGTGGTCGTTGCTTTGAAATTGTAAGGGAATGGCAGAGTTTAAGAGTTTATATTAATGAACTCGTGGTGCATTTTACTGCAGTTTTCCTAGTCGTGGAGAGACTTGATATTACAAACTAACGTTGCTGTCTTAATTCCTGCTGTACTGCTGCTGACAGGGTGTAGTGGAGTGTCTGTCTGTCTTTTTAACCAATGTGCCTTTGCCTCCAGCAGAGTGCCAGAGTTACCTTTAGGCCAGAAAAGGGGAGGAGAGCAAGGACAAAATGTTTCCTGTGTGAAAATTTCCATCTGTCTCTGAAGTTGTGCGTTTTAAAGACACGTATAGTTAGTGCTATGGGGAGTATGTTGCATTTACTTATTTTAATTAATAGCTTTTTCATTTAGAAAGTTGTGACAAATTGCTGGAATTAAGATGTATTATCTAAAGTGTGAATTATTCTTAGACTTTACTGAATAAATTGAAGAGTATGTAAGTTCTATTTGGCATGCACATACAGTTTTCTAAAATACTTTTTGTTTTTTCTTTTCAGATTTACAACCCTGAAGAATCTCCCTATCCCTATTTTGTCCCCCTGCAGTAATAAATCCCATTATGGAGATCTCGAAACTTTATAAAGGGATATAGTTTGAATTCTATGGAGTGTAATTTTGTGTATGAATTATATTTTTAAAACATTGAAGAGTTTTCAGAAAGAAGGCTAGTAGAGTTGATTACTGATACTTTATGCTAAGCAGTACTTTTTTGGTAGTACAATATTTTGTTAGGCGTTTCTGATAACACTAGAAAGGACAAGTTTTATCTTGTGATAAATTGATTAATGTTTACAACATGACTGATAATTATAGCTGAATAGTCCTTAAATGATGAACAGGTTATTTAGTTTTTAAATGCAGTGTAAAAAGTGTGCTGTGGAAATTTTATGGCTAACTAAGTTTATGGAGAAAATACCTTCAGTTGATCAAGAATAATAGTGGTATACAAAGTTAGGAAGAAAGTCAACATGATGCTGCAGGAAATGGAAACAAATACAAATGATATTTAACAAAGATAGAGTTTACAGTTTTTGAACTTTAAGCCAAATTCATTTGACATCAAGCACTATAGCAGGCACAGGTTCAACAAAGCTTGTGGGTATTGACTTCCCCCAAAAGTTGTCAGCTGAAGTAATTTAGCCCACTTAAGTAAATACTATGATGATAAGCTGTGTGAACTTAGCTTTTAAATAGTGTGACCATATGAAGGTTTTAATTACTTTTGTTTATTGGAATAAAATGAGATTTTTTGGGTTGTCATGTTAAAGTGCTTATAGGGAAAGAAGCCTGCATATAATTTTTTACCTTGTGGCATAATCAGTAATTGGTCTGTTATTCAGGCTTCATAGCTTGTAACCAAATATAAATAAAAGGCATAATTTAGGTATTCTATAGTTGCTTAGAATTTTGTTAATATAAATCTCTGTGAAAAATCAAGGAGTTTTAATATTTTCAGAAGTGCATCCACCTTTCAGGGCTTTAAGTTAGTATTACTCAAGATTATGAACAAATAGCACTTAGGTTACCTGAAAGAGTTACTACAACCCCAAAGAGTTGTGTTCTAAGTAGTATCTTGGTAATTCAGAGAGATACTCATCCTACCTGAATATAAACTGAGATAAATCCAGTAAAGAAAGTGTAGTAAATTCTACATAAGAGTCTATCATTGATTTCTTTTTGTGGTAAAAATCTTAGTTCATGTGAAGAAATTTCATGTGAATGTTTTAGCTATCAAACAGTACTGTCACCTACTCATGCACAAAACTGCCTCCCAAAGACTTTTCCCAGGTCCCTCGTATCAAAACATTAAGAGTATAATGGAAGATAGCACGATCTTGTCAGATTGGACAAACAGCAACAAACAAAAAATGAAGTATGACTTTTCCTGTGAACTCTACAGAATGTCTACATATTCAACTTTCCCCGCCGGGGTGCCTGTCTCAGAAAGGAGTCTTGCTCGTGCTGGTTTTTATTATACTGGTGTGAATGACAAGGTCAAATGCTTCTGTTGTGGCCTGATGCTGGATAACTGGAAACTAGGAGACAGTCCTATTCAAAAGCATAAACAGCTATATCCTAGCTGTAGCTTTATTCAGAATCTGGTTTCAGCTAGTCTGGGATCCACCTCTAAGAATACGTCTCCAATGAGAAACAGTTTTGCACATTCATTATCTCCCACCTTGGAACATAGTAGCTTGTTCAGTGGTTCTTACTCCAGCCTTTCTCCAAACCCTCTTAATTCTAGAGCAGTTGAAGACATCTCTTCATCGAGGACTAACCCCTACAGTTATGCAATGAGTACTGAAGAAGCCAGATTTCTTACCTACCATATGTGGCCATTAACTTTTTTGTCACCATCAGAATTGGCAAGAGCTGGTTTTTATTATATAGGACCTGGAGATAGGGTAGCCTGCTTTGCCTGTGGTGGGAAGCTCAGTAACTGGGAACCAAAGGATGATGCTATGTCAGAACACCGGAGGCATTTTCCCAACTGTCCATTTTTGGAAAATTCTCTAGAAACTCTGAGGTTTAGCATTTCAAATCTGAGCATGCAGACACATGCAGCTCGAATGAGAACATTTATGTACTGGCCATCTAGTGTTCCAGTTCAGCCTGAGCAGCTTGCAAGTGCTGGTTTTTATTATGTGGGTAAGAAGCAAATAACTATACATTTTATCATTTTATTTTAATTTACATATTAGAACATACGTGTTTTCAATATTTAGTCTTTTTTTTCCTGAAGGTCGCAATGATGATGTCAAATGCTTTTGTTGTGATGGTGGCTTGAGGTGTTGGGAATCTGGAGATGATCCATGGGTAGAACATGCCAAGTGGTTTCCAAGGTAATTGTTTTGAAAAAGGTATTTGTACAAAAAACTCTGTGCTTAAAAGAAGTAGGCATGCCTACATGATTTTGTTTACCTTTAAATTATAACAAAGCCTCTTTTATGCCATTGGGGAATTATCCTTCTAAAAGATCACATTTTAACTTTAATTATTTTGTTGAAAAATATTCTGCAGTCTTCTGTGTACTTTTGTAAGTCAGTTACAAGTATGACCGTACATTTTATTTATTTCCCATTTCTTTTAAAGAGTACTTAAGGATTACAAAGACATATAAAATAGATTAAAAAGACGTTAGAAAAAGGTAAGAACAGGAAAACAAGAAGGGACATAGAATGGATGCAGGAATAAGTCAAATGTAAAAGTCCATGTATTAAGAGCATATCTTAGATGGGCGTGGTGGCTCACACCTGTAATCCCAGCACTTTGGGAGGCCGAGATAGGTGGATCACCTGAGGTCAGGAGTTTGAGACCAGCCTGACCAACATGGTGAAACCCCGTATGTACTAAAAATACAAAAACTAGCTGGGCGTGGTGGCGCGTGGCCGTAGTCCCAGCTTCTCGGGAGGCTGAGACAGGAGAATCGCTTGAGCTCAGGAGGCGGAGGCTGCAGTGAGCCAGGATTGTGCCACTGAACTCCAGCCTGGGTAACAGAGCAAGACTCTGTCTCAAAAAAAAAAAAAAAAAAAAAAAGAAAAAAGCATATCTGACTGCCCATTTTAATTGTAATTGTAAATTATTTTTTCTGTACAATTTTTTTTTGTCATTTACCTCCTTTTAGCCACTTTGTCTCTAGCAGTGTCTTTTTTTATTATAGCCTAGAAATAATTTAGGGGCAGTGTTATTAGTAGAAATAGAATTAAATTGTCTTTGTAATTGAGTAGCTATGTGAACTTGGACGTTGTTTGTAAAATGAGGAGGGGTTGGCCTAGATAATTTTTTAAAATAGTGATAAAATAGGCATAACATTTACCATCTTAACCATTTTTTAAGTGTATAGTTGTGTGTCATTAAGTACATTCTTAACCGTTCTGCGATTATACCGCTATCCATCTCCAGAACCTTTGCATCTTCCCAAACTGAAACTGTCTACCCATCAAGTACTAATTCACCATTATCCCATTCCCCAACATCCTGGCAACCACCATTGTCTTTCTCTTTTTTTTTTTTTTTGTTTTGTTTTTTTTGAGACGGAGTCTCACTCTGTCACCCAGGCTGGAGAGCAGTGGCGCGATCTCGGCTCACTGTAAGCTCCACCTCCCGGGTTCACGCCATTCTCCTGCCTCAGCCTCCCGAGTAGCTGGGACTACAGGCGCCCGCTGCCACGCCCGGCTAATTTTTTGTACTTTTTAGTAGAGATGGGATTTCACCATGTTAGACAGGATGGTCTCGATCTCCTGACCTCGTGATCCACCCACCTCAGCCTCCCAAAGTGCTGGGATTACAGGCGTGAGCCACCGCGTCCAGCCCTTGTTTGTTTTTTTGAGGTGGAGTCTCACTCTGTCATCCAGGCTGGAGTGCAGTGACACGATCTTGGCTCACTGCAACCTCCACCTCCCAGGTTCAAGCGATTCTCCTGCCTCAGCCTCCTGAGTAGCTGGGATTATAGGTGCCTGCCACCATGCCTGGTTAATTTTTTTGTATTTTTAGTAGAGACAGGGTTTTTAGTAGAGACAGGGTTTCACCATGTTGGCCAGGCTGGTCTTGAACTCCTGAGCTCAAGTGATCTGCTCACCTTTGCCTCCGAAAGTGCTGGGATTACAGGCATGAGCCACTGCCCCCTGCCGCACCATTCTATTTCTGTCTCTATGAATTTGACTACTCTAGGCATCATATATAAGTGGAATCATACATCACAGATTATGTTTTTACCTGTGAGTGTCTTTCACAATAATGAAGAATCTCTTGAACCCCTTCAGGAAATTTAAAAAGTTTTCGTCATTTTGTATGATATATGATGAAAAAGAAACTTGAAGTAACAAATACTTTATTATGGATCAGTACATTGTTAAAAGTTGTATTTTAAAGTTATTAATATTAATAATATATCAAGATAAATTTTGACTTTTTTACACTGAAAAATGACTAAATTATTAATTATGTTTAAAATTAAAAAGCATGTTTTATCAGACTTTTAAATGACTTAATTATGTTGGGCTCTATGGGATTATATACATTAATTTGAAATTTAATCCATGTTGTGGTATCAAAGACAAAAACAGCTTCCAAATTCCAGTGTTGGAACTGCTACATTTTGTACCTTATAAAACAAAATCAAAATCTTTATTTTTGTAACTTGTGTTTTGTTTTAAATGATTAAGGGAGAAGATGTAGGGGCGTGTTTTGTAAATGCTTCTCTGAAAACAACACATTTCTTTTTTCCTTTTTTTTATTTTTTTGAGACAGTGTCTCATTCCATCACCTATCACTGCTGGAGTGCAGTGGCAAGATGGCAGTTCACTGCAACCTCCACCTCCTGGGTTCAAGCCTCAGCCCCCCGAGTAGCTGGAATTATAGGCACACGCCACCACACTCAGTAGTTTTTGTATTTTTAGTAGAGACGCAGTTTCGCTATGTTGGCCAGTCTAGTCTCAAACTTCTGACCTCAAGTGATCTGCCTGCCTTGGCCTCCCAAAGTGCTGGGCTTACAGGCATGAGCCACTGAGCCCAGCCCACATTTCAACTGGGAATAATCTTTAATCTCAGTAAATCCATCACCTTATGTAGTAACTTTCTTTTTTTTTTTTTTTTTTTTTTTTGGTGAGAACTCTTAAAAGATGCTCTTTCGCAAATTTCAGGTATAAGGTCCAGTATTATTAGCTATAGTCACCATGTGCTGTACATTAGATCCTCAGAAAGTTTGTGTTCTTTAACCAACATCTTCCCATTTCACCTACCCCCTTATCCCTGGCAACCAGCATTCTACTCTCTGTTTCTGTGAGTTTGGTTACCATACAGTATAGTTGTCCCTTGGTATGCTCGGAGGACTGGTTCTAGGACCCCCATGTATACCAAAATTCGCACATACTGAAGTCCAGAAGTTGACTCTGCAGAACCTGTGCATCCAAAATTCAGCCCTCCAAATATGTGGGTTTCACATCTGCAAATGTGATCTGCATTTGGTTGAGAAAAATCTGGGTGTAAATGGACATGTGCAGTTCAAACCTGTGTTGTTCAAGGGCCAGTTGTATTTGTCTTTCTCTGGCATATTTCACTTGGCATAATGCCTTCCAGGTTCATTCATGTTGCAGATGGTAGGATTTTATTTTATTTTATTTATTTTGAGATGGAGTCTCACTCTGTTGTCCAGGTTGGAGTGCAGTGGCACCATCTAGGCTCACTGCAATCTCCACCTCCTGGCTTCAAGCGATTCTCCTGCCTCAGCCTCTTGAGTAGCTGACATTATAGGCACCTGCCATCATGTCCGGCTAATTACTCTGTTTTTGTAGAGACGGGGTTTCACCATGTTGGCCAGGCTGGTCTCAGACTCCTGATCTCAAGTGATCCACCCGGAGTGGATGGGATTATAGGCGTGAACCACCACGCCCAGCCAGGCTCATCCCCCATTCATCCCTTAGTAGACACTTAAGTTGTTTCCATATAGCTGCTTGAACATGGGAGTAGAGATATCTCTGAGATACTGATTTCATTTCCTTCAGATATGTACACAGAAGTGGGATTGCTAGATCATATGCTAATTCTATTTTTAGTTTTTTGAGCAACCTCTATACTGTTTTCCATAATGACAGTAGTAAATTACCAACAATGGTCAAGGGTTCCCTTTTCTTCACATCTTTGCCAACTTTTGTTATTTCTTGTCTCCGATGATAATAAGGCATCATTACAGGTGGGAGGTGATATTTCATTTTGGTTTTAATTTGCATTTCCCTGATGATCAGTGACATTGAACACCTTTTCATGTACCTGTTGGCCATTTGTATATCTTTGGGAAAATTTCTGTTCAGGTCCTTTGCCCGTTTTCTAACCTGAATTATTTGGGTTTTTTTTTTTTTTTTTTTTTGCTATTGAGTTGTATAAGTTCCTTAAATATTTTAGATATTAACTCCTTATCAAATGTATAATTTGCAAATATTTTCTCCCATTCTGTAGGTTGCCTTTTTATTTTGTCGATTGTTTCCTTTGCTGAGCAGAAGCTTTTTAGCTTGTTGTAGTCGCAGTTTATTTTTGTTTTGGTTGCCTGTGCTTTTGGTGTCATACCCAAAACATTATTGCCAAGACCAGTGCCAAGGAGCTTTTTAGCCTACGTTTTCTTTAAGGAATTTTATGGTTTCTGGATTTATGTTTAGTCTTTAATCCATTTCTAGTTAATTTTTGTAGGTGGTATAAGATAGAGGTCTGGTTTTATTGTTTTACATAAAAACGGTGTTGGATATCCAGTTTTCCCAACACCGTTTGTTAAAGAGACTTATCATTTCAACATTGTGTGTTCTTTGTGCCCTTGTCAAAGATTAATTGATTGTATATGTGGCTTTATTTCTGGGCTCTCTGTTCTGTTGGTGTATGTCTTTGTTTTTATGCTAGTATCATATTGTTTTGATTACTGTAGCTTTGTAATATAGCTTGAAATTAGGAAGTATGATGCCTCCAGTTGTTTTTTTTGTTTGTTTTTTCTCAAGATTGCTTAGGCTATTCTGGGCCTTAAGTTCCGTACAAATTTTATGATTGGTTTTTCTATTTCTGTGATAAAAAAGTCATTGGAATTTTGGTAGGGATTATATTGAATCTGTAGAATGTTATGGGTAGTATGAACATTTTAACAATATTCTTATAATTTAAGAACACGAGATTGTTTAAAAATTTATTTCTGTCATTTTCAGTTTCCTTTATCAGTGTCATATGTTTTTCATTGTGTTTCTCTTTTACCTCCTTGGTTAAATTTATTCCTAAGTATTTTATTGTTTTGGTGCTGTTGTACATGGGATTACTTTCTTAAGTTCTCTTTCAGATAGTTCATTGTTAGTACTGACTTTTGTAAGTTGGTTTTGTATCCTACAACTTCTGGATGGTTTATTAGTTTTAACTGTTTTTGGTGGCATCTTTAGGGTTTTCTATATATATAAGATTATGTCATCTGCAAACAGAGAGTTTGACTTCTTCCAGTCTGATTTGGATGCCTTTTTCTTTTTCTTGCTTAATTGCTCTGGCTAACCCTTCCAGTATTATATTGAATAGACGTGGCAAGAGTAAGCACCCTTGTCTCGTTCCTCATGTTAGTGGAAAAGCTGAAAGCTTTTTTTTTTTTTTTTTTGAGATGGAATTTTGCTCTGTTGCCCAGGCTAGAATGCAGTGGCGCAATCTGAGCTCACTGCAACCTCCACCTCCTGGGTTCAAGTGATTCTCCTGCCCCAGCCTCCCGAGTAGCTGGGATTACAGGTGCGTGCCACTGCACCCAGCTCATTTTTGTAATTTCTTAGTAGAGATGGCGTTTCACCATGTTGGCCAGGCTGGTCTCCAACTCCTGACCTCGTGATCCACCTGCCTCAGCCTCCCAAATTGCTGGGATTAGAGGCGTGAGCCACTGCACCCGGCCAGCTTTCAGGTTTTCATTATCGAGTATGATGTTAACTGTGCACTTGCCATTTATGGTCCTTATGTTGAGGTATATTCCTTCTATAGCTAAATTGGTGAGAATTTTTATCCTGAAAGGGTGTTGAATTTTGTCAAATGCTTTTTCTGTGTCTGTTGAGATGTTTATATTATTATTATTATTATTAATTTTTTTTTTTTTTTTGAGATGGAGTGTTGCTCTGTCACCCAGGCTGGAGTGCAGTGATGCAATCTCAGTTCACTGCAACCTCTGCCTCCTGGGTTCAAGTGATTCTCCTGCCTCAGCCTCCCGAGTAGGTGGGACCACAGGTGCATGCCACCACACCCAGCTAATTTTTGTATTTTTAGTAGAGATGGGGTTTCACCAGGCTGGTCTCAAACTCCTGACCTCAGGTGATCCACCCATCTTGGCCTCCCAAACTGCTGGGATTACAGGCGTGAGCCACTGCACCTGGCTGGTTATATGATTTTTATCCTTCATTTTGTCAATGTGTGGTATCACATTTATTGATTTGCATATGTCATACCATCCTTGCATCTCAGGGATAAATCTCACTTGATATATGATTCTTCTAGTAGGCTGCTGAATTCGGTTTGCTAGTATTTGTTGAGGATTTTTGCATCTGTGCTCATCAGGGCTATTGGCATATAATTTTCTTTTCTTGTGTTGTCCTGGTCTGGCTTTGGTATCAGAGTAATGCTTGGCTTCATAAAATGAGTTTGGAAGTATTCCCCCCTCCTCCCTCCTTACTCCCTCTTCCCTCCCTCTTCTTCCTTCTTCCTCCTCCTCCCTTTTCTTTCTTCTTCCTCCTTCTTTCCTCCTCCTCCTCCTCTTCCTTCTTCTCCTCCTCTTCCTTTCTTCTTCTTTCTTCTTCTTGATAGAACTGTGCTATGAGGTCATCTGTTCCTGGGCTTTTTCTTTGTCAGAAGAGTTATGACTACTGATTCAATCTCCTTACTAGTTATAAGTCTTTTCAGATCTTCTATTTCTTCTTTATTTTAGTCTTGATAAATTACAAGTTTCTAGGAATGCATCCATTTCTTCTAGGTTATACAGTTTTTTGGTGAATAATTGTTCATGGTAGTCTCTTATGGTCATTTGCGTTTCTGTGTTATCAATGGTAACATCTCTTGGTTTTGATTTTATTTATTTTCGTCTTCCTTTTTACTAGTCAAACTAAAGCTTTGTTGATTTTACTTATCTTTTCAAAATCCAGCTCTTAGTTTTAGTGGTCTTTTCTATTGTTTTTGTAGTCTCTATTTCATGAGATTTTGTTATTTCCTTCTGCTAACTTTTTCTAGTTCCTTTAGATGTAAAATTACGGTGTTTATTTAAGATTTTTTTTAAATATAGGCGATTATTGCTATAAACTTTCCTTTTAGAACTGCATTTGTTCTATACATTTTGCTATGTCGCATTTCAATTTTAATATTTCTTGTGATTTTTTAAAATTTTCTTTTTGATTTCTTCTTTGACCCATTGATTATTCAGGAGTATTTTGTTCAATTTCCACATAGTTGTCAGCTTTCCAACTTTCATTCTGTTATTGATTTCTGGTTACATACCATTGTGGTCTGAAAAGATACTTGATAGGATTTCAGTCTTCCTCAGTTTGTTGAGTCTTGTTTTGTGACCTGCTGCATGATCTACGCTGGATAATTTTTCTTGTGTGCTTAAGAAGAATGTGTATTATCTGCTGTTTGATGGAATGTTCTGTATAAAGGTTGAGTATCCCCAATCCAAAAATCCAAAATCCAAAATGTTCCAAAATTTAAAACTTTTTGAGTACCAACATGATGCTGAAAGGAAATGCTCTTTGGAACATTTTTGGTTTTGCATTTTTGGATTAGGGATGCTCAGCTGGTAAACATAAGGCAGGTATTCCCAAATCTAAAAAATGTAAAATTCAAAACACTTCTAGTCCCAAGCATTTCAGATAAGGAATATTCAACCTGTATGTTAGATCCATTAGATCCAGTGTATAGTTGAAGTCCAATATTTCCTTACTGATTTTCTGTCTGGATGACCCATCCATTATTGAAAGTAGGATTTTTGAAGTCTTCTAGTATTATTGTGTTACTATCTATTAATGTCTTCAGATCTGTTAATATTTTCTCTGTTTATTTAGGTGGTCTGATGTTGGGTACATATATATATTTACAGATACTGTATCCTCTTGTGGAATTGGCCCCTTTCTCATTATATAATTACTTTCTCTGACTCTTTTTACAGTTTTTGATGTAAAGTCTGCCCTATCTGATAAAACTTTAGCTTCCTCTGCTCTCTTTTGGTTTCCATTTGCATGGAATATCTTTTTTCCTATACCCATGCATGTGCTTAAAGGTGAATTGAGTCTCTTGTAGACAACCTGTAGCTGAATCTTGTTTTCTTTATCCATTCAGCTGCTCTTTATCTTTTGATAGGAGAATTTGGCCCATTTACATTCAAGGTAACTATTGATGGGTAAAGACTTCTGTCATTTTGTAATTGTTTTCTGATTGTTTGGCAGATTATTTGTTTCTTCCTCTCTTGCTGTCTTCCCTTGTGTTTAGATGATTTTCTGTGGTGGTATGCTTTGATTCCTTTATATCTTTTGTGCATCTACTATTGGTTTCTACTTTGTGGCTATCATGAGGTTTACATAGAACATCTTATAGTTATAGTAGTCTGTTTCAAGCACTAACAACTTAATTTCAATTGCATTAAAAAACTGTACTGTTACTCAGACCCTCCTGCACATATTTTATGTTTTTGATGTCATTATTTGCATTTTATATTGTGTATTCATGAAAAAATTATTGAAGCTATAGTTATTTTTAATACTTTTTTTTAAAAACCTGTATTTTAGAATTAAGTAATTTACACATGACCATTACAAATTTAGTATATTATTAATTTGATTATATATTTATCTTAACAGTGAGTTTCATACTTTCATATGTTTCCATGTTGCTAATTAGTGTCCTTTCATTTCAGCTTGGAGAACTCTTCAGCGTTTCTTGTAAGGCGCGTCCAGTGGTGATAAACTCCCTCAGCTTTTGTTTGTCTGGGACTGTTTATATCTCTTTCATTTCTGAAGGACAGCTTTGCTGGGATACATATTCTTGTCTGGTAGTTTTGTCTTTCAGCACTTTGAATATATCATCCAACTCTCTCCTGGCCTACAAGGTTTTTGCAGAGAAATCCACTTGTGGTCTTATAGGGTTTCTCTTGTAGAAGATGAGTTTCTTTTCTGTTACAGTTTTAAAATTCTCTTTCATCTTCTATTTTTGCCAGTTCATTATAATGTGTGTCAGTGAAGTCTTCTTTGGGTTGAATCTTTATGGGGTCCTATGAACTTCCTGTACCTGGATATCTTTCCCTAGATTTATGAAGTTTTCAGCATTTTTTTTTTAAATCAGCTTTCTGTCCTTTCTCTCTTTTCCTTCTTGAATTCTCGGGTTTGTTTTTCATTTTCTTGGGTTTTTTTTTTTGATGGTGTCTTGTTCTGTCACCCAGGCTGGAGTGCAGTGGCATGATCTCAGCTCACTGCAACCTCCACCTCCCAGGTTCAAGTGATTCTCCTGCCTCAGCCTCCCACGTAGCTGGGACTACAGGTGTGCACCACCATGCCCAGCTAATTTTTGTATTTTTAGTAGAGACGGGGTTTTGCCATGTTGGCCAGGCTGGTCTTGAACCCCTGACTTCATGTGATCCACCCGCCTCAACCTCCCAAAGTGCTGGATTACAGGTGTGAGCCATCGTGCCTGGCCTTGAATTCTTAAAATGCAAATATTGTTTTGCTTGATGGTGTCCTATAATTCAGGTAGGCTTTCTCCACTATTCTTTTTTTTTTCTTTTTTTCTCCTCTGACTAGATAATTTCACATGATCTGCCTTTGAGTTCACAGGTTCTTCTGCTTGATCAGGTCTGCTATTGATGCTCTCTATTGCATTTTTTGTTGTTATGTTCTTCAGCTCCCGAATTTGTTTCTTTTTATTATTCCTATCTCTGTGTTGAATTTCTCATTTGTTTGTATATATTTTTTTATTTCATTATCTGTGTTCTTTTGTAGCTCACTGAGTTTGCTTGAAACAATTATTTTGAATTCTTTATCTGTTAGTTCATAGATCTCCATTTCTTTGTGGGTGATTACTGGAAAATTACTGAGTTTCTTTGCTAATGTCACGTTTCTTTTTTTTTTTTTCTTTCTGTTTCTTGTGGCCTTGTGTTATCTGTGTATTTGATGGACGAATTACTTCTAGACATTACAGATTAGTGTGTTTTTTTTGTTTTTTTTTTTGTGGGCAAAGATCTTTGCCTGTGGGTGAGGGTGAGGGTGAGGGCGCCAGCCAGTAGGTGTGGTGGTTCTGGCTCTGTGGAAGGCCCAGCATTGTGAACTCCATGCAGCTCCATTAGCCCAGATCATTGTCAGTGAGGATTGCAGGGGTCCTCAACATCCAAGGCTGCAGGTATCCATACCAGCAGCAAGGCTTTTTTTAGTCTATAGTGGCAGAGGCTGCTGGGGACCTCTTCATCACTTTTTCTCCCATGGGAGACATTGTGGCCAAGGGGATTCTTCTTGGCACAGGTTCTGGCTTTGGGCTTGTTGTGTTGGTGGAGGTGGCAGCACTGATGTCTCTGATGGCGTGGACACCTGTGGAGCAGCTACAGAGCCAAGGTTTGGAGTGCAAGTGTTTGCAGAAAGACAGCGGGTCTTGGGTTCAGGATGTTGACTAGCCTGCAGCAGTGGTGCTTCTAGTGCCTCAGATGTGGGTGCACGTAGAGCAGCCTTTGAGTTGGGTGCGGAGTGCAGGTGTGCAGAGCAGCCAGAGAGCTGGGATCTGGAGAGTGTGTGATTAGAGCAGCCACAGAGCAAAGGTCTTACATGAAGGTACATGTGAAGCAGCTGTGGCTCTGGGGTCTGGGGCATATGTGGGGGTTAGGGGCTGCACTGTCTGGGCAGTGCAAGAGCTGCTTTTTTTCAGGGTGAGGAGTGCAGTAGTGTCTCCCTCTCCAGGGGGTTCACAGCAGCAATGGGTGCTGGTTACCTTAATGGTGAAAGCTGTCAGTGTCCTCTGCAAAGTAGGCTACTGGGGTTGGCATCAATGAACACTATAGGGTCCTTCACTGTGAAACCTGCAGGAAGTCTGTGGCTATCTTGAGGGTTATTGGAGGTCTCCAGGGACCTGCTCTGGGGAGGAGCCTAGCAGTCTTTGCCACTGAGGACTGTAATGGCACTCACCACATGACTGATACAGGTAGCCCTCACCCCTTGTTCTTAGCCATCTCCAGATGTCTCTGCTAAGCAGATCTCCCAGCAGTCCTTTCTGTGTGGTTATTCTCCCTTTTTTTTTTTTTTCCCTTTATTGCTGTAGGCTGATTGGGCTAGTGAGTTCTTCCAGAGCTGTATTTGTGTATAGCTGTCTGTTTGTTGTTTTTTGTGGGTGGAAGAAGGCTGATGTCTCCTAGTCTGCTGTCTTGCTGATGTCACTCTTGCAAACTTTCAGTCTGCGGCTTTTCATTTCTTTAACATTGTCTTTTGAAGAGCAGATGTTTTCAATTTTGATGATGTCAATTTATCAATTTTATCTTTTGTGGAATATGTTTTTGGTCTTTTGTCTAATAATTCTTTACCCAATGTAAAGACAAATAAAGACAAGGCTTTTTCCTAGAAGTTTTATTGTTTTTGGTTTTATATTTAGGTATATGATCCATTTTTACTATTTTTGCATATAATATGGGCATAGGTCAGTGTTCCTTTTTTTTAACATATGAATATTCTGTTGTATAGTATCATTTATTGAAGAAACAAAAGGAATAGAATAGATATAGATGGTATGTGAACTTCTTGGAACATCTTTGAGAAGCCCTATCAGTTTAAAAACAAATATTTGAGAAACACTGTCATATTATATATAGATAAAAATATTTGATTCCATATTTTTTGGAGGGAAGGTAGTGGATTCTGGCTCAAATGTAATGGAAGAGTGAACATTGAAGAAAAATGAGCAGTTATTGTATTGTGAAAGATCACATTTTAGGAATACTGAGTTAATAGTATCTGAAACTGTTAAGTAGTTCACTTTAAGCACAAAATAGATTGTGTATAATAGTGTTCTTCAGGAGTCAACTTGTTCCCCTTTGTAGGTGCAGACGCTTTTCTTTTTGTTGTTGTGTTAATGGATTGAATTAGAAAATACCGTGATATATAACACACAGAAGGATGTATATTGTTTTATGATAATTTTGTTCCTGTTAGATATGTATGTGTTCTGGGTTGTGACGTAAAATGTTTTTACTATGGAGTACAATGAAAGATTTGAAAGCCATTTTTCTAGAATGATCAGGTTATATTTGATATGAAACAATTTTAAAAAATAATTTTCCTCATATGTTTTAGGTGTGAGTTCTTGATACGAATGAAAGGCCAAGAGTTTGTTGATGAGATTCAAGGTAGATATCCTCATCTTCTTGAACAGGTAAATACATTTTTAAAATTAACAACATTGAATTCTGCTTTATAATAACAAAAATATTATTAGGTTGGTATAAAAGTGATCATGATTTTTGCCATTGAAAGTCATGGCCAAAACCGTGATCACTTTTGTACCAACCTATATTAGAAGTTATGCTTATTTCTCTTTTATTAATTGTAGGTACATACTTTCATCCATGTTAATGACATCTTTGGTTTTTACTTTTGTAACCAACTTGATTTTTGAGGGCTTTTTAAAAAAGATTGTTTTTTTGTTTTTACTATTTTGAAAAATCATTTATGCTGCCACTGTACAAATTTGTGATGGGATTGGAGAAGGATCTTTAGTGTCTCTTTGCTGTTTTCCAGAAAAACAAACAAAAAATAACTTGTTAGGAGCTGAGACCCTTGGAGAGTAACCCAGTTAAAATCTTATTTTCCAAATGAAATGAGAAACCACTGATACATTTTTCTACTTTCCTGAAACTAGAGAAATACTTGATTTCTAATTTGGGATGACATGAAATTTAAGGAAATCTATGTGATTAGGGTAAAAGAAAGCAAAGCAAAGGTCATAAATCACTCAGTTCTCAAAAGAACATATACATTTACTTAAAGTAAGCTTATTTTAGTGTTGTTCTTTTCAGATTGTTGGGGATATCTGCTTTTACCTATTAACTTTTCTCTTGTTTCATAGCTGTTGTCAACTTCAGATACCACTGGAGAAGAAAATGCTGACCCACCAAGTATGTATGAGATAATTTTAAGTATAGAGTGTAAATTTTTATAAGAATTTTAGGAATAGGCTGGGTGCAGTGGCTCATGCCTGTAATCCCAACACTTTGAGAGGCCGAGGTTGACAGATCACCTGAGGTCAGGAGTTCGAGACCAGCCTGGCCAACATAGTAAAACTCCATCTACTAAAAATACAAAACTTAGCCGGGTGTGATGTGCCTGTAGTCTCAGCTACTCGGGAGGCTGAGGCAGGAGAATTGCTTGAACCCAGGAGGTGGAGGTTGCAGTGAACTGAGATTATGCCATTGCACTCCATCCTGGGCAACAGAGCGAAACTCCATCTCCAAAAAAAAAGGTAGGAATGAAAGTATGTATTTTTTAAAAGAGTTTCTGAAGCCATAGGGAAAAATACTGGGAAGTCAGCTAATAAATATTATATATATATATATATATATATATATATATATATACACACACACACAGAGAGAGAGAGAGAGAGAGAGAGAGAGAGTGTAATGACACTGTGGAGGACCCTAAAAGTGTACTAGTTTTTGTTCTAGTGCTATACTTATCACTTTTAGTGCTGACATTCCAACTGGAGAAATGAGACATAAGCAAAAGAAAAACAAAAAATAGTTCAAAGCAATGCCAAATAAGCGGTGCAAATAATAAACCCTCCAGAAAAGAAGAGTTTGCTGTGAGTTGGCATGATTTGGAAAACGTCAATTCACATATGATTCAAGAATTGGACTAGATGTTAGGTATTTAAGTCAGGTATGTTGTATTTCAGTGCAAGGGCAGGAAATAGTATAGCTTTTGATTAGAGCTTAATGTTAGCCACATCTGTCAATTTATGTAATATACATATGTTATTGTGTCTAAAATGGCTAAGGTAGTAATCCCGTTTTATGTGCCAATCACATCTACAAAGGGCCATTCTGTTTGTGGCACAGCATTTCAAGAAAGATTGGCAGATTTGTTAACTGGACCAGAGAAAGGTGACCAAGATGTATGAGTCTTAGAAACCATGGCTCAGGAGGATTGGATGAAGGATTTGGTAGTATTTGACTGGAAAATAGGAAGGAGAGTACTGGAAAATAGGAAGGAGAGTACCTGGGTACATGACAACTATCTCCCGTGTAATAGACCTAGAAAAGATAGATAGCAGTGTGGGCTGTTCTTAAAATTTATAACCACTGCTATTAAGTAGGCTGCCCTGCAGTTCTACCATAGGTCCTAATAAAATCACTTTGTCAATCTTTAAAATGACTGTTTCTTGTTTTCTGTCTTGATAATTTTCTAACACTCTCTTCCCACCTTACTGTCAGTTTATAATCTTGCTTCCCTAAGAAAATAGAATCCAAAAGAGAGCTGCTTTATTGCCTCACCAGCAAAACCACTAGGCTACATAATTTATCCTTGTACTTTTCTGTTTGTTCATAAAAGATGAATTGTCCTTGCCCTTTTCTAAGGCCATTACTTCTACTTGTCCTCTGTATTCCATCCCCTACTGTCAACTTAAGAAGGTTACTTTGGCAGTGACATACCCTTTCTCTCGAGTCTTCAATTTTTCCACCTCTCCTGAATCACTCATGTTAGCATATAAACATAATGTACTTTTGCTAATCCTAGGAAAATTTCCATGAATGAATGTCCCCATTCAGCTATTACCTTATTACTCTGCTTCCCTTTACAACAAAATACCTAGGAAGATTTATCTGTGCTTAACTCTGTTTTACTTCCTCACCTTTCATTCTTTCACTTGTTCTGCTAGAAACTGTTCTTGTCATGGTAACCAGGGACTGCCGTGTTAGCAAATCCACTACTTGACCTGTTAATTAGCATTTGATAATCACTGGGTGCTTTGTCGTTGTTTTTTCTTTTTGTGAAACAAGGTCTCACTTTGTCACCCAGGCTGTAGTGTGGTTAGGTGCCATCATGGCTCACTGCAGCCTTAACTTCCCTGGCTCAGGTGATTCTCTCACCTCAGCCTCCCAAGTAGCTGGGACTACAGGCATGCACCATCACATTCAGCTAAGTGTGTGTGTGTGTGTGTGTGTGTGTGTTTGTAGATACAGGGTTTCACCATGTTGCCCAGGCTGGTCTCAAACTCTTGAGCTTAAGCAATCTGCCTGCCTCGGCCTCCCATAGTGCTGGGATTGCAGGCATGAGCCACTGCATTTGGCCTCATCTTTCTTAAGACACATTTTTTGCTTGACTTATCAGACCCCATACTCTTGGTTTTCTATTTCCCTGGTTGGTCCTGAACAATTTCCTTTGTTGGCTGCTCCTTTTTCAAACTTCAAAATGTTGGAGTACCCCTCATAGCTCAGCTTAAATTTATTTCTCCATTTCCTGAGCCCCAAGCTGGAATGTCCAGCTAACTGTTTAAATCTCTACTTGGCTGTAACAGACATTGTAGAGTTAATATGACCAAACCGGAAATTTTCTTCCCCATTCTTCATCCCTCAGATTTGTTCCTTCTTTGGTCTTCCCCATCTCAGTTAATGGTACTCATTTCCCAGCATTAAAAGTTGGCTCAAGTTAGGCATCATCTCTGATTCCTCTCCTTCCTTTAGTTTGTATATTTAATCTATCAGAAGTCTTTTCATTTCTGTCTTCATAACATATGCCAAATCTGACTACATCTCACCATCTCCACCACTGTTTTTTTTTTTTGAGATGGAGTCTTGCTCTGTTGCCCAGGCTGGAGTGCAGTGGCGCAATTTTGGCTCACTGGAAGCTCCACCCGCCGGGTTCACGCCATTCTCTTGCCTCAGCCTCCCAGGTAGCTGGGACTACAGGCGCCCACCACCACGCCCGGCTAATTTTTTGTATTTTTTTTTAGTAGAGATGGGGTTTCACTGGATTAGCCAGGATGGTCTCGATCTCCTCACCTCATGATCCGCCCGCCTTGGCTCCCAAAGTGCTGGGATTACAGGCATGAGCCACCATGCCCGGCCCTCCACCACTATTAACCTAATCCAAACTACCGTCATCTGTGTCTAACATCCTAACAAGTCTTCCTGATTCTGGTTTACCCCATTAAAGTAACATCTCCACCGAGCTGCCAGAGTCATCTTCTGAAAACACAAGTCAAGTTTTATCAGTTGCATGCTTGAAACACTCCTAGAATATTCTACCAAACTTAGAATAAAATATAAACTCTTAGGAAGCCTCTGCTTATCTGGGCATTGTCCTCCTTTTTTTACCTTCTACCACCTTCTTTCTGTTTCTTGATCATGTCAAGCTTTTCCCTCAATTTAAGGTTTTTACACTTGCTGTTCTCTTTGCTTAGAAGACTTCTTTGAGATATTTCCATAGCTCACTCCTTTTTCCCCCCAGTATTAATAATTTTACATGTAATAGATGTATACATTCTTCATAAGGGAAAGAAAACTAAATGCTGTAGGCAATGCCAAATTCCCCTCTGATGCTTACATACAGTTCTGTTTCTAACTTCTAATACCCAGAGCTCAGTAGCATGGGCTAGGTATATACCAGTTTAGTTCGTTTGTATATTTTTAAATTTTTTCACAGTAGTCCAGCATATATTGCATTTTATTTATCCATTCCCTATTGAGAGCTATTCCTGTTATTTTCTGTTTTTTTTTTTCTGCTGTAAATATTGCTGTAATGATCCTCTAATGTGTCTCTTATCTTGAACATAAAGTATTTCCTCAAGGCATGCGCTTAAAAATGAAATAGAGCTCATTCCTTGTTATTTAAATCTTTGTTCTGGTGCCATTTCTTCGGACACGGATTCCACGCGTGTTTGAACAAGAGGGGACATTGTTGACGTTGTATATTTATTATAAGTTTCCAGAAGATGGCAGTAGTGTCTTGAAGAATTATGTCTTTTTGTATTTTTTCATAAAAGTATCATATGGGCTAGCATTGACTCTTAGCAGAAAATGCTTCCCTGACTACCCTATCTAAAATGACTTCCTGCTTCCTGGTTTCTTTTAATGACCTTACACTACTTTTTTCTTCAGAGCATCTGTCACTGTCTAAAATCATACTGCCTTAATTACTTCTGAAGCCATACTTTTTCACTACATCTTCTGGGTGAACTGATCTTCTATTTTACTATACTTCCCATTTTTGTTTATGTTATTCTCTCTACCTCAGCAATCCACTTGTCTAGACCCTGTCCATCCTTCAAGTCCAAACTCTAATGCGCCACTTTTCCATGAAGTCTTTGTGATTTCCCCCCACTTTCCTGGCTGGAGAAGATTATTTCTCACTTCTAAGTTCGTATAGCATATTGGTTTCCAGAAATGACTATACATCAGAATCATTTGGGAAATATTCAAAAGATACAGATTCCTAATTCTTATCCTTAGAGAATCTTTCATTAAGTAAGTCTAGGATGTAGCCAGAGAGGTGGGTTTTGTAAAAAGTATAGCATATTAATTGTATTCTCATTTGACCATTATGAAGTTCAAACTTTTATTGGAGTTATAGGTAATCGATGCATATAGCTCATCTCCTTTACCAGAATATGAGAGTAAAGGATGAATAAAGATTGTGCCATGATACTTTTTTCCATAGGTTTATGTTTGTGGAATTTAATATTAGCATGTTTCTTTTCAAATAGTTATTCATTTTGGACCTGGAGAAAGTTCTTCAGAAGATGCTGTCATGATGAATACACCTGTGGTTAAATCTGCCTTGGAAATGGGCTTTAATAGAGACCTGGTGAAACAAACAGTTCAAAGTAAAATCCTGACAACTGGAGAGAACTATAAAACAGTTAATGATATTGTGTCAGCACTTCTTAATGCTGAAGATGAAAAAAGAGAAGAGGAGAAGGAAAAACAAGCTGAAGAAATGGCATCAGGTATTTGGGGATGTTAGTCACCTGCATTGTTTCTCAGTGGAGCTCTTAGGACTGTCTCACATGTTACAGGACACCATGCTTGTTTCACATCCACTAACTGCTGGTAGCAGTCCTCCAGTCATTTCGAAACCATCCCTCCTTTTCTACCCCTTTCAATTGCTTCTAGTTGAGAACCATTGACTGCCGCTTTTTTCTATACATTTATTTTCGGATGAGGTTCTCTGATTTATGCCAATCAGAGAATTTTAGCATAATAAGCTCTTTCTTGAGCTGTATTCCATTTCTTTCTCATACATAACAAATTTAAATTGTTTTGAAAAAGCAAGATGTTAAAGTTGGATGCAGGTCTTTTTTCAACCTGTTTTTTTTTTTAAGTTTCTGCAAATCATATTTTTAATAGGATACTTTACTCCCTAATCCTTGCTAAGTGATCCTCATACACAAAATAGAACTTACAATGAAATTCTGGGGCTTGATGAGAACCACCTGCCCAATCCAAGGATAACAGGAAAACTGATTTTTGTATTCGTCCAGATAGTATTAAGTCTCGGCCTCTCAAAACAAGTATTTTGAGTAATCATTTATTCCTTCAATAAATTTTTTTTTTTCTTTTTTCTATTTTTTTTTAATTATACTTTAAGTTTTAGGGTACATGTGCACATTGTGCAGGTTAGTTACATATGTATACATGTGCCATGCTGGTGCGCTGCACCCACTAACTCATCATCTAGCATTAGGTATATCTCCCAATGCTATCCCTCCCCCCTCCCCCCACCCCACCACAGTCCCCAGAGTGTGATATTCCCCTTCCTGTGTCCATGTGATCTCATTGTTCAGTTCCCACCTATGAGTGAGAATATGCGGTGTTTGGTTTTTCGTTCTTGCGATAGTTTACTGAGAATGATGATTTCCAATTTCATCCATGTCCCTACAAAGGACACGAACTCATCATTTTTTATGGCTGCATAGTATTCCATGGTGTATATGTGCCACATTTTCTTAATCCGGTCTATCATTGTTGGACATTTGGGTTGGTTCCAAGTCTTTGCTATTGTGAATAATGCCGCAATAAACATACGTGTGCATGTGTCTTTATAGCAGCATGATTTATAGTCATTTGGGTATATACCCAGTAATGGGATGGCTGGGTCAAATGGTATTTCTAGTTCTAGATCCCTGAGGAATCGCCACACTGACTTCCACAATGCTTGAACTAGTTTACAGTCCCACCAACAGTGTAAAAGTGTTCCTATTTCTCCACATCCTCTCCAGCACCTGTTGTTTCCTGACTTTTTAATGATTGCCATTCTAACTGGTGTGAGATGGTATCTCATTGTGGTTTTGATTTGCATTTCTCTGATGGCCAGTGATGATGAGCATTTTTTCATGTGTTTTTTGGCTGCATAAATGTCTTCTTTTGAGAAGTGCCTGTTCATGTCCTTTGCCCACTTTTTGATGGGGTTGTTTGTTTTTGTCTTGTAAATTTGTTTGAGTTCATTGTAGATTCTGGTTATTAGCCCTTTGTCAGATGAGTAGGTTGCGAAAATTTTCTCCCATTTTGTAGGTTGCCTGTTCACTCTGATGGTAGTTTCTTTTGCTGTGCAGAAGCTCTTTAGTTGAATTAGATCCCATTTGTCAATTTTGGCTTTTGTTGCCATTGCTTTTGGTGTTTTGGACATGAAGTCCTTGCCCATGCCTATGTCCTGAATGGTAATGCCTAGGTTTTCTTCTAGGGTTTTTATGGTTTTAGGTCTAACATTTAAATCTTTAATCCATCTTGAATTGATTTTTGTATAAGGTGTAAGGAAGGGATCCAGTTTCAGCTTTCTACATATGGCTAGCCAGTTTTCCCAGCACCATTTATTAAATAGGGAATCCTTTCCCCATTGCTTGTTTTTCTCAGGTTTGTCAAAGATCAGATAGTTATAGATACGCGGTGTTATTTCTGAGGGCTCTGTTCTGTTCCATTGATCTATATCTCTGTTTTTGTACCAGTACCATGCTGTTTTGGTTACTGTAGCCTTGTAGTATAGTTTGAAGTCAGGTAGTGTGATGCCTCCAGCTTTGTTCTTTTGGCTTAGGATTGACTTGGCAATGCGGGCTCTTTTTTGGTTCCATATGAACTTTAAAGTAGTTTTTTCCAATTCTGTGAAGAAAGTCATTGGTAGCTTGATGGGGATGACATTGAATCTGTAAATTACCTTGGGCAGTATGGCCATTTTCACGATATTGATTCTTCCTACCCATGAGCATGGAATATTCTTCCATTTGTTTGTATCCTCTTTTATTTCCTTGAGCAGTGGTTTGTAGTTCTCCTTGAAGAGGTCCTTCACATCCCTTGTAAGTTGGATTCCTAGGTATTTTATTCTCTTTGAAGCAATTGTGAATGGGAGTTCACTCATGATTTGGCTCTCTGTTTGTCTGTTGTTGGTGTATAAGAATGCTTGTGATTTTTGTACATTGATTTTGTATCCTGAGACTTTGCTGAAGTTGCTTATCAGCTTAAGGAGATTTTGGGCTGAGACAATGGGGTTTTCTAGATATACAATCATGTCGTCTGCAAACAGGGACAATTTGACTTCCTCTTTTCCTAATTGAATACCCTTTATTTCCTTCTCCTGCCTAATTGCCCTGGCCAGAACTTCCAACACTATGTTGAATAGGAGTGGTGAGAGAGGGCATCCCTGTCTTGTGCCCGTTTTCAAAGGGAATGCTTCCAGTTTTTGCCCATTCAGTATGATATTGGCTGTGGGTTTGTCATAGATAGCTCTTATTATTTTGAAATAGGTCCCATCAATACCTAATTTATTGAGAGTTTTTAGCATGAAGGGTTGTTGAATTTTGTCAAAGGCTTTTTCTGCATCTATTGAGATAATCATGTGGTTTTTGTCTTTGGCTCTGTTTATATGCTGGATTACATTTATTGATTTGCGTATATTGAACCAGCCTTGCATCCCAGGGATGAAGCCCACTTGATCATGGTGGATAAGCTTTTTGATATGCTGCTGGATTCGTTTTGCCAGTATTTTATTGAGGATTTTTGCATCAATGTTCATCAAGGATATTGGTCTAAAATTCTCTTTTTTTGTTGTGTCTCTGCCCGGCTTTGGTATCAGAATGATGCTGGCCTCATAAAATGAGTTAGGGAGGATTCCCTCTTTTTCTATTGATTGGAATAGTTTCAGAAGGAATGGTACCAGTTCCTCCTTGTACCTCTGGTAGAATTCCGCTGTGAATCCATCTGGTCCTGGACTCTTTTTGGTTGGTAAGCTATTGATTATTGCCACAATTTCAGATCCTGTTATTGGTCTATTCAGAGATTCAGCTTCTTCCTGGTTTAGTCTTGGGAGAGTGTATGTGTTGAGGAATTTATCCATTTCTTCTAGATTTTCTAGTTTATTTGTGTAGAGGTGTTTGTAGTATTCTCTGATGGTAGTTTGTATTTCTGTGGGATCAGTGGTGATATCCCCTTTATCATTTTTTATTGCGTCTATTTGATTCTTCTCTCTTTTCTTCTTTATTAGTCTTGCTAGCGGTCTATCTATTTTGTTGATCTTTTCAAAAAACCAGCTCCCGGATTCATTGATTTTTTGAAGGGTTTTTTTGTGTCTCTATTTCCTTCAGTTCTGCTCTGATCTTAGTTATTTCCTGCCTTCTGCTAGCTTTTGAATGTGTTTGCTCTTGCTTCTCTAGTTCTTTTAATTGTGATATTAGGGTGTCAATTTTAGATCTTTCCTGCTTTCTCTTGAGGGCATTTAATGCTATAAATTTCCCTCTACACACTGCTTTGAATGTGTCCCAGAGATTCTGGTATGTTGTGTGTTTGTTCTCATTGGTTTCAAAGAACATCTTTATTTCTGCCTTCATTTCGTTATGTACCCAGTAGTCATTCAGGAGCAGGTTGTTCAGTGTCCATGTAGTTGAGTGATTTTGAGTGTTTCTTAATCCTGAGTTCTAGTTTGATTGCACTGTGGTCTGAGAGATAGTTTGTTATAATTTCTGTTCTTTTACATTTGCTGAGGAGAGCTTTACTTCCAACTATGTGGTCAATTTTGGAATAGGTGTGGTGTGGTGCTGAAAAAAATGTATATTCTGTTGATTTGGGGTGGAGAGTTCTGTAGATGTCTATTAGGTCCACTTGGTGCAGAGCTGAGTTCAATTCCTGGGTATCCTTGTTGACTTTCTGTCTCGTTGATCTGTCTAATGTTGACAGTGGGGTGTTAAAGTCTCCCATTATTAATGTGTGGGAGTCTAAGTCTCTTTGTAGGTCACTCAGGACTTGCTTTATGAATCTGGGTGCTCCTGTATTGGGTGCATATATATTTAGGATAGTTAGCTCTTCTTGTTGAATTGATCCCTTTACCATTATGTAATGGCCTTCTTTGTCTCTTTTGATCTTTGTTGGTTTAAAGTCCGTTTTATCAGAGACTAGGATTGCAACCCCTGCCTCTTTTTGTTTTCCATTTGCTTGGTAGATCTTCCTCCATCCTTTTATTTTGAGCCTATGTGTGTCTCTGCACGTGAGATGGGTTTCCTGAATACAGCACACTGATGGGTCTTGACTCTTTATCCAATTTGCCAGTCTGTGTCTTTTAATTGGAGCATTTAGTCCATTTACATTTAAAGTTAATATTGTCATGTGTGAATTTGATCCTGTCATTATGATGTTAGCTGGTGATTTTGCTCGTTAGTTGATGCAGTTTCTTCCTAGTCTCAATGGTCTTTACATTTTGGCATGATTTTGCAGCTGCTGGTACCGGTTGTTCCTTTCCATGTTTAGTGCTTCCTTCCGGAGCTCTTTTAGGGCAGGCCTGGTGGTGACAAAATCTCTCACCATTTGCTTGTCTGTGAAGTATTTTATTTCTCCTTCACTTATGAAGCTTAGTTTGGCTGGATATGAAATTCTGGGTTGAAAATTCTTTTCTTTAAGAATGTTGAATATTGGCCCCCACTCTCTTCTGGCTTGTAGGGTTTCTGCCGAGAGATCCGTTGTTAGTCTGATGGGCTTCCCTTTGAGGGTAACCCGACCTTTCTCTCTGGCTGCCCTTAACATTTTTTCCTTCATTTCAACTTTGGTGAATCTGACAATTATGTGTCTTGGAGTTGCTCTTCTCGAGGAGTATCTTTGTGGCGTTCTCTATATTTCCTGAATCTGAACGTTGGCCTGCCTTGCTAGATTGGGGAAGTTCTCCTGGATAATATCCTGCAGAGTGTTTTCCAACTTGGTTCCAATCTCCCCATCACTTTCAGGTACACCAATCAGACGTAGATTTGGTCTTTTCACATAATCCCATATTTCTTGGAGGCTTTGCTCATTTCTTTTTATTCTTTTTTCTCTAAACTTCCCTTCTCGCTTCATTTCATTCATTTCATCTTCCATTGCTGATACCCTTTCTTCCAGTTGATCGCATCGGCTCCTGAGGCTTCTGCATTCTTCACGTAGTTCTCGAGCCTTGGTTTTCAGCTCCATCAGCTCCTTTAAGCACTTCTCTGTATTGGTTATTCTAGTTATACATTCTTCTAAATTTTTTTCAAAGTTTTCAACTTCTTTGCCTTTGGTTTGAATGTCCTCCTGTAGCTCAGAGTAATTTGATCGTCTGAAGCCTTCTTCTCTCAGCTCATCAAAGTCATTCTCCATCCAGCTTTGTTCCGTTGCTGGTGAGGAACTGCGTTCCTTTGGAAGAGGAGAGGCGCTCTGCGTTTTAGAGTTTCCAGCTTTTCTGTTCTGTTTTTCCCCCATCTTTGTGGTTTTATCTATTTTTGGTCTTTGATGATGGTGATGTACAGATGGGTTTTCGGTGTGGATGTCCTTTCTGTTTGTTAGTTTTCCTTCTAACAGACAGGACCCTCAGCTGCAGGTCTGTTGGAATACCCTGCCGTGTGAGGTGTCAGTGTGCCCCTGCTGGGGGGTGCCTCCCAGTTAGGCTGCTCGGGGGTCAGGGGTCAGGGACCCACTTGAGGAGGCAGTCTGCCGGTTCTCAGATCTCCAGCTGCGTGCTGGGAGAACCACTGCTCTCTTCAAAGCTGTCAGACAGGGACACTTAAGTCTGCAGAGGTTACTGCTGTCTTTTTGTTTGTCTGTGCCCTGCCCCCAGAGGTGGAGCCTACAGAGGCAGGCAGGCCTCCTTGAGCTGTGGTGGGCTCCACCCAGTTCGAGTTCCTGGCTGCTTTGTTTACCTAATCAAGCCTGGGCAATGGCGGGCGCCCCTCCCCCAGCCTCGCTGCTGCCTTGCAGTTTGATCTCAGACTGCTGTGCTAGCAATCAGCGAGACTCCGTGGGCGTAGGACCCTCCGAGCCAGGTGTGGGATATAATCTCTTGGTTCGCCGTTTTTTAAGCCAGTCTGAAAAGCGCAATATTCGGGTGGGAGTGACCCGATTTTCCAGGTGCGTCCGTTACCCCTTTCTTTGACTCGGAAAGGGAACTCCTTGACCCCTTGGGCTTCCCAAGTGTGGCAATGCCTTGCCCTGCTTCGGTTTGCACACGGTGCGCGCACCCACTGGCCTGCGCCCACTGTCTGGCACTCCCTAGTGAGATGAACCCGGTACCTCAGATGGAAATGCAGAAATCACCCGTCTTGTGCGTCGCTCACGCTGGGAGCTGTACACCGGAGCTGTTCCTATTCGGCCATCTTGGCTCCTCCCCTCCTTCAATAAATATTTGTTGAGCATGAGCACCAGTGCCAAATACTGTGCCTAATCACAGTGGTTGCTGTCAAGGAGTATATACACTAGCTGGCGAGACTAGTGTGCAAAAGACAGGGTTAAAGGGCCAGCAGAGAGGCGAAGGTTGCATATGTATTGGAGTATTGCGTTGGAAGATGCTTTCTTTTTAAGCTTGTAAGTAAAGACAGGAATAACTTAAGAGTACCTTATTGCATGACCGTGTAGCAAAATATTTAAAGTCTGGACTTCTACATTGAAACAGATTTGTGTTTAAATTCTAGCTCCAGGCTGGGCGCGGTGGCTCATGCCTGTAATCCCAGCACTTTGGGAGGCCAAGACGGGCGGATCACAAGGTCAGGAAATTGAGACCATCCTGGCTAACACGATGAAACCCCGTCTTGACTAAAAATACAAAAAATTAGCCGGGCATGGTGGCGGATGCCTGTAGTCCCAGCTATTCGGGAGGCTGAGGCAGGAGAATGGCGTGAACCCGGGAGGCAGAGCTTGCAGTGAGCCGAGATCGTGCCCCTGCACTCCAGCCTGGGTGACAGAGCCAGACTCCATCTCAAAAAAAAAAAAAAAAAAATTCCAGTTCTATCAGTTACTAGCTTGGCTATTTATTCAACCAGACATCGGCTTTCTCATCTGTAAAATGGGGATAATAATAGTATGACTCCCATAGGGTTGCTGTAGGAATTAAATGAGATATTGCAAATAAAACACTTTAACACAGCTCCTAGCACGTCAATTTTTTTTTTTTTTTAAGCATTAGGTAGATTGACTTGGGAAGTGGGAGGGACTTGGTGAAAGAAAGGGCCTAAGAAAAGTCAATTTAAGGATTGTTAAGTAGTAATGAAATCCAGCTAAGGTTATATGAAATCACTGTCACCTTAGATTTATGACTTTCTCATACTTTGTATGGGTTGGAAAATAGTATTGAATTACAGATTTGGCAGTGTTAATAGGGGAAAGGGCAAGTAAGGAATACGGAAGATGAGTTAAGGGTGCTAATATAGAGAACTTCATTGAAATACCTGACTGCTACCTAGATTAGAATAGGAGGTTTGAAGCAAAGCCAGGAGATAGCTCTTGTGCAAGTAGAATTGGGAATGACATGGAGATCTTGAAAAGGTGAAGAACAAATTGGTTAGCAGTGAGAGGAATTATTTAGGTAGAAGAAAAAGTTGTCACAGAATGGAATTTTATAGTTTTGAGATTAATAGAGCAGTTCACTTCTAGAGAGATGTAAAAGGGGAAAGAAGATAGGCTTCTGTTTTTATAATTTATTTCTCATTAAACTGGTACTTTGTAGAGATGTACTTTTTAAATTTTTTTGAAAGTCTGAAAATAGACAAATTTTATAATGATTCAGATACCAAAAGAAGGAACTACCATATTCCATAAATATAAATTAACTGTGGAGTTTTATGTGATGCGATATTAAAGGAAAAACATTGGCTTTTTAAAAAAAGGTCAGGCTTGATTCTTAGGTAGTTTTTTTTAATTGCTATAAACATAGACATTTATAAAATAATAATGGTAGTTAACTATGTACCACATATTGTGCCAGATGCTTTACATGTATTATTCAATCCTTACAACTTTGAGGAAGGTACCGTTATGTATATTTTACAGATGAGGAAACTGAGGTGTATGGGGAAGGATGAGGACACATAGCTAGTGAGTGGGCCTAGCCAACACTGGAACCTAGGTCTGTTTTGACTTGGCAACTCAAACCCTACAATACTACAATACCACGTCTTAAGTATGGGGTGTTGAAAAGAACACTGGTCTAGGATGCCTGGTTCTGCAGCTTATTCTTTCTTGTGATCTTAGGCCACTCATTCTTTTCTGAGTCTTTTTTCTCCCTATGTAAAAATGAGAGGCAGTAATACTCGCCTTGTTTAATTGACAGGATCACTGTATCAAATGAGACAAATTACTATGAAAGTGCTTACAAAAGTAAAATGATATAATGGAAATACAAGAGTATTATTATATATGGTGGGGGGAAATTTTTACTGTCTTCTACAAATCTCTTGCAACAAAATAAAGTAAAAGCGGAGTTCTAGGACATGTAAATATATAGACTTAAAAATTAAACAGAGACTTCCTCTGGAAGTTTTCCAAACAACAAACTTACAAATGCAAACAAGTTACTTTGTTCTTTTTTGAACTTTATTTAGTGCCTAAATTGTTTGTAGGGTTGGTTATTAGTGACTATATGAGTATAGTTAAAGGAGTTTAAAATCTAATGGATTTCTTTTTCTTTTTTTAATGAAGATGATTTGTCATTAATTCGGAAGAACAGAATGGCTCTCTTTCAACAATTGACATGTGTGCTTCCTATCCTGGATAATCTTTTAAAGGCCAATGTAATTAATAAACAGGAACATGATATTATTAAACAAAAAACACAGATACCTTTACAAGCGAGAGAACTGATTGATACCATTTTGGTTAAAGGAAATGCTGCGGCCAACATCTTCAAAAACTGTCTAAAAGAAATTGACTCTACATTGTATAAGAACTTATTTGGTGAGTTTGTTGGGAAAATTATTTTAGAAATTCTTAGGACTGGCCAGATGCGGTGGCTCAGTTTTGTATTTAGTAGAGTAATGGTTTTTATGTTTTCTTTCCTCAGTGGATAAGAATATGAAGTATATTCCAACAGAAGATGTTTCAGGTAAAACAAAGATTTAAAACCAACATGAACTATTACCCTTTTTTTTTAATGAAGTGGAAACAATTTCACTAAAGTTATTTTTTGTTATTAGGTCTGTCACTGGAAGAACAATTGAGGAGGTTGCAAGAAGAACGAACTTGTAAAGTGTGTATGGACAAAGAAGTTTCTGTTGTATTTATTCCTTGTGGTCATCTGGTAGTATGCCAGGAATGTGCCCCTTCTCTAAGAAAATGCCCTATTTGCAGGGGTATAATCAAGGGTACTGTTCGTACATTTCTCTCTTAAAGAAAAATAGTCTATATTTTAACCTGCATAAAAAGGTCTTTAAAATATTGTTGAACACTTGAAGCCATCTAAAGTAAAAAGGGAATTATGAGTTTTTCAATTAGTAACATTCATGTTCTAGTCTGCTTTGGTACTAATAATCTTGTTTCTGAAAAGATGGTATCATATATTTAATCTTAATCTGTTTATTTACAAGGGAAGATTTATGTTTGGTGAACTATATTAGTATGTATGTGTACCTAAGGGAGTAGTGTCACTGCTTGTTATGCATCATTTCAGGAGTTACTGGATTTGTTGTTCTTTCAGAAAGCTTTGAATACTAAATTATAGTGTAGAAAAGAACTGGAAACCAGGAACTCTGGAGTTCATCAGAGTTATGGTGCCGAATTGTCTTTGGTGCTTTTCACTTGTGTTTTAAAATAAGGATTTTTCTCTTATTTCTCCCCCTAGTTTGTGAGAAACATCTCAATAAAGTGCTTTAAAAAGATTGTGTTACCAGAATATTTTTTCTTTCCTGATTTAAAAAGTAATTTTCATGTGTCTTCCTTGTACTCAAATGCCAGCTATTAAGTAAAAAATTGCATTCATGAGAAATTATTAAGTGTTGTTAAAATAATGTTATCTGTGAAATTTCTTTAGATGACAGTGTCTTGTTGCTTTGTATGTTATAGATACAATGTTGGATGAAAAATGAATCCAACATTAATTTCAGAAAACTCTTAAATTAGATAAATAGGCATTATTTTCAGACAGTAGTGTAATTGCTTTGTTGCATAGGTGTTGATGGGGTGAGGAGGCATACAGGCAATGAATGGTTAGTACCTCCTTTCTGGGTCCAGTCATATTTGACCTTTCTTAGATCTCACTCTGTGGCAGACTTCTGAAGCCAGGTAGATAAGGAAGTCTAATAGTAAAAACTCTCCATTTTTCTTCTCACCTCACAACTCTTTTGGATTCCTTTAGAGAACACATGGGAAGAGTGAGTAAGAATTTCTGTGTACCCCAGTCTCTTCTCTTGCCTTTGTTTCCATCCTGATATGCTGATACATGTATGTAAGTCCAAATGCATATACCTAGGTTCAAGACCTCATGAGAGAAACTCTCTCCGGCCATTATGGAGGGAATATAAAGAGGGAATTCTTTCCTCCCCCTCAAATTCAGTAGACTCAGAACAATGTTAAAACGTTAACTTTTCTCTGCCTCTCATCCTGGACTTGTGATTGCCAAAGGGATAATTAGCTCCGTCAAGGAATCAAATTAGAAGTCCTTTAGTCAGAACAGCCCAATATGTCTTAAGTCATAAAACTAATCCCCCTTGTTGTCACAGGATACTATTACATCTTTTTAAAAACTATTCTCTTTTTTCTTATTTTGCTTATAATAGCTACTCTATCAAGGATCCCATTTGCCAGATACAGTGCTAAATGCGTTAAACAATTGAGATGTGCTGTAGGTTCAGTTGTGTTCCCCGCAAATTTGTATGTTGAAGTCCTAATTGCCAGTACCTCAGAATGTACCTGTATTTGGAAATAGGGTTGTTAAAAGAGGCAAATAAGGTAAAATGAGATGATATAGTTGACTGCTAATCAACATGATTGGTGTTCTCTAAGAAAAGGGGATTAGGATACAGATGCACAGAGGAGTGACTATGTGAAGACACCCGAGGAAGAGGCCTCAGAAGAATCCAAACCTGCCAACACCTTGATCTTGGACTTCTAGCTTCCAGAACTGTAAGAAAATAAATTTCTGTTGTTTAAGCCACCCAGTCATTGGTACTTTGTTGTGGCAGCCTTAGCCAAGTAATACAAACTGCCGTTAATAGATACTTTAAAGCACATCGGCTCTGATCCTTTCAGCAATTTTGCAAAGTAAGATTTGAACACAGATCTGCCTGGCTCCTTAGCTTGTGCTTTTTTAACAAACTGTCCTAATAAGCTATACTTACATTTTTAAAAGTTAACATGGGCTGCCATCTAGTATAACTGTAGCAACTTATGATTTTTATCTATTTATAAAAGAGTTACCTTATTTGGCTTTATTCAGCTAGTCAGTTTAAAGACGTCTGTGTTTTTCACATTCAGTAAAAATAATGCAAAAAATATAACTAAACATAGTGTAATTTATACTTTATCTGCTTGCAAACTTCTCAAATGGACCTGGATTTGAGATTAGGGTTTTAGTCTCTTATCTTTTTTGCCCTCTTAATGATGATAATCAGTGTCCTAGCAGGTGCTCATTATGTTGAGCAGACAGATGAATGTCAGATGCTTTGTTAGGTTTTTTATTGCCTTCCATAATCCTTAAAACTGTAGGAAACATGTTATCTCTTTTTTATAATACAAATGTGGAAATTGAGGCCCAGTGAAACCATGTAATTTGCTAGAGATAACAAGTGGTAGAGTGTGAATTGTATACAGTCCAGGTGGAAGTGGCTCCAGAACATTTACATTTTTTTTTTTAAATCTCTTGCTAAACCATACTTCAGTTTTTGTTTGTTTGTTTTTGAGATGGAGTCTCATTCTTGTTGCCCAGGCTGGAGTGCAATGATACAATCTCACCTCACTGCAACCTCCGCCTCCTGGGTACAAGTGATTCTCCTGCCTCAGCCTCCTGAGTAGCTGGGATTACAGGCACCCGTCACCACGCCTGGCTAATATTTTTAGTAGAGACGGGGTTTCACCATGTTGGCCAGACTGGTCTCAAACCCCTGACCTCAGGTGATCCACCCACCTCTGCCTCCCAAAGTGCTGGGATTACAGGTGTGAGCCACCACATCCAGCCCATACTTTAGTTTACTACATTCTTAACTTGTGTTTGGATCTCTTTCTTCCCTGTCTTAACCTAAATGGGAGGAATTGTATGATTATTAGTTAGGCTTCTCCTTTGTTTCCCACATCTTTTCTTAAAAGAGCTCAAGTACCAGAGCTGAATAGTTTGCTCTTCTCAACACTAGCAACCTAAGAGACTCATTGCTTGTTGACTGCCATTCCATAAGTCAAAGGACAACGAATGGTCAGCTTTAAAGACACACCTAAATTTTTTCTAGAGGTGTAACATTTCAATGAGTATCCCCTACTATATGTAAAAGAAACCTATCAGTAGATAGTAGCAGTTCTTTCAACCCTTTTAGGTGCTCTGAAAAAATTAAAAGTAGAACTGAGATGCTGGCGGGACACAGTGGCTCACGCCTGTAATCCCAACACTTCGAGAGGTCGAGGCAGGCTGATCACTTGAGGTCAGGAGTTCAAGACCAGCCTGGCCAATGTGGTGAAACCCCATCTCTACTAAAAATACAAAAATTAGCTGGGCGTGGTGGCGGGCGCCTGTAATCCCAGCTACTCCGGAGGCTGAAGCAGGAGAATTGTTTGAACGTGGGAGGCAACAACAAAACAGAAGTAAGATGCTATTTGCTATTTTCACTGTGCTGACATTTGCAGTGATTGGTGCAGACACAATGGTGGTCAGTGGACCAGCATTTAAGAACCACTGGTGTGTGGTAAAACCATTAGACTGATTAAAAAAACAAAAAATGAATCTAAGAAGCATTGTATTAAGGGAGAATACTTAGTCTTATCTGTTAGGTTTTCTTCAACATAGAAGGAACTCTTTTTTCCCTTGCGCTTATCGTCTTGGTGCTTTTGGGAGAGAAGCATGGATATGCCCAGTAGCTCAATCCCTTCTTTCTTCTTTCTCTTTGGGAGGCAGCTTGTCTGAAGAGAGCATACTCTGTCCTTCTGTGATGTTGGCGTCACAGGGGCCAGTGACTGGTAAAGTTTGTTTCCTTCTAGCATTCATATTAGGAAATCTACACGAAAGCATCATCCTTCAGATCTTTTATCAATGATAAACATGATGTTTTCATTGTCACGTGATGACTCCTTTTATTGGTTCTAAACTTGCCTAAAAGGGATGTTATTTATTGAGCCCCACAAGTCCATAATAGATTCTTTTGCCTACTTGGTCCATTGGGATATGCGTGATTATTCAGGGGAAGAAGATTTAGATAGCTTAGTAGAAATGGAAAGACTATGGTAATAATTGATTATTGTGTTAGGTCCTGTTATCTTTCTGGTATGGTGTCCAGATAGGCTTTAACCATCGAGTCCTTGGAGCTTTTAAGCCTTAGCAGCTCTGATAATGAAAGGTAATAGGTAAAGAGCCCTGAATTTCAAATCCAAAGACTTTGCCTCTAAGTCTAATTCTGCCGTTTAATGAGGTCTTCGGCAAGCCCTTTACAACTGTTTCTGGTCCTCAGCTTTTCTGTGAGGGTGAATTTCTGTCCTGCTTATTCCTCACAGGGCTGTAGTAGGGTCTAATGTAGAGCTGCACATGACTTCTGTGTTCTTCATTAGTGGGCTCTGCTAAAGACGGTGTCATAGGTCTGATTCCCAAGTAGCAAGCATCCTGTTTCATATCAGACCTGGATAGACTGAGTCATAGCATTGTGTTCCAATCAGTTTTTTTTTTTTTGTTTTGTTTTGTTTTAAGGCAGGTAAATACTTTAGAATAGATATTTGTTGTAAAAGTTTCAAACAATCAGTATATAAGGTAAAATGTTTGAATCCCCTTTAATTTCTCCCCACTAGTACTTTCAGTCCCCTCCCTGGTAGTAATCACTGTTAAATTTGGTATGTATTCACTGTGTGGGGGTGTGTATATACACACATGCCTACATACATATGGTTATAGAAATGTTCTTAAGGTTGCTTTTTCACTCAGTAGTAGGTCTTGAATATCTTTATTTTTCCATGACAGCAAGCAAATACCGAATTATTTTTCTGTAAATATAGAAGTCATAATTTCAGCTTCAAAGCTACATGGACACTAAGATATTTTCTCTGTCCTATTTGATAATATAAAATCTCCTTATAGTATTTCTGACAAGTACATGTACAACCTCTGTTTCAGACAGAATTCATTACTTAAAGTATCCATTTTTGAGGCTATTTTGGTTGTTAGAGTAGTTCGTAGTATAGCACAATTCAGGATATTGGAAAATCTTTTACACACACAGGTGAAAAAACAGGATCAGGTCTAGAGATTAGTGATAGGTTTGGCAAAGTAAAGGCACAGAGGTGCAAAAGAGCAAGCATTGTCAGAGAACAGGGAGTTGTCCTATGAATTAAAACATACTACTCTTGTTTTACTGAGGCTTGGAGATATTTTAATCCAAAGTAGGAAATAAGTACCATAAGAGAGGTTCAGATAAAGTGCTATGGGGACTTTTTTTAAAAGAATTTCAGATGAAATAGCATCTCAATTGGGTATTGATTAAATAGGGTTAAAATATGCAAAGTTGGAGAATGGAGTTATAGGGAAGTATTTTCCAGGAAGAGGGAAAAACGAAGAAAGACAAAAATGCCTGAATCATTTTTGCAAAAAGTAGTTGTAGGGTCGATGAAGGTGAATAATGGGAAACAAGGTTGGGAAGATAGGATGGGGACCACGCTTAAGAGGACTACAAATTATGGGTTTTGCTATCTAGACTTCTTTCTTTAGGTAAAGAAGAGCTGTAGGTTTTTAAGCAGAGGAGTTATATGATTTTAGGTATTATTCACAAAGAACAATGTAGTGGCAGAATTGGATTTCCATATAAAAGGGGTTTGGGAAGGCAAGTTGTTTAGGCTTGAAGCCACATTCATAAAGCACCATTAGTATTTTGTTGAAGATTTTTGCATCTGTATTTGTAACGGATATTGGTTTCTAGTTTTTTGTGGTATGTTTGTCTAGATTTGGTATCAGGGTAATACTGGTCTCATAGAATGAGTTAGGAAGTGTTCCTTATCAGCTGATTTTTTTCCTTTTATATACCCTTGGGTGCAGAGAACTGGAGGTTCCTGGAAATTCCATTCCTGATCCCACAGCAGAGAAACAGGATAGAACAACATGTCCTGAGAGACCTTTTGATACATGCCTTCCTCTCAACTTTTTGAAGCAGCAGCACTAGCAGCAGAGAACAAGGAATAGAAGAAAAATAGAAAACGAACAGGTTTGAAGCGTGGTAAAAGTTCTGTGTAAAAGAGGTGGCACTTTACCTGGTTCTTAAAAAATTTTTTTTAAAGTGATTATGATTAATGTTTTAATAGAAAGGGGAAAAGTCTTTGAGTAGCTGGGAGGTGATAAATCTAGATATTTTTGCACAGAAAGGCCATCTTTTCCTGAGATGAGAAGGAAGAGGGTTAGGATGTGAAACAGGAAAAGTTCCCTTGTCCCCCTTGCAGAGCATGCGATGAGGGTGACTCGCTTCTTCAGTGCCCCGCTGCTCAAACCTCTAGGGGAGCATACCAATGGGCAGGCTGTAGGGCTCTGACCCTATGGCAGGGTCTAGGGGTGAATTTTTACAGCTGAAGCCCCAGTGGTCATGTGTTACAGGGTGCTCTTTTAGTTTAGCTGTCCGTAGGTGGCTCGTGTTAGCTCAGACCCCTGCCTTATCTCAAGGACAGAGGGCTTTCTGTATCCCAGGGTTCTTGCCTTGGTGTACCAGAAGAACTGAATCACACATGGGCTTGGAGAATGAGTGTAAGCTTTTGAGTGGAAGTAACTCTCAGCAGATGAGGGAGCCAGAAGGGAGATGGTTTTCCCCTGGAGTCTGGCCGCTCGGCGGTCCGGGCTCTCCTTCAACTGCCCCAGCCAAACTCTCCACCTCATTCCGCTGGTTGATGGCCTGCTGGTGTGCTGGCGTGCTCCCCTCAATGTCCTCTTGACGTCCAGCTGCTTGTGTGTTCCTCTGCTCATGTGCCCCCTCTCGACATCCAGCTGCCTGTTTGTCTGCCTGTGGCGGGATTGATAAGGAATCAGAGAGACCGATGGGGTTGAGGAGGATATTCATTATTTAGATGCATTGGCCTAGTCGGATTAACATCCAAAGGACTGAGCCCTGAACAAAGAGTTAAGTTACCTTTTAAGCATTTCTTGGGGTGGGGGGAGATCTCTTCAGGGGGAAGCATATTACAGAAGCGAGAAACAAAGACAGTTATTTAATTAATTGAGACATGCATTACATCATTTATTACTTTTCAAGGAAAAACATGTTTTATGACTTGAGTTTATCTGTCTATTGACCTTGCAGCTGCACAGCCAGAGAAACAGGGTCTTCACAATGCCTGGGAAAGGAGGAGAGATAAGGCTCACTAGCCACAGAAAAACAGGCAGTTAATTTTTAAAGGACTCCAGCTCTTTCTCTTTGTCTTTCTCAGGGGGAACTGGGTTTTCTTACATACAACTGAGTTTCTGCTTACACATTCCTTCATTTCTTTTAATTCCTGTTCCATGCCTGCTAGGGTCTCAGGGTTTTTATAGGCACAGGATGGGGCTGTGGCAGGCCAGGGTGGTCTTGGGAAATGCAACATTTGGGGAGGAAAACAAAAATGCCTGTCCTCACCTAGGTCCGTGGGGTTGGAACCCTAGCCAGGGACTGCGCCCTCTTCTACCCAGCACTTCCCTTCCCCACTTCCATATCATTTGAAGGGACCAAGCCCTTCCCTTTCCAGCACTTCCCTGGCCCCCTTCCGTATCAGATGGATGGGTATAGCTGCAGGAAAAGAGAAGGAAGCTGAGTTCTTTATGTTCACAATAGAAATCTTCCAGGTCTTAATCTTAGATTTCCAACTTGTCTTCCTCTTTTTTGTGAGGTTGTCAGCTGCTTATATCCGGAGATGTCTGTTAAATTGGGTTCTAACCTCTACTACAAGCCCACTAATCTGTATGATCACACAATAGCAGAGTAGGCATAAAATGTTTGTATTTATCAAATGTTTCATTTTAGTATGCATTATTTCTTCAGAAGTTGTTGGTTTCTCTGCACTCTCATACACAACATTTGCAAGGATCAAAAATAAACATTTATTTGAAGCATTTTCAGAGGATATAATGAAAACTGGTTTTGGCTATAAACATTTAATGAAAATGTAGATTGTATATACCATATATTGATTCCTTGCATAGAACAGAAATTTAGTTTTCCTATGAAATTAAATGCAATGAACCCATATGCAAAAGAAGCTTGATTCTGCTTTATAAAGTTCTAAATCAGGCAATACTAATCTATGGTGTTAAAAGTCAGTTGTTATCTAACAACTAGGGAAGAATGGTTGGGAATACCAGGGGCACTTCTGGAGTGCTGGTAATGTTCTAGTCTTTGACCTAAGCGGGAGTTAGATAGGTTTGTTCACTTTGTGATGATTCATTGTGCTATGTACTTTAAAAAAAAAAACTTTTAAAGTTGACAAAACTTTATTACATATTGTATAATATGTTTTGACATATGTATACCCTGTGGAATGGCTAAATGAAGAAAATTAACATACGCATTACCTCATTTTCTTTTGTGGTCAGAATACTTAAAATCTACTCTCAACAGTTTTCAAGTCTACATCATATTGTTGTTAACTATAGTCAGCATGATATTCAGTAGATCTCTTGAATGTAATCTTCCTGTCTAACTGAAACTTTATATCCTTTGATGAACTCCCAGTCCCCAGAGCCTCTGGTAACCACCATTATAGTCTCTGCTTCTATGAGTTCAACTTTTTTAGATTCCCATATCATAAGTGAGATCATGCAGTATTTGTCTTTCTGTGCCTGGCTTATTTCACTTAACATAATGCCCTCCAGGTTCATCCATGTTATCACAAATGACAGGGTTTCATTCTTTTCTAAGGCTAAATAGTTTTACATAGTGTATGTATACCACATTTTCTTTATATATTCATGAACATGGGAGTAGAGATATCTCTTCAACATGCTGATTTCAGATCTTTTAGGTAAATACCCATAAGTGGGACTGCTGGATAATATGGTAGTTCTATTTTTAATTTTTTGAGGAATCTCCATACTATAGTTTTGTTCCATAGTGAGTAGGTAAAGCTGAGGAGCTGTGAGGCCAAAGAAAGAGGCTGACAAATCCAGTTTCTCAGAAAGAAAATAGGAACTTACAAATAGAAGCCATGTCTCCAGTGACTGTAAGATGGTGGATCCCTGTACTGTTAGCCCCTAGACCCAGGGCTTTTCTATCATAAGGAATTTGCCTAAGGGCAAGATTTATGGTAAGTATGTGTTTATGAGAGCATCAAGACTGTTTTGACCTAAGGACAGGATTTACAGAAAGTAAGTGAAAGTGGAAACCTTAGAGGCATTCCCGGAACTGGGGTTAATCAGAAGTCAACATGGTGGATTAGCATCCAATATGGAGTTGTTTTAACCACCACAAGTTTCCCATAATGCCTATACTAATTTACATTCTCACCAACAGCATACAAGGGTTCCCTTTTGCCTGCGTATGCACCAACACTTGATATCTTTCGTCTGTTTGATGATAACCTTTTTTTTTTTTTTTTTTTTTTAATGAGATAGAGTCTTGCTCTGTCACCCAAGCTGGTGTGCAGTGGCATGATGTCGGTCAACTGCAACCTCCACCTCCCAGGTTCAAGCGATTCTCGTGCCTCAGCCTCCCAAGTAGCTGGGATTACAGGTGTGCACCACCACACCCAGCTAATTTTTTTGTATTTTTTTAGTAGCGACAGGGTTTTGCCATGTTGCCCAGGCTGGTCTTGAACTCCTGAACTCAGACAATCCACTCACCTCGGCCTCCCAAAGTGCTAGGATTACAGGCATGAGCCGCCACACCCAGCTGATGATAGCCAATTTTAACAGTTGTGAGATATCATGATTTTAATTTGCATTTCCCTGATGATTCGTGATTTGCATATTTTCATGTATCTGTTGACCGTTTGTATGTCCTCTTTTGAAAAATGGCTATTCAGATCCTTTGCCTGTATTTTTAATAGGGTTGTTTTCTTACTATTGCTTCAGATACTTATATATTTTTTAATATTAACCCCTCATCACATGTATGGTTTACATATATTATTTCCCATTCTGTAAGTTGTCTCATTACTCTGTTGATTGAGGTGATAGGTTAGGTTGTTTATATCAGATTTTTCTTCTTTTTTCGACGTAGGCATTTATTGCTGTAAACTTTCCTTTTGGATCTGCTTTTGCTGCATACTGTAAGTTTTGGTATGTTGGGTTTCCACTTTTGTTTGTCTCAAGACATTTTTAAATATCCCCTTTAATTCTTTGACCCATTGGCTATTCAGGTGCATCTGTTTAATTTCCATATCTTTCTGAATTTTCTAGAATTCCTTTTAGGTTTCTATTTATATAACATTGTGGTTTGAAAGGTACTTGATGTTATTTCAGTCTTTTAAATTTATAAAGACTTGTTTTGTGGTCAAATATATGATCTCTCCTGCAGTATGTTCTGTGTGTGCTTGAGAAGAATTTGTATCCTGCTGCTGTTAGTTGGAATGTTCTGTATATGTCTTTTAGCGCCATTTGGTTTGATGTACGTAGTTCAAGTTTAATATATCCTTACTGATACTCTGTCTGGATGGTAAGTCCATTGTTGAAAGTGGGGTATTAACGTCCTCTTCAGCTGTGTTGCTATTTCTTCCTTCAGATCAGAAAGGAACGCGTTTTTTCTTTCTTTACATACAGTTTGACCCTTGAACGATACGGGTTCGAACTGCGTGGGTCTGCTTATATACAGATTTTTGCAGTAAATACAATTCGCCCCCTGTATCAGCAGGTTTCACATCTGCAACCAAACCTATATAAAGAATATGGTATTCGTGGGATGTAAAATCTGTATCTGCAGAGTTCTGCAGGGCCAATTATGGGACTTGAATATGTATGTCTTCTGGTATCTGCCAGGGGCCTGGAACCCGTCCTTCAAGATACTGAGGTACGACTGTATTTAGGAGGTCTGACATTGGGAGCATATATATTTACAATTGTTACATCCTCTTGCAAATTCACCCCTTTGTCATTTACTTACCTTGTCTCTTTTTGCAGTTTTTGAATTAAAGTCTATTCTATTTGATAAAACTATAGTGTCTTCTGCACTCTTGGTTTCTGTTTTCATGGAATATCTTTTTTCCATCCCTTCTCTTTCAAACCATGTGTGTCCTTGTAGGCAGCATTTAGTTGGGTCTTGTTTTCCTTTACCCATTCAGCTGCTCTGTCTTTTCATGTGAGAATGTGTGCATCTATTTTGTGTTGCTATGAAGGAATACCTAAGACTGAGTAATTTATACAGGAAAGAGATTTAATTGGCTCACAGTTCTGCAGGCTGTACAGGAAGCATGGTGCTGGCATCTACTCAGCTTCTGGTGAGGGCCTCATGGAGCTTTTACTCATGGCAGAAGGTGAAGTCAAATGTCACATGGTGAGAGGAAGCAAGAGAGGGGGGAAGTCCCACACTCTTTTAAATAACCAGATCTCTCATGAACTCAGAACACGAACTCACTTGTCGCCAAGGGGATAATGCTAAGCCATCCATGAGGAATCCACCTCTGTGACTCAGACACCTCCCGTCAGGCTCTACCTTCAATAACGGAGGTCACATTTCAACATGACATTTGGAGGGAACAAATACACAAACCATATCAGAGAATTTAACCCATTTACATTCAAGATTATTATTGATAAATAAGGACTCACTACTGCAATTTTGTTCATTGTTTTCTAGTTGTTTGGCAGACCCTCTGTTTCTTCCTCTCTTGCTGTCTTCCTTTGTGATTAGATGATTTTCTCTAGTGGCAAGCTTTCATTCCTTACTGTTTACTTTTTGTGCATCTACTCTTGGCTTTTAGTTTGTGGTTACCATGAGGCTTATATAAAACATCTTATAACAGGATATTTCAGACTAATAATTTTCATTGCATTAAAAAAAACTGTATACTTTTACTCCATGCTCCCCATTTTGTTTTTGATGTCACAATTTATATTTTTATATCATATATCCATTAACAAATTATTATAGCTATTATTATTTTTTAAAGTTGTGCCTTTTTTTTTTTTTTTTTTTTTTTGAGACGGAGTCTCGCTCTGTCGCCCAGGCTGGAGTTCAGTGGCGCAATCTCAGCTCACTGCAGCCTCCGCCTCCCGGGTTCAAGCGATTCTCCCTGACTCAGCCTCCTGAGTAGCTGGGATTACGGGTGCCCGCCACCACACCCGGCTAGTTTTTGTATTTTTAGTAGAGATGGGGTTTCGCGATGTTGACCAGGCTGGTCTCGAACTCCTGACCTCAGGTGATCTGCCTGCCTTGGCCTCCCAGAGTGCTGGGATTACAGGCGTGAGCCACCATGCCTGGCCTAAAGTTGTGTCTTTTAGCATTCATACTAATGATATAAGTTGATTTGCAAACCACCATTATGGTATTAGAGTATTCTGGAGTTGACTGTGTACTTACTTTTTAACCAGTGAATTTCATATTCATGTTTTCCTGTTAATAATTAGCATCCTTTTCTTTCAGCTGGAAGAATTCCCTTAACATTTCTTATAAGGCAGGTTTAGCGGAGATGAACCCCCACAGCTTTTGTCTGAGAGTCTTTATCTCTCCTTCATTTCTGAAGTAGGGCATTGCAAGGTAAGTGCATATTCTGCTTCTCTTTGTTTCTAGGGGGCCAAAGCTCTGTATTAATAATAGCCTTAATGTAGTGGTTTTCTCAAATGCTGGTTGTTTTTTAGGTTGTAGTAATGGTGTACTGTGTGTGTGAGCGGGTTCACTTTATCCTACAGAGATGGGAAGGTGGAGGTGTTGGGAGGCTTATCTCGTTCTCCAGAGCTGTGTGCTTCAGTCAGCAGGAATTACATTGGGTTGTGCAGTTCACTCTACGGGCCAGTAGGTGGAGCTTGCAGGAAAGAGGCGGCCAAGCACTGTCCAGTGGTGTCAGTAGAAGTGATGGGCCCTGGAGGTTGACCTCCCAGCCAGTAGCTGGCACTTGCAGGCGCCCGGTAGTTGAGATGGTGTAAAATTTTTACTTCGCCTTTGTTAATCAGGAGAGGTATCAGAATTCTTGGGCAATGAGTGGGCCCATGGGGTTCCCAGTGGTCCCCATCCCGGCTCTGCTGCCAAGGTGGCTGGCAAGGGTCTAGGGTCAGCTTCCAGGCCACTGGGGCAATCTTCCAGAGAGGCCGGGAGGTGCCTCTCCTGTGCTACAGAGCCCATTCAGGGGAATTGGGACAGCCCAGGGTTTTCACTGTACCACATTGCAGTGGGACCCACCCAGCTCCCACACCCCTGAGCTGGTAGGTCTCCAGTATCTAGCTGTCAGCAGCAGAACAGAATGGTTATGCTAGTCCCAAGCCAACTGCATTCAAATTGCCTAGCCACAGGCCATGTGACTCCTTGGGGGCAGAAACCATTGTTATTAGGCCGTACCCTTTCTGTTTTAGTCTTATGGAGGGCGGGCCACCATGCTTCCCTGCCACTGCGTGAACCCACACCATGCTCTTTGTGGTTCTGACAGTGGGGGCTCCTACCCTGCTTGAGATCAGATCATAAATCTCCATGCTCCTGGATGGTGTGCTTGAGTCCTGGGGAACAAGTACCAAGTCAGCAGACTTGTCCACTGGCCCCTTGGGCTCAAGTAACAGCTGTGATAGGGAGGAGCAAATTGCCCCCAGGCTGCCAACAAAACACTCAGATGGGGCAATGGTGGCTACACTGTGGGGTCAGGTTCCCCCTGTCTCCTCCCTCCCCAACAAGCCATGGGAATGGCCAGGCAGGCAGTCTTGGGAGGGATGAGCAGGCATGGGGCATGCTCAGATGTAGCCTGTCTTTGTGGCATATAAGAGTGAGAGTGCCTGGGCCGTGCTCATTCCCTGGCCTGGCAGACAGCAGCAGCTGCAGCAGCTTATGGCATGACATAGAGTCTTGGGGGTTGGTGCCCAGAGTCACGCTTTGCTTAAGTTGTCCAGCACATAGAAGCCTTTGGGGTTCTATATGAGTTCAAGTGACCTGTGTGTGTGTGGTCTCCACGTAGTTCCCTAGCTCCCTCTGCCAGTCTAAAGGTCTGTGAGGTCATGGAACTCTTCTGTAGCTAAGATCTCAGAGGCCTGTGGCAGGAATGTGGTACCCCACAGTTCCTTCACTCACCCTTTCCTTGGGTCCTGGTCTGGGGCCAGTCCTGGCACTTGGTGATGCCAAGCACGCAGTCCTATTACTTCCCTCTTTAACCAGTGTCTCCCATCTTCTATTGAATTTCAGTGTTCTCTTTTTTTTTTTTTGAGACGGAGTTTCACTCTTATTGCCCAGGCTGGAGTGCAATGGTGCGATCTCGGCTCACCGCAACCTCCGCCTTGCGGGTTCAAGTGATTCTCCTGCCTCAGCCTCCCAAGTAGCTGGGATTGCAGGCATGTGCCACCACGCCTGGCTAAGTTTGGTATTTTTAGTAGAGACAGGGTTTCTCCATGTTGGTCAGGCTGGTCTCGAACTCCTGACCTCAGGTGATCCGCCTGCCTCGGCCTCCCAAAGTGTTGGGATTACAGGTGTGAGCCACTGCACCCAGCCTGTTCTCTCTTAAAAGATCTGTTCATGTGATTTACTCAATATTTTGGTTCCTCTTTGTGGAAGAGGCACATCCTAGCTGCATCTAGTCAGCCATGTTGAACCTGGTATCTTTATTGCATTTTTCATTTGTTGTACTCTGCAGCTATGGAACTTTTTTTATTTCAATCTATTAAATTTCTCATTTTGTTTTCCTGATTTCATTGAATTGTTCCTCTGTATTTCCTTGGTTTGCTGAGCTTCCTTAAAATGATTACTTTGAATTCTTTGTTATGTAGTTTGTTGCTCTCCATTTCTCTGGCATTAGCTACTGGGAAATTATTGTGTTCTTTTGATATTGATGTTTTCTTGGCTTTTCATGTTTCTTTTTACCTTACGTTGATGTTTGAGCATTTGGTGCAGCAGTCACCTCTTCCAGACTTTTAAGACTGGTTTTGTTAAGGAAAGACTTCCCCTGTGAGAGGGGGATGTGAGGGCACTGGCTGGGTGAGGTGCAGTGATTCTGGCAGCTGTGAGGATGCAACAGTGTAGTCTCCTTGTAGCTCTTTCAGCTGAGATCACTGTTGAAAACTGCAGGGATCCTCAGCAACCAACACTGTCAGTGTTTGCAGCAGTGGTAAGGGCTGTTGGGGTGCTTGGTGATGATGACTGTAGGGTCCTCTTGATCTCTCTTTCCCCGACCAGGGAAGTTGTGGCTAAAGGGATCCTTCTTGACACTGGGTCTGGCATGCAAGCCCACTTGAGGTGGCAATGGAACTGGTGTCTGATGAGTGATGCCCACAGAGCAGCATGTGTAAAGGGACTATAGCTCTGGGGTGGTAATGGCACTGGTGCCCAGGGCACAGACACCCTGCTGGTGAAGTATGGGAGCTTGTGAAACAGGCAGGGACAAGAGCACAAGTGTGCACACAGCTACAGCGGCTTTAGTGTGGAGGCAAGGCCTGGCCCTCTGTGATGACTGAGCTGGTCTCCAGGGTGTAAACACATAGAGAAACCTTGGCTCTGGGGCCCAGGGTGTAAACTCCCTTACTATGGCAGTGGCTTTACTGTTTGCGGTATAGGTGTGCACAGCCCAGCCTTGGAGTCAGGGCCTGGAGCATGGGCTCTCAATGGCAGCTGAGCTGGTGTTTGGAGTGTGGACATGCAGAGAGATCTTGGCTCTGGAGTGCAAACTAGCTTGCTATGGCCATGGCTGTTGGTTACCTTTGTGGCAAAAGAAGGTGGTATCCTCTGCAGAGCAGGCCACATGACTGATATCGATAGTGCCTGCCTTTCTTCTTAGCCATCTTCTGGTGTCTCAGGAATTCTGATCTCATAAGCAATTTTTTATGTGCATTTTTTCTTTTAATTCTCCACTAGGTTGTTGCACATTTTTTAATGGGCCCTTGAGGCTGGGTGCAGTAGCTCATGCCTGTAATTCTAGCAGTTTGGGAGGCTGAGGCAGTAGGATCGCTTGAGCTCAAGAGTTTGAGACCAGCATAGGCAACATAGTGAGGCCCTGTTTCTACTCAGAAACAAAAATAAAAAACAACCAAAAACTTAGTCAAGCATGGTGGCACCTGAGTCCCAGCTATTTGGGGAGTCTGAGGTGGGAGGATCACTTCAGCCCAGGAGTTTGAGGCTGCAGTGTGCTATGATCACACCACTGCACTCCAGCATAGGCGACACAGTGAGAGATCCTGCCATTCATTAATTCATACAAACATATATACATATATTAAGACAATTGCCCTTGAGCCCTCCAGGGCTATTTTGGTTTGTGGATAGCAGTGTGTATTTGTTTCTTTTGACGGGGCATGAAGGCTGTTATCTCCTCCACCATTTTGGTGACATCACTTGCCAAAATTTCCATATACTTCTGATTTGTGCATTTTTTGGTGGGTATAATGTAATTTTAAAAAAGTGATTAGCTGAAAGTTAGGAGGGCCTTTTTACCCCCAGAACAGACATCATGTTTATTACATCCACTCTCATACCTATGGACTAAAAGCAAGACACATACCCACACCTAAAGTTGTTGGGGGGGTAAACTGTGGCCATTGTGAAGCCATAGCAAAGTGAGGAGGGAGGCAGAAATATCCAAAGAGGGTACTTTTTTTTTCCCCCTTGGGTATCAGAAAATTGGCTTTGTCGGGATTAATAAGACTTTTTAAAAGCACTTGTGCAAGACAGTATCCTAAATAATTTACATGAAGTATCTTATATAATCCTCATGCAATAACCCTGTGCAGTAAGTACTGTTACCATCCCCATTTTACAGATGACATGGAGGATAAGAGGAGTAACTTACTCAAGGTCATACAGCTAGTATGTAGTAGAGGAAGCACTTAACCCCAAGCAATCTGACATCAGAGCTTGACTATAGGAGGGTACTTAAAATTTTTTTTTGGCTGGGTGCAGTGGCTCACACCTGTAACCCCAGCACTTTGGGAGGCTGAGGTGGATGGATCACCTGAGGTCAGGAGTGCGAGACCAGCTTGGCCAACATGGTGAAACCCCATTTCTACTAAAAGTACAATAATTAGCTGGGCGTGGTGGCAGACACCTGTAATCCCAGCTACTAGGGAGGCTGGAGCAGGAGAATCGCTTGAACCTGGAAGGTGGAGGTTGCAGTGAGCCAAGGTCATGCCATTGCACTCCAGCCTGGGTGACAAGAGCAAAACTCAAAGAAAAAAATTTTTTTTTCTTAAGACAGCATCATTTTACCTTGGTTGTCTTATAACAAATATTTAAATCCATTCTCAGATATAAATTATATCTAGTTGTTTTTTTTTTTTTTTTTTTTGAGGCGTAGTCTTGCTGTCACCCAGGCTGGAGGGCAGTGGTGTGATCTCGGCTCACTACAACCTCCACCTCCCGGGTTCAAGCGATTCTCCTTCCTTAGCCTCCCCAGTAGCTGGGATTACAAGCACACGCCACCACAGCTGGCTAATTTTTGTATTTTTGGTAGAGATGGGGTTTCGCATGTTGGCCAGGCTGGTCTCGAACTCCTGACCTCAGGTGATCCGCCTGCCTCAGCCTCCCAAAGTGCTGAGATTACAGGTGTGAGCCACTGCACCCAGCCTAAATTATATCTACTTTTAAAGAAGAAAAAGCCTGTTGAAAATACCATACTATACACTAATGGATGTGTAACTGATTTATCTAGAGAATGGTAGATTTTCTACCATTAGTATACCAAATTTTAAAATTCTGTCCAGCCGAATAAAGCAGCAGCTGCAAATAAAAATCCTTTGAGTAGTGGTTCTCAAATTTTGGTGCACATCAGAATCACATGGTAGAGTCATTAAAATAGATTGCTGGCCAGGTGCAGTGGGTGAGTCCTGTAATCCCAGCACTCTGGGAGGCCAAGGCAGGAGGATTGCTTGACGCTGTAAGTTTGAGACTAGCCTGGGCAACATGGCAAGACCCCGTCTCTACAAAAATGTTTTAAAAATAGCTGGGTGTGGTGGTGCATGCCTGTAGTCCTAGCTACTTAGGAGGCTGAGGCTGGAGGATAGCTTGAACTGAGCCAAGGGGTTCAAAGTTAGTTATAGTGAGCTATGATTGTGCCACTGCACTCCAGCCTCGGTGACAGAGCAAGACCCTGTCTCTAAAAACACAATCAGATCGCTGAGCTCTACCCCAGAATTTCCAACTCAACATGGTTGGGGCCAAAGAATTTGCATTTTCTAACACGTTCCCAGGTGGTGCTGCTGCTCCTTACCCAGACAACCCCACTTGCAATCTGCCCTTTTGAGTGTTTTCTATTTATCTTGAGTTTAATGAAATGAAGCAAAATCACACACTTAAAACTTTTAGAAGGAGAACAATTTTATTCTAAAAATAGAACTTGGTAACAATGAAATACCAAAAGCTGGTCATTATAATAAAAAGAAAAGAAGAGTTTAACTTTTTTTTTGTGAAAATACAAAATTATCACTATAATATACTGCCAACTCTGTTTATCTGTATTTGAATTATTCCTTTCATGGATTATTCAAGGAAATTTTAAAATTGGCTTCTGCCTAGTACTTATACATCTGGATTGTTTGTTTTGATCTTCAGATAAATACATTCTCAAGGAATGCAAGCAAAACTGAGCATTTTTTTTATGCTTAAGAAATATGGTCCAAAGCAAAATATTTTTTTGCATAACCATTTCCCTCAATTTTTATAGATAACAACAACAAAAAAACCTACATTCAAAGTACGGGTATTTGAAAGTAACAAATTATACTACTTACATACAGAGAAAAAGACATAACTAAACTACTTCAAACCCAATGCAGAGGAAACTTTCAAGGCAAATGATGACTTAGTACTTAAAAAGTGGTTTTTCTATCTTCAAAGTGCTAAAGAAACAAGTATTCAAAAAGAAACTTCAGGTCGGTCTACGAAGTTCTGACTGACTTGAAGTAGTGAAATACCAAGAATGCAGTGGACAAATTTAAAAGGCCTTCATTAGAATAAAGTATATCTTAACTACATTTTGCAAAGAAATGAAGCAATGGTTGCACAACCAGTCAGGGCCAAGTTAGTAACATACAACTCAGCCATCAGCCCACCTCTCCTTCAAACTAAACTAATCTAAATGTATTTTTCAGAAAATTTCCTCCATACTCCATGTATGTGTTACATACATCCAATCATATCCATATTTTGGATCATTTTTTTCTATATTCATCAGATTATTGGTTAAAATGCACAGCAAGTAGAAATGATCCATTTCAAAATTCTTAATATCTAGCGTTCTCTGTAAAACAAAAGCTGACAACAGTTTTATTGTACTCCTATTAAATGTAGGTGCATGTTCATTAGGACATCTGAGCTATTTTTAGGACCTTCAGAAACTGGTGTGATTCACTTTGGCCCTCTGAGATAGAAATGCCATCTTAGTATTTACTGTGACTACATACCTCTTTTGTTAAAACTTGACCCTGAGTTTTGAGTGCTGGAATATAAACTGTAAAATGGAAAACACTCCAAAATACATTAGCTAATATTGGTGTCTCTACAATACTGTGCTTTTTCTCTCCATTAACATAATGCATCTGAGAGTACTTCTCCTTCAGCATGGAGTAAGAGGAGGGATTTGAGGGAATATCCAAATCAGGAAGGAGGAAATGTCCTCTCTAAAAATTCCTCTCAAAACTTTCTAAGAATTTATTCTAAAATATTTTGGTGTTTGTTTTAGTATAAAAATGTCATTTCCCCAAATCTGAGTAATATCGACAGTGCATGAAAGAAAATATAGCATTTTCATCCTGCAGGTTTAGTTGCCTGGGGGAAGTCCCACAATCCCTGGCTTAATAAACACAGCATTACGCTATAGTTTTGACTCTATAGAATTCTAAATGTTCTTTTGAAAATCATACAAGCGGTTCTTTTTCTTAAAGTTAGGTGTGTTTACACTCAATTAAAAATTTCTAGATATTGAAAGCAGCTCTACAGTTCTTAAAATATTCACAAAATATAAAATTAAAATTAAATGAACTAAAGTAACTTCCAGTGGTGACAATATTCTCACAGTAGCAAATAATCTAACTTCTAGGAGGTTTTTTCCCTATAATGCCAGGATTATTTAATACTGACAACTAAGTCTTTAAAACATTATTATGTTAAACACTGCAGTTTACCTAAATTACACAGAGAACAAAAATTACATCAACATTGAAAGCTCAAAAGAAGTTAATAAAAATATGTGCTCCTTAATGCTCCAATGGATCCCTAACAGGGCTAAGCAAAGCTATTATTTTGGGTTTTATTTGAAAATTTTCTTTTTCTTGGAGTATTTTGTTTCTAGACCAACTACTACAGTTTAAAGCACAAAAAATGTTGATGTTTTTCTTAAATTATGCTTCAGATCTAGTTTGATTGTATAATTTCTGTGTGGCATTAGTAATTAAGATATATCCAGCTCTGAAAAGCACTGAAGTTCTTTATGTGAGCTACAAAAGATACCCAAAATCCTGAGTGCTGTGACAAACTTCTTATTTGTATGCCCAGATGGCATTCTGTCTTTCAGTGATGACGTCTTTCAATTACTGGTCATATGTGACCAATGCCCCCACCCCAGCCAAAAAAAAAAAGATAGGACTTGTTTGTCTTACTATGAACTTGCTAAAACCATTGTATGAACGGTCTATAAGGATCCAGATGTTTATTTCAAAACCCAAACCCTTGTTACCTTGAAGAATCTTTACATATTTACGTAATACACTGTACATTATATGCATGGCCTGTTTATACTATTTTCAAAAAGAGAATATTGTTTTAAACTATTAATAAACCAAAATTAATTGATAGGGCAGCATCAATCTGTATTCCATCCTTGGTCCATGGATTTCCTTAAATGATGGCATCATGTTCATCTCTGTAATATATTAAAAGTTACAATTACTTTGTTTTGTTTTTTCTGTCAAAACTACTTATGTTCCTATTTGTTAGTAAAGTAGGATTAGAACAATTTCAAGCTGCACAATCAAAATGGTCAGTGTTCTGTGTAAAGTTCCTTAAGTATCCAATATACTGTAGTGGTTAAAGATCTGGGGGTTAATGGCATGGGGATCCACCATCTTGTCTTGCTGCAATCATAGACACAGACATAGCTTCTATTTGTAAGTCCCTATTAAATATTTCTTTCTAGCTGGTCACAGTGGCTCATGCTTATAATCCCAGAACTCTAGGAGGTCAGAAAGGAGGATCACTTGAGCCCAGGAGTTTGAGACCAGCCTGGGCAAAACAGTGAGACTACCATCTCTATAAAACATTTAAAAATTAGCCTGGTGTGGCATTGCATGCTTGTAGTCCCAGCTACTCAGCAGGCTGAGGTAAGAGGATCACTTAAGCTCAGGAGGCTGAGGTTGCAGTGACCCGTGATCGCACCACTGCACTCCAACCTGGGTGACAGAGCCACTGCAAAGCACTCTGTTTAGTCATGGTTTCTTTTATGTATTCTTTCATGTATTGACCTTAAAAAAGAATGTTTCTGAATATGCCTTTAATCTGACAAACCACCACCTTAATATTCTTTTAAAATCAGTTTGAGCCTACAGCCATGCCACTGTGAATGTGTCTGATCTCATGTGATCATGGAAGCTAAAGTGAGTTTGATATGATAAATATATGCAACGTAACTTTAAATATAACTTTTAAAAATATGTTTTTAAGGCCAGATATGGTGGCTCACGCCTGTAATCCCAGCACTTTGGGAGGCCAAGGTGGGAGGATCACCTAAGGTCAGGAGTTTGAGACCAGCCTGGCCAACATGGTGAAACCCCATCTCTACCAAAAATACAAAAATTAGCTGGGCGTGGTGGTAGGCACCTATAATCCCAGCTACTGGGGAGGCTGAGGCAGGAGAATAGCTTGAACCCAGGAGGCAGAGGTTGCAGTGAGCCGAGATCGTGCCATTGCACTCCAGCCTGGGCAACAAGAGGGAAACTCCATCTCAAAAAAAAAAAAAATCTGTTCTTAAATTATCATTTTTGTTTAAGTATTAGTAATATAACTGTTAGATCCAATTTTCATTTATGATGCGATGTTTATTTAGAGCTTATGTCAGTAACCTGAAAATCTGGGAAACTTCCATGTTCTTAAAATCTATCAAGAAGTTTGATTTACTTTTATGTGTACTGAATCATATGTAGTGTCAAAACTGGAAGATTCCAATGGCCTATTCCAACATTTCCCAAAATGTGTTCCACACAATACTAGTTCCAAGAGATAGACAGTGTTAGCTCCCATTGAAGAGGGGCAGGGGGAGGGATTTATTCATTCAACAAGTATTTTGGTTAAAAATTTGGGAAACAGTTCATACTGTATTCCATCCTGGAAAATCATAATGTATATCAATATTTTAAAGGCTTAGAGAAGTCTTATAGTAAACTGTCTTAGTTTACTTTAGTCAACTGAACATTTCCCACACTTTTTGATATAGGAACTGTGTGTGTGGGACACATGTATGTCAAATGTTAACCCACAGGGCAAATTTTGGAAAACAGTCATCTGTTCTATGGTATTTATATACATTAACACTAAAAAAAGTGAATTAGCTCTTACATTTGTGTCACCCAATATGAGTATGTTGAAACCCTAATCCCAGTGTGATGATATTTTGAAGTGGGGCCTTGGGAAGGTAGTTAGGTCGTGAGGGTGGAACCCTCGTGAACAGAATTAATACCCTTACAATTAGAGGTCAGAGAACTAGCTCGCCTTCTTTCTGCCATGTGAAGAAGGCCCTTACTAGAACTCAACCATGGTGGCACCCTGATCTTGGACTTCCAAGCCTCCGGAAGTGTGAGAACTAAATGTCTGCTGTTTAAGGCACCCAGCTGTATGATACTTTGTTGTGTCAGCATGAACTAAGACAACACGTAAGACTCAAAAAAACAAAAACAAAAAGGACTATTGGAGCAACAAAAGTTTGGATATATCCTCAAACCATCAGACCTATAGAGCTACATGTAGAGTAAACATGGATTAGGTCTTGTTGATAATGCACATCTAAAAAGAGAGTTTTGCTACAGGTAAAATGATAAATTATATTATTTATACTAACCACTCATTTAAATTTTCAGGGATAATGAGGCTGTCAGAGGAATTTTTTTTGTCTTTGTCGTGGAAAACAAAAGCCATGGTTTTACCAAGGATGCTATTTAGTACCACAACAGACACAGACATACTAAGTCAAAAGCCTGCTGGGAACTGGTATTTCTTACGATTATTGGTATGAGTAAGTGAAAATTTCAGGGTAGGTTAACTTTGGTCTCCTGTAAAGTGTGTTTGACACTAGTAAAATACATTTTTTTAAGTATATACATCCATTTTCATTTGCAAATAATTATAATCACAAGCTTGTACATAAACAATTTACTTTGGGCCAAAAGGGTTAATGGGAATATAACTCATAAATCTATCAATTATTCATCCCTGAGATGAGCACTGGCTTGATATTCTATCATAATTAAAGATGTGCACCAACAATTTTTTTTAAAAAGTCCTGGCCATTCAAAACTTACATGGTTCGATACCGAATGCCTCTTCTTGAGTAATACATTTTGCATCCAATGTAAAGAATAGATAAAACTCCCAGCGTTAATACAATACCACCAACAAAGCTCCCAGTATCAAATTTTGATCCTTTCTTTGCTTCAGAATGCATAGTTGTTGTGACTAGAACAAAAGAAAACAAAAAAGGGCTTTAGCGTTATTTTTTTTTTTTTAACATTGTAATTAAAGCTCTCTGATTTTCTGTGTTAAGAACATTTAATTAGGAATTAAGGGAAATCTAGGCATATAAAGTTTCTATATTATTTTTGCCAGACAGAATAATGACTTAAATGTGGCATTTAACTACTTGCAGCATAGGAAAAAAAAGGTCAGCTTTAATACATACTTGTTACTGATGAAGCAGCAGATGTCACTGAACTATTGTGGGTTACGGTCATTGTGGATGTTGATATCTGAGATGTGTTCTGTGAAACACTTGTTGTTTTGGGTGTAGACTTTAAGGTGGTAGAAGTCATATTTGTTGAGACCATCCCTGGTGTTGTTGTATTAGATGCCGCTGTAGGTTTCATGGTGGTGACCGTTGTATTACTGGAGTCTGAGGCAACTGAAGTTGGTGGTTTCACAGTACTGTTGGAAGTTTCATTTGTATGGTCAGAAGGCACATGTTGGAGAGTCTCTGCAATAATATCAAGAAACATTAAAACCAGAGCTATGATTTAGGGAATAAGATCCCATTTCACTGAGACTTTCATGGTCACAGACAAAGCAAGAGATCTTACAAATACAGCAGCATTTAACATACTTAGCCCATTAATACTTTGCACTATACTGCAATAAAATGTCTCAAACTAGTAAAAGACTCAACAGAAACCAAGTCTAAATTTATATAAAGTTAGAAATTTTGGGGAAGATATGAAGAAAAAAAAAAACAACCCAGAAGACAGAGTTCCCTCAGTGCAGGGACATGTCTTAATCATCTCTGTCTGAACATCTCAACGTATTTCATATCACATAATAGGCTTTCAACAAATATCTGTTGAATGGATGGATAAACTAATGAATATAAAAATGGTTTTTAAATTTCCAGTTCTCTGCTATACCTTCCAAGGGGCTTTGAGGACAATAAATCAGTAGCTGCATGTTTCTAACCCTCCTGGTAGAATGGGAAGTCCAAGTGAGTTATTTTTTGTAAAAGTAAAGCCAACTTCCCACTATGCATTAGGAAGTGAGATACCATCACAGAATGTGGCTAGCTGTCATACTGGTAATAATAATTTCCCATAGTTGGAAGGACAGTTCTAAAACTATCTGTGAAAGTTTTACAAGTCCAAAAGCCAATTTTGTATGAAAAGAAAAATTAGTGATTTAAAATACACAACTCAAACAATACCTTTGCTCATACCTGCAACTGAGTTTTTCTTTTTTGGGGGGTATAATGTAAACAGAAACATATAGGTACAGATCTTGTTAATGCTCCTTAACTTCTTTTTTGTTTTTTGAGATGGAGTTTCACTCTGTCACCCAGGCTGAAGTGCAGTGTCAAGATCTCGGCTCAATGCAACCTCCGCCTCCTGGGTCCAAGTGATTCTCCTGCCTTGACCTCCTGAGTAGCTGGGATTACAGGTGCCTGCTACCATGCTGGCTAATTTTTGTATTTTTAGTAGAGACAAGGTTTTACCATGTTGGCCAGGCTGGTCTTGAACTCCTGACTTCAAGTGATCTGCTCGCCTCAGCTTCCCCAAGTGCTGGGATCACAGGCATGAGCCACCGTGCCCGGCCAATACTCCTTAAAATAAACTTCGATTACTTTTGTTTTCATCCAGCAAAGGTTTCCTTCTTTTTGCATAAAATATGGCCTATAACCAGAAGCAAACCTTTCTGTGTTAATTTTATTTCATACTGCATCTTCTTTTTAACACGACAATTTAACTAACGTTTACAACTATAGGTACCTATTAGGATACAATGTCTAGGGAATGAAAGCTTTTAATATGTCTTTGTCCATTTAATATGATGTAATATATTTCTGTATTCATTTCCTGTCTCATAGTTTATTTTCAGGTTTTTTGGTTTCCTATGTTGCCTACTGCTATGGTTTGGATTTGGTTTGTTTGTCCCTATCAAAACTCATATTGAAATTTGATCTCCAATGTGGCGGTCTTGGGAGGTGGGGCCTAGTGGGAGTTGTCTGGATCATGGGGGCAGATCCCTCATAAATGGCTTGATGCCCTTCACGTGGTAGTGAGTGAGTTCTCATTCTGGCAAAACTGGATCAGTTCCTGTGGAAATGAGTTCCCATGAAAGGGGGTTGTTATAAAGCCAGGATGCTCCTCGGGTTTTCTATCTTTGCAGTTACCCACTTCCCCTTTGACCTTCTCGGCCATGTTGTGGCACAGCTTTATAAAAGCCCTCCCCAGAAACCAGGGCTTGCAGAACTTTCCCAGCCTGCAGAACCTTGAGCTAAATAAACATTTTCTTTATCAATTACCTAGTCTCAGGTATTCCTTTATAGCAACACAAAATGTACTAAGACACCTTTATACTCCCATTTTATTATATATGTCCACATACTTAAGGTACACAGAATTAACCACTGGACCTGCTTTCTCCTTTCCCCCAGTGAGAGCAGTACCAATGCCTTAGGTTCCTTGCCCCGCCACTGTTGTCAAGTACCAAAAGTGATACTTCATATATTATCCTATCTTCCACAACTATTTTGGCCTTATTCTTGAAAGACAGACAGATTGATATTTATTTATTTATTTAACTTAGAGACAAAGTCTTACTCTGTCACCCAGGCTGGAGTGCAGTGGCATGATCTCGGCTCAGGGCAACCTCCGCCTTCTGGGTTCAAGCGATTCTCGTGCCTCAGCCTACTCAGTAGCTGGGATTACAGGCACATGCCACGACGCCTGGCTAATTTTTGTATTTTTAGTAGAGACAGCGCTTCACCATGTTGGCCAGGCTCGTTTCAAACTCCTGACATCAGGTGATCCGCCCACCTCAGCCTCTCAAAGTGCTAGTACTACAGGTGTGAGCCCCTGCACCTGGCCCCTATATGTATTTATTATTGTTATTACTATTTTTGAAACAGTCTTGCTCTGTCCCCCAGGCTGGAGGGCCGGTGCCTGCGATCTCGGCTCACTGTAACCTCTGCCTCCCAGGTTCAAGCAATTCTCCTGCCTCAGCCTCCTTAGTAGCTGGGATTACAGGCATGCACCACCAAGCCCACCTAATTTTTGTACTTTTAGTAGAGACGGGGTTTTGCCATGTTGGCCTGGCTGGTCTTGAACTCCTGACCTCAGGTGATCTGCCTGCCTTGGCCTCCCAAAGTGCTGGGATTACAGGCTAAGCCACCATGCTCGGCCCCAGCTATATTTATTTTTGACTTAACTGTCAAAACAAGTTGGTTTTAATAGTGCTGCTTACTTGCATATCGGGTTTTACTACTGGAATTTCTACTACTTTCTTCAACTTTGGGTCTCTGTGATCTCTTCTACTGAGTATGACCTATTTTCTTTTTTCTTTTTTTTTTTGAGACAGAGTCTTGCTCTGTTGCCCAGGCTGGAGTGCAGTGGCGTGATCTCAGCTCATTGCAAGCTCCGCCTCCCAGGTTCACGCCATTCTCCTGCCTCAGCCTCCTGAGTAGCTGGGACTACAGGCGCCCACCACCACGCCTGGCTAATTTTTGTATTTTTATTAGAGACGGGGTTTCACCTTGTTAGCCAGGATGGTCTCGATCTGATCTCCTGACCTTGTGATCTGCCCGCCTCAGCCTCCCAAAGTGCTGGGATTACAGGTGTGAGCCACCGTGCCCGGCCTGATCTATTTTCTTAATAAGGCCAAAGGAATTAACGCTTTTATACTACATAGGCAAATAAATAATAAATATCCAAGTAGGTAATACAAATGCACTAAGTTCAAATGAACTTGAACTAATCTTTTCTTATTCAAGTCTGAATGTTCTATAGAGATATAAGTAATAGAATTTAACATTAAAATAATCACCTTTTATTTAAAAATGCTGAATGGATTCTATTGCAATGAAATTAAATACAGCAAAGAACCAACGTTTATATCCTATCTTTAGAATAGAATGATCCCGCAGAATAAAACAATGAACACAATGCTGCTTTCGGATTCAACACACACACACACCCCTCCCCCTGCCCTCTGGTATAATAAAACATTCTTCAAAGATACTGTACAAAGTCACATGGGCCAAAATAGGAAGCTATAATAGGTTAGTTCTCCGCTAAGTCAATCCAAATGTGCTAAAGAAACAAAAAATTTTGTCAATTTCTATGTCAATTTCTTTGTCGATTTCTATGAATTGACAAAACAGGCAAAAGGAAATTTTGCATTAAACTGTGTTTCCTGATGCTTTTAAGCATAAATGAAATGCAAGGATGCTCTCCAAATTCACATTGGATGACCCAATCTTCTTCTGTAATAAGTAAATAGTCACTTGTTTTCCTCTGCAAATGATACCATCCCAACTCTGGTCTTCTTCCCTCTCCCTTAACTGTTGAAATGCTGACTGGCACCTCTAGGAGTGGCACAGTTAACACCTGCAAAGAGATGCAGAATGGACCATCCCTGTGGGACTTGCAAGGGGTGAAGCTTTATCTAAGTCTGCCCATCTTAGCCACTCAGTCTCCTCCAGCCTCCGATAAGCTAAGGTTGAAGAATCTGAGGCGCATATGTTGCTGGAGGGTGTCAGTGTGCAGGGTGTCCACTCCCTCCTCTGTCTATGGGGGTAAAGAGGAGAATGCCATCCTCCACCTTACACCAGCCTGGGAAGGCTTCTAGGGCACTACCTGAAGAGCTGGACAAGCATCTACTGGACTTGGATGGACACAGACAGTAGGATTTGATTCAAGCCTTAACAAACATGAGACACTGTGACTGAGCTCTATCTACCCATCAGCTAAGTTTAAAAGGCTGCACTGGGAGTAGACCACACCTCCACTAACAGCAAAGGTTCTTGTTTCCCATGGACCAAATCAAACTCCATGGAAGATAACTGACATGAGATTGCCTTAAAAAAGATAGCTTCCTGGGGCCGAGTGCAGTGGCTCACACCTGTAATCCCGGCACTTTGGGAGGCTGAGGTGGGTAGATCACGAGGTCAGGAGATCGATCACTGGCTAACACAGTGAAACCCCGTCTCTACCAAAAATATAAAAAATTAGCCGGGCATGGTGGCGGGCGCCTGTAGTCCCAGCTACTCGGGAGGCTGAGGCAGGAGAATGGCGTGAACCTGGGAGGCAGAGCTTGCAGTGAGCTGAGATTGCGCCACTGCACTCCAGCCTGGGCAACAGAGCGAGGCTCCGTCAAAAAAAAAAAAAAAAAAGATAGCTTCCCAAGAGAGTACAGCTTAGAGAGGGGGAGGTCACCAGTAGGGGGTGGAGCACCAAAAGCAAGGGCCAGCTGGAGGAGAGGCCCACTGCACCAAGAGCTGAAGGGGGAGGCTTAGCAGGAGGATCTCCCAGGAACCTACCAATGAGAACCACACATCTGCCATCCAGAGGGCACCTGTGCCAAATGAAAACATCCCAGCCATCAACCAAACAGCTTTTGTCCCTTAAGCCTCTCTAGGCCTGATTCCATAAGGGTGGCAAACAGCAGAAGTGAGGAGAAGAGGTGGAACAAGGAAGTCAACAACATTAGCTTTGCCACTGCAAGGCTTCTAAGCCCGAAGTAGGCCTGGGCTGGCAGAAGGGACAAGTTTCAATTTTGAATCACTGTAGAGTTTTATTATTTTGGTATTATTCTGGACAGGAGCTGCACCCTACTAAATAGAACTTATTCAGTGAATTGGACATTCTATCTATAACACCTCAGCTAGTGCAGTTGGGAGGGTAGAGCCACCAGGGGAAGGCTGTGTGTGACATACAGTTGTCCATGCTCAGTGTTAAGGGTTGAATTGTTCCCCTCTCCACCCTGCCCAAATTCATACTTTGAAGTCCTAACTCACAGTACTTCAGAATGTGACCTTATTTGGAGAGAGAATCTTTACAAAGGTCATTAAGTCATTAGGTTAGGCTTATTTATCCATTATGGTTGGTGACCTTATTAAAAGTGAAAAGTTGGAGACAGACACACAAACACACACAAAGAACACCCTGTGAAGATGAAGACAGAGATCATGGTGATGTCTCTACAAGCCAGGGAATGCCATGGATTGCCACAAACCGCCAGAAGCCAGAGGAGAGGCATGGAACAGATTCTCTCAAAGCCCCCAGAAGGAAGCAACCCTGTAAACACCTTCACCTCTGACTCCAGCCTCCCGAACTGTGAGACAATCAATTTCTGTTGTTTAAGCCACCCAGTTTCTGGTACTTTGTTTCTGCAGCCCAAGCAAATTAATACACTCAGCTTCAAAGGTTTTTTCATTTATAAAAAATATGTCTCTGTGCAACGGTACAACTGGCACTAGTGATTCTATTGAGCTGGTTCCTTTTGCAGATCTTTGAAACTAGTCACCATGATATGAAGTAAGTCCATAAATACTTGTCAAACCACTCACAAAACTTGTTTTAATGAAAGTTGAGATTATCTATAGATGTCAATCAGAGATATAAGAACTTCTCTATTTAACTCCTGGTTTCAACTAACATAATTACAGGAAAAATGAAGCAAAGGGCTGTAATAACACCATCCATGCACCTTCCTTCCCAGCAGCTGCAGTGTTCAGCCCACAGTGAAAGACGACAAAGAATGCACACGTGGCTATGAGTGATGTCTGGCACTGCTGTAAAAAATATATTCCAACAGCCCAATCAGTTCTTCATTCCTGTTTGGTGGTAAAATTATTACTCCTAATTTTTCTGTGATTAGAATTAGAGCTTCCATTTGCTGGCTCTTCTTTTTACCAAGCCTGGTAATGTTACCTAGGCATGGTGAGTATAAGCTCAAGCTCTGGATCAGCTCAGCAATTTACTTGCTTGGGTACCTTAGGCAAGTTACTTAATCTCTCTGAGATTCACTACCCTTTCTGGTCTATAAATCAGGGCTATCACAAGAGTCTGGGAGAATTCACTGATATAATCTGTGTTAAGTACTTCCCACAGTCCCTGAGAAGTGCTCAATTAATTCTTTATAACCATTAATTTCATTAAATGTAACTCCCCTACAGAGCTGCACTGTACAATTCCCTATGGGAGGCTGAGGAGTAGGCACTGTGAGATATCCGAGCTCCCATGGTTACCGTAACTACCATCCGAGTAACATCTTATGGAAGAACACACTACTGGGATATTTTTGATTTATCAATGCAAACACCCAAAAAGAAGAAAGTGAGGCCCAGACCTTTTTCTGTTAATACCAGACAGCCACCATATTGCAACAAGGCCAAGGACACTGTGAAGCAGTCCATTTTTCTAGTTTCAAGTAAAAGTACTCCTCAAAGTCTGGATTCATTCCGACTATCTCTGCTGTGTTGAAATAACTTAACCTTATTCCTATAACCTTGAGTCCAAAAATATTTATTAAATATTTAATAATATTATTCTCCTTTAACCTAAATATCTCAAAGTTAAGGATGACAATTTGTTTTCATCAGGGCATCAAATACACACTTAAACCAGAGTTGAAAATACACATCCAATTTTTAAAAATCTCAGTTATTTTTAAATGGGACAGTAGCAGCTTTTCATTTCCTAGTATAGTTGTCAAAAGTACTAAGCTATTCAAGACATAAACCATAAATTTCTGGTGCCATAGTTATTTTGAGGGGTCTGTGATTCTAAGAATGGTCTGCAGCTTGAGTAAATTTAAGAACTCTTATATGGGGTTCTGGGAATTTTTTAAAACATGAAAACCTTGAGAATCTCTTTCCTATAGAATTTACAACCTTACCCCATCAACTAAATATCAGTGTAATTCCAGAAACATTCATTGCTTAGAAAGCAAAGAGGCCTTTCCTCATTGCACGGAGTCAACAGATTCATTCTAAACATTCTTCTGAATTCAAATTACCTGGAGATCAAAAATCCACACTATTGAAAATCTAGATTAAAAAAAAAAAGATCTTTTAAAAAACCTAGACAGGCCGGGTGTGGTGGCTCATACCTGTAATCCCAGCACTTTGGGAGGCCCAGGCGGGCAGGCGGGCAGATCACCCGAGTCAGGAATTCGAGACCAGCCTGGCCAACATGGTGAAACCTTGTCTCTACTCAAAATATAAAAATTAGCTGGGCATGGTGGCGGGCGTCTGTAATCCGGGAGGCTGAGGCAGGAGAATTGCTTGAACCTGGGAGGCAGAGGTTGCAGTGAGCCGAGATCACGCTACTGCTCCCCAGCCTGGGTGACAGAGCAAGACTCCGTCACAAACAAACAAACAAACTAGATAAATCTAGATTCAAAAAAAAAAAAAATCTAAGAGAAAACTGAGCTTAAAAAAAGTCACATCATGATAAAGAACTGTACATTTTCTGAAAATGTTTTATAAATTCCTGAATTTTTAAACTCAAAAACTAAAATTTAAAAAGGGAAAAACAATTGTATATGATCACAGAAAAGTAACAACTAGGGATTCCAATAAGTTACAGTATATCTGCAGTAAATTTACTACCACATTTTAGTTAAACTATCATTCATTCCACTAATATCTATGAACATAAATAGGATGTTTGTTTCCTCTGGCAATAAATGAAAGAGGCACTTCCAGTTAAAGTGATAATGACCTGTCTTAAGGACGATGAGAACTAACAACCGAGACATAGTTCAGGTCTGTGTAAGGAAACATAGCCTGAAAGGTGATCCTGTTCATTCCCAGAACTGGAATTGAACTGCAAAGAAGCTGAGCAGAGAGGGTGAGAAAAGCAGCCTGGCTTCCTAGGGGATGAGACTACCAGATGGGCAAAGTTGACGGGGCACTGTAGACAGTGTCCAGGCTTCCTTACGCTTTTCCCATAGGTCTTGCCCATTCCATTCCGTTTCCACAGACTCAATCCACAATAACCCCTGTTAGTTACAAAAAAAAAAAAAAAGCATGAATCACAGCCACAAGAGCATCAGGCTAGACTGATATTTTCCCTCTGTTCCTGCTCAAAACTCCCCAAGCCTCTCATCCTGGCATCCTTGCTCTCCAGGGAGCAGAATTCACTCTGCTATTCCTCCTTATCACACCCCTGTTAGGCTGACAGCTTGCTCCTCCCTCATGTCTTTCCATAGGCTGGTTTAGTACCTTCTCTGTACCGAGAACTATGCTAGGAGGCTCTGCACACACAGAAGAGACGTGATCCTTATCAGCATGGAGGGTGGTCTAGTAAGGACAAGAAGGAAACAACACAGTTACAATATGTATGCCAGGGGCCAGTTTGATTTTCACCTCCTCCTCAGGCAATTTCCTTTCTATCGAACACCTACTGTTCATTTTTCTGAACTTTTATTATTATTTTAAAAATTAATGTATCTTGTGTGTTACAATACAAAATATATTTGGTCTTTGTCCCTGGTTCCTGGCACAGAGTTTCTAAAATCCCTTGGGATTTTCCTGAATGATGGGAGCGTCTTTGGTTATTCATGAGGACCCCCCCTTTTGCTCAAACCTGAGTTTTTGGCTAATCAACTGCCATAGCATAGGGCCCACAGATAGCCTCAGGATGGGCTCCTCACCAGAAATACCAGGTGATTAGCGGGTTGGAAGTTTCAGCCCCATCCATCAACCTTTGGGAAAGCTAGAAATTAAGCTCTATAAAAACTCCTGTACTGAGATCTGAGGGGCTTCTGAGTTGGTGAACACATGGAGGTGCTGAGACGGCGGTGTTCCCAGAGAGCGTATCGAAGCTCTGCGCACCATTCCTCCACACCCAGACCTTACCCTAACCATCTCTTCCATTTGGCTGCTCCTGAGTTATATCCTCTATAATAAACCAATAAATGTAAATAAAGTGTTTCCTTGAGTTCTGGGAGCCATTCTAGCAAATTATCTAACCCAAGGAGGGGGTTATGGGAAAGCCTGATTTATAGTTAATTAGGAGTACAAGAGCTGAACGTGCAATTAGCATCTAAACTGAGGGCAGTCTTGTGGGCTGAGACCTTAACTGGTGGGATCTGACACTAAATCCAGATAGGTAGTAGATAGAGTCAGAACTGAATTGGATTGTAGGACACTCAGCTGATGTCTGAGAACTGGCAGAGGTGGGAAAAAAAAAAAACACACATCTGGTGTCGGAAGTGCCGTATGATTATAGAGAAACAGTATTTTCCCAGGTCTTGTTTATCTTTTCAAATGAATTAATTGTAAGAACGATGTCTTATATTTTCATTTCATTCTATCAAAGTGTCAGACACAGTTCTGGGAAAACGTGTGCAAGTGCCTAGCACAGTCTGGAGCATATACAGTTGGGGGGCACCCAAGGTATGTCTGAACTCTTCACCATTACAGACAAGGCCCCAGTTGCCCTCTGCTGCCTACCCTTCTGCCCCAGGAGGAAGATCTATCTACCACCTATCCCCTAGCAGGCAGTTCATTTTTATTTCTGTTGCTTTGTTATGTTACTTCAGGTGCCTGGGCTGCTTCCCACCCATTCTCAGCTCTGCGAAATTCTACTCATGTTCAAGAACCAGTCTATACATCATATTAAAGGTATATTAAAAGCAAATAGAGGCCAGGCACGGTGGCTCATGCCTGTAATCCCAGCACTTTGGGAGGCCCAAGGGAGGCGAATCATCTGAGGTCAAGAGTTCAAGACCAGCCTGACCCAACATGGTGAAACCCTGTCTCTACTAAAAATACAAAATTAGGGCATGGTGGCGCATGCCTGTAATCCCAGCTACTCAGGAAGCTGAGGCAGGAGAATCACTTGAACCCAGGAGGCGGAGGTTGCAGTGAGCCGAGATCGTACCATTGCACTCCAGCCTGGGCAACAGTGCAAAACTCCATTTCAAAAACAAAAGCAAACAGAATCAACAGGCCATTTAAAAGACAGAGATTATGAGACTGGATTTAACTGTTTATAAGTAATACAACTTAAATATAAGATATAGAAATGCTAAAAAGTATTGAAAGTAAGAGTAAAGAAAAGAAATTTTACAATACAACTACTGGCCAGAAAAAAAAGATAACAACTCTATTAATATCATATGCAAGTCTTTAAGGTGAAAAGTATCACTAGAAATTTTTTAAAAAGAAAAGACATCTCATAAATGGATTAATCTAACAGGAAAATATATTTCATATACAAGATGAGAAATATATAAAACAAAATACGATAGACCTGATGGAGAAAAGTAGATACTTTTTATAGAGTTGGACTTTTGTCAACATCTCTAAGCAAAAGAACAGACCCCAAGAAATTCATAAGGAAATGACAGGTTCTCAACAATGTTAACAAATCTGACTTCTTCACATACCTTCAATGTACCTAAAAACTACAGAAATCTTCACACGCTAATTCCCAAAGGATGAGAAAATAAGTAACATATTTCTCAATTATTGATAAAGTAAAAAAATTAATTTAAAAATATTTTGATAAGGAACCTATGACCTAAAAACTTGTGGGATGCAACTCAAGTTATGCTTAGAGAGATTTATAGCAAAAATGCATATATTGGAAAGAAAGGTAAAATGAACTTTTGATGTGAGAGTAAGCTTAAAAAATGCACACCATCTTCCAGCAACTCATACAAATGTTTCCATTTCAGAGAAATTTAAGAACTTTTGAAGGCTGTATTCCTCTTAAATGTGAGACTTATACTTCAGAAGTTTCTATTAAGGTATGTGTTAATCCACACCAAGAGAAAGAACTTGGAAAAACTTGCTCTGTCAAAACTGTTGGAAACCATCTCGAGATGGTTCCTCTAGCTAGATAAGTTTAATTAAAAGTGCATGCACCACTGGTGTACATGTGCACGGACCCCACCACCCCATCACCACTGGCACATACACATGGACCCTGCTGCCACCGTCCTGGCAAAGTGCTTTTGCTGGCACCCCCACATTGGAATGTTATTGCCAGTGGACCAGGAACACCTAAGTCCCTCCAGCACGGCAGGTGCTTAACTTCGAGGGGCCAGAAAACAAAGCTGTAGGCCTGGTCCCAGACCTCCAGGGTTAGAGCACACAGCCCCGGAGTGCTGAGCTAAGCCTTGGCCCCCTGAAAGCATTCTGAAATAAAGCCAGTCAAATGAACCCAACTTATGCCACAGTCAAATCAAGGGCATCAAAGAATATAAAAGCAAAAGCCTCAAAGGACAGCAACTTCAAAGCCCACACAGCTGAGAAAGAACCAGCGCAAGAACTCTGGCAACTCAAAAAGCTGCAGTGTCTTCTTACCTCCAAAGAACCATACTGCCTCTCCAGCAATGGTTCTTAATGAGACTGAAATGGTTAAAACATCAGACATGGAATTAAGAATCTGGAGGGCAACAAAGATCAAGATTCAGGACAAAGTTGAAGCCCAATCCATGGAACCTAAGGAATCCAGTAAAATGACACAAGGGCTGAAACACAAAATAGCAATTTTAAGAAAGAACCTAACTGATTTGATAGAGTTGAAAAATTCATGACAAGGATTTCAAGTATTAACAACAGAAGAGACCAATCTGAGGAAAGAGACTCAGAGCTCAAAGACTAGTTCTTTCAATCAACTCAGTCAGACAAAGAAACAAAAAAGAATGAAAAGAAATGAAGATAACTTCCTAGAAATATGGGATTATGTAAAGAGACAAAAACCTACAACTCACTGGCATCCCTGAAAGAGAGGGAGAGAAAACAAGCAATCTGGAAAACATATTTGAGGATACTGTCCATGAAAATTTCCCCAAACTCACTAAAGAGGTCAACTTTCAAATTCAGGAAACTCAGAAAACTCCTGCAAGATACCATACAAGACAACCATCCCCAAGACATATAGTCATCAGATTCTCCAAGGCCAACACAAAAGGAAAAATACTAAAGACAGAGAGAAGGGGCAGGTAACTTACAGAGGGAACCCCATCAGGCTAACAGCAGACCTTTCTGCAGAAACCCTCTAAGCCAGAAGAGATTGGGGGCCTATATTCGGCACCCTTAAAGAAGAGAAATTTCAACCAAGAATGTCGTATCTAGCTAAGCTAAACTTCATGAGCAAAGGAAAAATAAAATTCATTTCAGACAAGCAAGCACTAAGGGAATCCATTACCACCAGACTTGCCTTAGAAGAGGTCCTTAAGAGAGGGATAAACATGGAAATAAAGGGCTATTACAAGCCACCACAAGAACACACTTATGTACACAGACCAATGACACTACAAAGCAACTACACAACCAAGTTTACATAGAAACCAGTTAACAACACAGTAACAGGATCACATCCACACATATCAATGTTAACCTTGAATGTAAACCAACTAGATGCTCCACTTAAAAGGTACAGAATGGCAAATTGGATAAAGAAGCAAAACCTAATCGTAAGCTAGCTTCAAGAGACCAGTCTCACCTGCAATGACACCCACGGGCTCAAAATAAAGGGATAAAGAAAAATCAAGCAAATGTAAATCAAAAAACAACAGAGGTTGCTATTCTTATTTCAGACAAACTTTAAACCAATAACAATCAAAAAGGACCAAGAAGGGCATTACATAATGATACAGGGTTACCTCAACAAGACAACTTAACTATCCCATATAAATATACACTCAACACTGGAGAACCCAGATTCATAAAACAAGTTCTCAGAGACCTATAGACTCTTAAGATAACCACACAATAGTGGCGGACTTCAAAACCCCACTGACAGTATTAGACAGATCACTGAAGCAGAAAACTAACAAAGATATTTGGGACCTGAACTCAACACTTGACCAAATGGATCTAACAGATATCTACAGAGCACTCCACCCAACAACAGAATATACATTCTCCTCATCTGCACAAGGCACATACTCTAAAACTGCACATGACACATACCAAATGCTCAGCCATAAAGCAATTCTCAACAAATTACGATTCTCAAAATCATACCAACCACACCCTCAGACCACAGCATAAAAATTTAAATCAGTACCAGGAAGATCTCTTAAAGGAAATTAAACAATCTGCTCATTACTAACTTTGGGGTAAACAATGAAATTAAGGCAGAAATAAAAAAATTCTTTGAAACTAATGAAAACAAAGCCACAACATATCAGAATCTGTGAGACATGGCTAAAGCAGTGTTAAGAGGAAAGTTTACAGCTCTAAATGCCCACATGAAAATGTTAGAAAGACCTCAAATTAACAACCTAACTTTACACCTAGGGGAACTAGAAAAACAAAAGTAAACCAACCCCAGTCCTAGCAGAAGAAAAGAAATAACCAAAATCAGAGCTGAACTCAATGAAATTGAGATGTGAAAAAACATACAAAAGATCAATGAAACCAAAAGTTGGTGGTTGTTATTATTATTATTATTATTATCATCATTATTTTTGAGATGGAGTCTTGCTCTGTTGCCCAGGCTGGAGTGCAATGGTGCAGTCTCAGCTCACTGCAACTTCCACCTTCTGGGTTCCAGTGATTCTCCTGCCTCGGCCTCCCAAGTACCTGGGACTACAGGTATGTGCCACCACACCCAGCTAATTTTTGTATTTTTAGTAGAGACAGAGTTTTACCATGTTGGCCAGGCTGGTGTCAAACTCCCGACCTCAGGTGATCCACTCACCCTGGCCTCCCAAAGTGTTGGGATTACAAGGTGTGAGGCACCATGCCCAGCCCAAAAGTTGGTTATTTGAAAGAATAAATAAGATTGACAGACTCCAGCTAGACTAATAAAGAAAAAAGAGAGAAGAGCCAAATAAACACAATCAGAAATGATAAAGGAAACATTACCACCAACCCTACAGAAATACAAAAAACCCTCAGAGACTATTATGAACACCACTACGTATACAAACTGGAAAGCCTGGAAGAAGAAATGGATAAATTCTCAGAAACACACAACCTCCCAAGACTGAACCAAGAAGAAACTGAAACCCTGAACAGATCAATAATGAGTTCTGACATAAAATCAGTAATAAAAAAAAATCTACCAATCAGGAAAAGCCTTGGACCAGACCGATTCACAGTCAAGTTCTACCAGACATATATTAATAAAATATAAAATTATTCCAAAAAATTAAGAAGAGATTCTACCCTAGCTCATTCTATAAGGCTAGCAACATTCTGATACCAAAACCTGGCAAAGACACAACAAAAAAAGAAAACTTCAGGCCAATATCCCTGATAAACATAGATACAAAAATCCTCAAGAAAATACTAGCAAACTGATCCACCAGCACATCAAAAAGCTAATCCACCATGATCAAGTAGGCTTTATTCTTGGGATGCAAGGTTGGTTAAACATAGGCAAATCAATAAACGTGATTTATCACATAATGTGAACTAAAAAAACCACGATCATCTCAGTAAACAAAGAAAAGGCTTTTAATAAAATTCAAAATCCCTTTATGTTAAAAACCCTCAACAATCTAGGTATTAAAGAAACATACCTCAAAATAATAAGATCCATCTATGACAAACCTACGGCTAACATCATACTGAGTGGCCAAAAGCTGGAAGCACTCCCTTTGAGAACCAGAACAAGACAAAAATGCCCACTCTCACCACTCCTATTCAAGACAGTACTGGAAGTCCTAGGCAGTCAGACAAGAGAAAGAAATAACAGGAAACCAAGAAAAAGTCATAACAGGTAACCAAGAGAAAGTCAAACTCTCTCTTTGCAGATGATGATTCTCTAACTAGAAAACCCCAGTCTCTGCCCAAGGGCTCCTAGATCTGATTAACAATTTCAGCAAAGTTTCGGGATGCAAAATCAATGTACAGAAATCAGTAACATTTCTATACACCAATAATGCCCAAGCTGAGAGCCAAATCAAGAATGCAATCCCATTCACAGCAGCACTCCCTTCCCCCACCACAAACATACAAATACCTAGGAATACAGTTAACCAGGGAGGTGAAAGATCTCTACAACGAGAATTATGAAACACTGCTCAAAGAAATCAGATATAACACAAATAGAAAACCATTCCTTGCTCATGGAGAGAAAGAATCAATATTATTAAGATGGCCATACTGCCCAAAGCAATTTACAGATTCAGTGCTATTGATATCAAACCACCGTAAGTGGAAAAAAGCTCTTCTAAAATTCATATGGATCCAAAAGAGAGCCCAACTAGCCAAAGCAATCCTAAGCAAAAAGAACAAAGCTAGAGTCATCATGCTACCTGACTTTAAACTATACTACAAGACTACAGTAACCAAAACAGCATGGTATCGGTACAGAAACTGATACACGGAACAATGGAACAGGTTAGATAACCCAGAAATAAAGCCTCACAACTACAGCCATCTGATCTTTGATAAAGTTTAAAAAAAAAAAGTGCAATGGGGAAGGGACTCCCTATTCAATAAATGGTACTGGGATAACTGGCTAGCCATAAGCAGGAGATTGAAACTGGACCCCTTCCTTTCACCATATATGAAAATCAACTCAAGATGAATTAAAAAGACTTAAATGTAAAACCTAAAACTATAAAAACCCTAGAAGACAGGAAGGGAGGGAAGCAGAAAAAAAAAATAAAACCCTAGAAGAAAACCTAGGAAACACCATTCTGGCCATTAGCCCTGTCAAAGCTTTCATGACAGAGACACCAAAGGCAACTGCAACAAAAGCTAAAGTTGAAAAGTGCAACCTAATTAAAGAGCTTCTGTACTGCAAAAGAAACTATCAACAAAGTAAACAGAAAACCTATAGAATGGGAGAAAATATTTGCAAATTATGCATCTGACAAAGGTCTAATATCTAGAATCTATAAGAAACTTAAATGAACAGGCAAAAAACAACCCTTATTGAAAGGATATGAACAGACACTTCCCAAAAGAAAACATACACATGCAGCCAACAAGCATATTAAAAAAATGCTCAACATAATTATTAGAGAAATGCAAATCAAACCACAGTGAGAAAGCATCTCACACCAGTCAGAATGGTAAAAAATAAAAAAATAACAGATACTGGCAAGGCCATGGAGAAAAAGGAATGCTTATACACCGCTGGTGGGAATGTAAATTAGTTCAGCCACTGTGGAAAGCAGTTTGAAGATTTCACAAAGAACTTACAATAGAACTACCATTTGACCTAGCAATCCCATTACTGGGTATATACCCAAAATATAAATCATTATAAAGACACATGCACACATACGTTAACTGCAGCACTATTCACAATAGCAAAGACATGGAATCAACCTAGATACCCAACAGTGGCGGACTGGATAAAGAAAATGTGGTATTAATAATATACACCATGGAATACTACACAGCCATAAAAAGGAATGAAATCACATCCTTTGCAGCAACACGGATGCAGCTGGAAGGCATTATCCTAAGCAAATTAACACAGAAACAGAAAATCAAATACTGCATGTTCTCAATTATAAGTGAGAGCTAAACAATGAGTACACAATGGACACTAAGAAGGGAAGAATAACACACCAACACCTGCCTGAGGGTAGGACCAGGGAGGAGGATGAGGATGGAAAAACTACCTATTGAGTACTACGCTCATTACCTGCGTGATGAAATAATCTGTACACCAAACCCGTCACACATGATTTACCCATGTAACAAATCTGCACATGTACCCTCGAGCCTAAAATAAAAGAAAAACAAAAAGTGCATGCATTCAAGTTTATGGCTTTTCATGTTTACTATTCTAAAAATTAAGGTACACGTTGTACTAAAAACGTTCATTCATTCATTCATCCATATTTAATTTCAATCCTTATTCATGTTTCCTCATATCCTGAATAAGTACTTTTAGCTATCAACATCAATTGTCAAACCAGGGTTAATCATGTACCTTGTATACCTGCCTGGACATGAAATTAATCCAATGGTGTGAGGCAAGAAAGGTTCCTTCACAAACCTCCAGAAGGAGTTTTAAATGGTACTCTAGCAAGAAATCACCAAGAGAACTAGAAAGTCTCCTCCTTCATCAGCTCTCAGCTACCTAAACTCCCCAGGGCAACTGCGTGTCCAGTCTGTTAGACAATGGCTTTTTAAAAGCATTTTTTAAACTACTTTTAAAAGTCAGTATATTCCACACTAGCATTATACCCTTGAAGACATAAATAGTAAAGTGAGCTCAATAGGTCTCTATTAGAAGAATAATGAGATGGCTGAATAAGGAACAGATTTATTTAATCTAAAAGGAGAATTCAATTTTTCTATTTAGGAACACAAATTATTAGTGTGGATTAGAGGTATTAAGATGGGGTGGGTAGTTCTGCCTGCATTTCTAGCTGCAAGGCAGCATTATCAATTCTATCCATCAGCTCTTCAACATTTCTCCCATGCTTGGAATGGCTTTTATGGATTAGGCAGAAAATGAACTGCTTCTCCCTTGTTTTAAGCCTTGAAATATTAATCCAGGAAATACACTGTAAGCAACTCAGAACTTTTATATTCCCTTCCAGTTACATGCTGAGGCCAAATTTCGTTCTGTAGAAACTTAGAAAGTATACTGGAAGGCAATGGGGAAGAATGGTTTTTATATAAAAATATGCACAAACATGAATTATATAGGAGTTAAGACACTCTGTCTTAGAAACTATTTGCATCTCCAGATCCCTTCCCCATCCTCATCCAGCCTGCTCTCTGCCCTGAGAGGTGACACTTACAGACTGCACTGACAGGCTCCCTTGCCCCCCAAGGCTTCTGGTTAGGTTTGGCCAAAGGGAAAGCATCATTGTTAATGTTTTATATTCCTCACTATTCTTATCAGTTTGTATTACTAACGTGACTAAGAGAACAGCAAATGTCTTTTACTGTCTAGGCATAGATCTGACCTGGAATGAGCTCACAAAAGCTGAGCCCTGTGTGCTCTATAGGTATCTGTCTGTCCCAGCAGTATTCAAAGAATACTTCAACAGTGCTCATTCTGCACCGAACGCTGTTCTAAGTATTTTATAAACATTTGTAATTTTCATAACCCTAGGAGGCAGATGTTATTGTCATCCCCATTTTACAGATGAAACTAAGGCACAAAGAGGTTGAGTAACTTGCCTAGGGTCACAAACTAGTAAGGGGAGGAGCCAAGATTTAGACTTCCTCAGGTTGGCTAAGGAGTCCCTGCACTTCATCACTATTAGGCTGCCAGTCACAAGGAGCAGTATCACAAAGTCAAGAAGCTTTGGTTAGGACAGATGAGTGAATGTGTCAATGTTCCACTGTTAACCTTTAACACATTGCTGACTAAGAATGATAAAACTAGGGGGCCACCGGGCCTGGTGGCTCACTTTGGGAGGCCAAGGCGGGTGGGTCACTTGAGGTCAGGAGTTCAAAACCAGCCTGGCCAACATGGTGAAACCCTGTCTCTGCAAAAATACAAAAATTACCCAGGTGGGGTGGTGCATGCCTGTGATCCCAGCTACTCTGGAGGTTGAGGCACAAGAATTGCTTGAACTCAGGAGGCGGAGGTTGCAGTGAGTCAAGATGGTGCCACTGCACTCCGGCCTGGGTGACAGAGCAAGACTCCATCTCGAAAGAAAACAACAACAAAAAAACTAGGGGATAAACAGACTTTAGGCAGAAAAATAACAACATAAACAAGCTCAGAATTACTCCAAGTATTTTATAAACCTCCACTGGGTATGTACCAAATACTCTTGATATGCCATGTTCTATAAACCTGCATACAAGACATACTATCAGTCTGTCTCCATTATAAAATCCACATGAAATAATAACAACAACAACTTCTCATACTCTAAAATATCATTTTATTGTCACAGCGGGACTAAAATGTGTGAAAAAACACATCTGGAATATTTTGAAATAACATTATTAGAGCTGTATTTGCAACCCTGAAAGGCTGTGCAGGTGGTGCTGTCACTCAGTTACAGAAGATTTATGGTCTAAACACGGGGAATAAGCATGTGTAATGTGCAGCTGCCACATAAGAATTTGGTCATTAACAAGCTCAAAGCACCACAACAAAGAGATATTCAGTCAGCAAAAAAAAAAACTGTCTGCTCGAATGTCAGCACAAAAGAAATCCCTAGAGATGACAACTGTACAGTTTAGTATACTAGTAAATAATTTTAATTCATTGTGTAAAGGCACTAGAAAATTTAATATTTAATACTGAACATGTTTTCTTGCAAGACAAAGGAAAAATGGAAACTTCGCCAGTTACTAAAAACACATATTGTTTAATGTTAGTAATGGTACCAAACTGAAGATGGCAGTAATCTGGGGAAGGAGGAAGCAAATATTGAACATATGCTGTGTGCAGTCACCATGCTAGATGCTTTTCATATTTTTAATTTTTAAAAAATTTCGCATGATCTGTAGAACATCAATGGGAGATGGGTTTGCTCCTCCCAATTTGCAGATGAGAAAACTGACCCAGAAGGTTAAATAAATGCCCTGAAGTGCTGTTGGAGGTGGCAGTGAAGACACTTTAACTTAGGTCTTTGAGCTGCTCTGAGCCTGGTGCTCTTGTCATTAGTTTAGTGTTTCTTAACAAAAATCTACCTGAATTCTAGAGTCTGGCGTATTTGATATTAACTGTACATATTGATTAGGCATTAATTTTACCACTATCTTCACTGCACTAGAATCATCATCAATCAATACAGTGTACACACTTCATCACTAATGTTGATGGTAAAGGTGGAAAGAATGGCCGAGTGTGGTGGCTCATGCCTGTAACCCCAACACAGTGGGAGGCCAAGGCAGGTGGATCACTTGAGGTCAGGAGTTTGAGATCAGCCTGGCCAACATGACGAAACCTTGTCTCTACTAAAGAATACAAAATTAGCCAGGTGTGGTGGCACACGCCTGTAATCCCAGTTACTCGGGAGGCTGAGGCAGGAGAATCGCTTGAACCTGGCAGGGGGAGGTTGCAGTGAGCCGAGATTGTGTCACTGCACTCCAGCCTGGTTGACAGAGCAACACTCCATCTCCAAATAAAAGGAAAAAAAAAGTGAAGAGAATAACACAAACATCTGTGTTCTCATCATTCTGCCAATTAGGAAATCCCCAAAAAGTGTGCCCCTCCTCAACTGCATCCCTTTCAGAATAACCACTATCTTGAATTCTGGGTTTATCATTCTCACACATTTCTCTTTATTTTTACTTCACACCAATCTATTTCTAAGCAACATAATACCGTGCTTTTCATACATTAAAATTTTATATAAATAGCATCATGCAAAATGTATTTGCTTTTTGCACTCAATATTATGTTTATGAATTTCACTCATGTTGACATCTTTAGCTCTATTTCATTCATTTCTCACAGTATTTAAAATTTTTATCCTAAGAGCTATGTTTTAAGATGTTTTATGTTTCCATGAGTCTGGCATCATGCAATGATTAACTCCAATACCTTTCTGAACAATCTACCCAGAACAGAGCTGAAAGATAAAACATGTTAGTACACATTGAGGTTTTTTAGTTACAGGAGAGCTACCTCTCAGGCCCTCAGAACCCAACACCTACTGACTCGACAATCCCACTTCTAAGAATCTAGCTAAATCCTAGCTCAAGCTGCTAAAGGTGTGTATTTATGTTCACTGCAGCACTGTTTAGAAGAGTAAAAATAACCACAAATGGGGGCATGGCTAAGGAAAAATTACGGTATATCCCTACTATGTAACACAGTGCAAACATGCAAATGAATGAGATACAGCTATACATACTGTGGTGGTTTTAAAATATGCCCATAAATTCTTTGATAAGCCCCCCTTCAAAAAGTGAAGCCTCATTCCACTTCTCTTGTGGGTGGACCTAACCAGACTCTCTTCTGAGAACAGGGCAGAATGAAATGATGCTATACGACTTCTGAGGCTAGGTCATAATAAGGATAGCTCCCTCCCAGCTCCCTTTAAAGTCCACTCCCTTTTAGGGAAGCCTGGCATGATGCTGTGAAGATACTCAGGCAGCCCTATGGGGAACCTCATATAGAGAACTGAGGCTGTCTGCCAATAGCCAGCCATGTGAGCAAGCCACACTGGAAGAAAATTCTCTATCCCCAGTTAAGCCTTCATGACTGCAACCTCAGATCTGACCCCAGCTAAGCTACTTCTAAACTCCTGACACATAGGAACCATGAGATAATAAGCGTAGTTTTAAACCACTTAGTTCTGGGGTTCTGCTATGTATCAATAGATAACCAAAAATGTATTAACACAAAAAATCAGTAATTCATAGTTCAGTCAAAAAAGCAAGTTGTACAATATTATGTGTATGCCTTTTTTGTACAGTCACACCAGCTAACAGTGATTATTTCTAGGGAGGTATTGGGAAGACAAAGGGAGGGAGGAACGCATACTTATTTTTTTATACACTTTTGCATTACTTAAAATATTAAGTGCGTGCATTATTAACTCCTACAATTTTTAAAAGGCTATCAAGATTTTAAAAAATATATAAAAGTTTTAAACAAATTCAGATTTTTTTAAAAAAATCATCTCCTGTAAAAGAAAAGAACAAAATGACTTTAATTTTAGACACACTGCTAACAAGTTCTATTATGTGGTTTCCTAGTTGACTGCTGATTAAAAGCAGCAAATTGAGGGAGGAGTGGGCTATTAGAGGGAGGCATAATGCCAATACAAAGACACAACAGTTGAGTCTGTCACCAAAAAGGAGACAAAAGCTAATATAAGCCATCTGAAGCCACTCAAGTGTAGGAACAAAGACCCCTACGTATTTATAAAGAAACCTCTGAGCATGTAACTGTCTCACAAGACTATGATTATAAAAACAGTATTTATAAAGCAGTGAATACTTTATCATGTATTTATAAAGCAGTGAATACTTTATCAAGTATTCCATATACTTTATAGAAGTACACTTACTGCCATTTTACAGATTTGAAAATAAACTCAGGGCCAGGCACAGTGGCTCACGCCTATAATCCCAACACTTTGGGAGGCTAAGGCAGGTGGATCACTTGAGGCCAGGAGGTTCAAGACCAGCCTGGCCAACATGGCAAAACCCCACATCTACTAAAAAATACAAAAAATTAGCCAGGCGTGGTGGCGCACACCTGTAGTCCCAGCTAATTGGGATGCTGAGGTGGGAGAATCGCTTGAACCCAGGAGGCGGAGTCTGCAATGAGCAAAGACTGCACCACTGCACTCCAGCCTGGGTGACAGAGCAAGACCTTGTCTCAAAAAAAAAAAGAAACTCAGTAAGCGAGGGGAGTCAGGGCACAGAAGACCCTGAGTTTCATTCTAAGAGTTCAAATTTGATTTATATAGATAAGACTATTTACCTGGCACAGAAAAGGGAGCGGGTCAAAGCTTGTAGATATGGGTCCTCAAGCCACTACAGCCAGAATGAATGTTCCCTCCAGAACACCCAATGCTGTACTGATTGCATGCTCACTGAGCAAGTTTTTCAGAAGCACACTCTTGGTCAAAGACAAAAATATGTTTTTATTTGGTGTTTCCAGGAAACACTAGAGGCAGAAAACCTGTTTGTTGAAAATACAGAAGCAAGAATGAAGAATATCCTAATTTGTATCCATTTCTATTCTCAAGATGATAGCATATGTGTCTAATATCTGTCAATCAAATACTTGTGATCTCCAAGCAGCACCCAGGAATATCAGAAAGAAACAGAGGCTTTTACGCCAACCAGTTCTGTGCTGAAATTGTGGCACAGTCATCTTCTGTGTAGCTCTTTTTTCATCTCTAAAATAGCTAAAATAACACTTAACTCATATGGTTATTGTATGGAATGTAAGAACAAGGATGAAACACCTTGAACAACAACGCTTGGCAACAGCATCATGCTCAACAGATGGTTACGGTCCACTGTTATGAACACGAGCAGTATCATTTTATAACAGGTTATGTGCAAATAATAAAGATGGTTGGCTTGGACCTTCTTTTGAGCATAGACCCATTTCCTTCCCCCTCACCACTGTTCATGTTGTGTCCTCCAATGATACTGATAAAAAGCATTGTCTGTTTTTCGTTTGTCCATCTATCAATGCCACATCCACTCAGACCTAGGTCAAGCACTGTTTCCTCCAGGATTGTTTTTTTTTTTTTCTTTTTTCTTTTTTTTTTTTTTTTTGAGGCAAGGTCTCACTCTGTTGCCCAGGCTAGAAGTGCAGTGGCATGGTTGCAGCTCACTGTAGCCTCAACCTCCCAGGCTCAGTTGATCCTCCCACTTCACCCACCCGAGAAGCTGAGGCTACAGGCATGTGCCACCACACCTAGCTAATTTTTGTATTTTTTGTGGAGACAGGTTTCCCCATGTTGTGCAGGCTGGTCTTAACTCCTGGAGTCAAGCAATCTGCCTCCCAAAGAGCTGGAATTACAGGCATGAGCCATTGTGCCCGGCCCTCGAGATTTTCCTAACTGAAAGTAAGCTCTCCCTCTTCTGAGTGCTCACTTACATTATCTGCACCTTTATTATTGTACTTAGCATACTGGCCTTTTACTATAGTTATTTTTGTTCTTATTAACTTTCCAATTAAATTTTAAGCACCTCATGGTGATATTTATGTCATGTCTCTGTAGCTCCCCCAGTACCTGGCACAGTGCCCAACACATAGAATGTACAAATGAACATTTGTTGAGTGGCTATAATGAAATATCAGTCTTAGGTAACAGAATTTCCTCTAAATATCAAAAGGAAGGTCAGCTGGATTTTGGCAGCTTTGCTTTTGAGTCTAAATAACCATAGTATCCTATCAGAACTCTTGACTTTGCCATTCCTGACCACTGTGTTTAGATCGTTCTTAACAATAATAACAGTTAACACATCCATAGCACTTATGTGCCAGGCACTGTTCTGAATGCTTACCTACATTAACTCATTTAATCCTCACAACAACTTTAGGAAGCAGTAATAGAAGGGAGCCGATGCAGACAGCACTTTTACGCCCGCATCACAATTCATTTCCCTCTATATTTATTATCTTTTTTTTTTTTTTTAAGTGATGGTGTCTCGCTCTGTCTCCCAGCCTGGAGTAGATGTGGGTCCTCAAGGAGAACTGCTTTGAGCTAACTAGTAGACTTACAAAGTGCTCATCGTAAAAGATTTTACAAACAAAACAAAAAGCTTAAAACCCTTGAGTGGAAAGTTATCTAAGAGCAATTTCTTTACAATAATTTTCCCTGCTTAAAGAGGCTGCTATGTAAGTTTTAGCTACTGCAAAGAAGTTAGAAAAATTACCTTTGACTTCAAAAAGTTTACAACCAAGTAAGGTATGCAAAGATCTTTGGTGTCCCTTTGTTGCTGCTGTTTAACAATGAAAGCAAATTTACTTACTAGAAGACAAAGATACAGATTGAATAAACTCATGGCTTAATGTTTTTAAAGTAGTTCCCCCCCCCCCCCCATTTATTGCTCAAAATCCACAACTGGCTATTCAGTTGATAAAAAGTTTTGTGTCTGGGTATATATATCAGTTATTTGAAGTTCTATAGTTGGGATATTGCCAAACCAAATTGAAGTTTTCTAACTATAAATGTATTACTGTCTATTACAGGAGAGAACTCTGAGATTAAGTTGCAGGGTTTTTTGTTTTGCGGGTTTTTTTTTTTTTGCTGGTTCTCTTTTTCACAATCTAGTCTGTGGCTGGAACACACTATACATATCTTTATCCTCCATATCTAGCTAGCTCACTGACAAACATTGTTGTTCAAACACAGTTGGCTTTTGTTTAGTTTCTTAAACAATACATGCCTTTTAATATCAAATGGCACCATGCAATCCTACCACACTTACATGAACTCGATCAGTCTTCAGTCTTAACTTGTTCCTTGAGCTTTTTGTTGACTGAATTTCACAAAAGAGGACCCAGGTCTCTGCTGAAGTAGCACATGCCCAAGGACTATGAGGAACAAGGGGAGAAGGCAGAAGTGGAAGAGAAGGCAGAAGTGGGAGAGAAGAAATAGGGAGGGTATAAATTCTTTTTTTTTTTTTTTTTTGGAGACAGAGTCTCACTCTGTCGCCCAGGCTGGAGTGCAGTGGCACAATCTCAGCTCACTGCAACAGGGAGGCTATAAATTCTACGGAAATGGCTGGGTGCGGTGGCTGATGTCTGTAATCCCAGCACTTCGGGAGGCTGAGGCAGGTGGATCACGAGGTCAGCATTTCGAGACCAGCCTGGCCAATACGGTGAAACCCTGTCTCTACTAAAAAACACACAAATTAGCCAGGCGTGGTGGTACACACCTGTAGTCCCAGCTACTAGGGAGGCTGAGGCAGGAGAATCACTGGAACCCGGGAGGCAGAGGTTGCAGTGAGCCGAGATCGCGCCACTGCACTCCAGCCTGGGCAACAGAGCAAGACTCTGTTTCAATTAAAAAAAAAAAAATTCTACAGAAATAGAATGAAAATGTAAACATTCTACCAGTTCATTTAGGAAGACAAAGAATATTTACTCTGAGATTCAGAAAAGAATATACATATCTTATAAAAATTATCACAATAATCTTCTGGCAAGACACTCTTCCTCAATGAGGATATAAACTTGCTGGAAGGAAAAATGAGATGCTGATAAAAAAAAGTGATTTAACCAGGCCATGCATGGAGTCTAGAGAGGTCTGAATTGTCCCTTCCTCACCCTTCCTGGGAGTGTGAGTCTATCGTTATTTACTATTAGCTAAGAAGAAAAAAACAAGAGTACATTAATTTAAAAGGTTTTTCTTAGTTTAGGATGTTGATATTTCAGATCTAACTTCAATTTTTTATCCTGAATATATTATTACGTTACTACTGCAATATAATCTTAACCTATATTCTTCACAATTTAAAAAAAGTCATTTTATTTTATTTTTTTGAGATGGAGTCTCACTCTGTCACCCAGGCTGGAGTACAGTGGCACAATCTCAGCTCACTGCAACCTCCACCTCCAGGGTTTAAGCAATTCTCCTGCCTCAGCCTCCCAAGTAGCTGGGATTACAGGTGCCTGCCACCACACCCAGCTTTTTTTTTTTTTTATTTTTTAGTAGAGACGGGGTTTTGCCATGTTGGCCAGGCTGCTCTCGAACTCCTGACCCCAGGTGATCCACCCAGCTTGGCCTCGCAAAGTGCTGGGATTACAGGTGTAAGCCAGTGTGCCCGGCCCCCCCAAAAAAAAAAAGTCATTTTAAAGAAGTGTTTTTTCCCCTAGATTACTTTATCCCATATCACAAATTAAATGGCCATCTGGACAATTACTTTATAAAGCTAACTGAAAAAGATATTCTGAGATCCTCAGGAAATGATCCATCTCCAATTTAAGTGGTACATTTTTGCTGCAGCTCATCAAGAATAGGCTATAACTCTGACAAGAGCAGATGTTTCTGAAGAGAAAGGAGACTAGTAACTACTGGCCACCAAGTCTGGCCAGGGAAAATCATTACCACTGACTGTGGCTATGTGGCCAGTAGAATGAACATCTGTTCTTTTTTCCCTGCCCAGCTCCTGTTCCACTCTTCCTTCAGGCAAACACCCTTCGCTCACCCCCTGGGGTCTGGAGGGACTACGAGTGGGTAGGCACGAGATTCAAACCAGGTCAATCAGCCTCTCGCAGGAGTCTGAAATGTGAGTAGAATACACCAGGATGGACAACAGTTAACACAGTCATTTTGATGGCAGCCTCCTCAGGAGATTTGTTAATTCCTGTCCCTGAAATCCCTAGCCACACTAGATCTAGTTCAGTTTTCTTCTTTAGGTTTTGTGAATGTTGGACAGCAGGTGTCCAACAAGTCCTTGTTTATCTAAGTTAGTTATAGAAAATTTCTACTGCTTGCAACCAAATGATTTTAACAATATGAAATTTAAATCTGGGATGATGTCTACTTTCTTCCTGCTCTTTTCTCTTCTTCATAATCACGCTTACGGTTCCTCTTCAGTTTTTTTCCTCCTTTACAACAGAATGCACTTTTCAACTCATGTCAGCAAAAACATTACATGAGACTACTGAAAGGCAAGTTTTGGCGTACAAAATGAAGTTTCTAAAATGAGACTTTCCTCTTTGAGAAGGTCTTTGGCACTCTGCTAACCTTTGACTCTTGCCTTGAGAAAACATTTCCTTACAATTAACAAACATAAAAGCATGAATGCCTGTGTGTGTGCTGCAATGTGACTCTACTTACACCAAACCAACAAGACTATTTTCAGTGCAAAAGTAAACTCCTGACAATCATAGCATTCTACCAAGCAAATGTTTGACATCTTATACATAGCATCTTGTACTGTAAACTATTATAGGCTTCAGATGTAGCCAGACTCACTGCAATCAAATCCAAACTCCCTGAGGGACTTCAGCAACACTGCTCCACCATCACTAAAGCCTCACAACACCGCTTTCCTGTGTCACTTTTATTACCCTCTTTTATGTCAGCAGAAGCACAGATGCTCCTGCCTTGCCAAAAGCCACAGGGCCTGAACAACCCGAGCATCTCCAGAAGCAGCCTGTGCGATGGGAGCACCACACAGCAGGAAGACTGGTGGCAAGCATGGCCCTTCGTAGGGGCAGAGGCCTCTCTGATCTTCCAAATTGCTCTGTCCATCCCCTTCCCCATGCCACCTCTCCCAGCCAGCATGAGTACCTTTTCTGGATGGGCTTCATCTTTATGGAAACAAAGAGGCAAAGAACAGAGTTGCCCGGGACCACAGAAGACAACTGTGGCAATTCTCCCCTGTTAAGTGAGAAGACCAGAGTGCAGGTGGTGATTTGTTTTGACCAAGGGGCTCCATCTCACAACTAAGGCTGGTATAGCAAGCAAAAAACTCAAAAACTGGTTTACTCCTCCCATAGCATTCGCATATCCTTTACTGTTTCAACAAAAACAGCACTGGGTGCTGGGAAGGTGGTGGTGAGTAAAATCAGCCTTCCCCCTGAAGGAGCTGACTTTCTAGTTGGGGAGGCAGAGTGAGATGAAGCATCACATTACATTACTATAAGCCAGTAAACCACAAACTCCTCTGAAGGCTGGTATCCCAGTTATAAGCCTAGAGGTCTAGGACTGGACCTGAGGAAACAAGCTTGAGCAATCTAAAGGCTGAAAGGGTAACTGGTAGCCAGAAAAAGGCAAAGATGAAAGGAAGAGCTCTTCAGGTAGTGAGAACAGAACATGCAAAGGTCTCATGGCAGAGAGGGCAGAGAAAGGAGGAACCAAAAAGGTAAGTGTGGCCACAGAGCTAGGAAAAACACGTTTATTTAGGTCCTGGTTTTGTGCCAGGTGCTTTACATGTTACCTCATTTAACCCATGAGATGGCTATACTCTCTTAGCCGCATGAGACAGCCATCTTTCTATAATCAGCTCTATTTCATAGCAGGAAGTGAGAAGGCAGAGATTAAGTAGCTTGCCCAAATTCAATTAACAGCAAAGCAATTTTTCTCTTTGTATCTTCCCCAAAATACAACATAATACACATACTGGGTGGGGATGACATGGGGGAGGGACCACTAAACTAGTGAACCAAATTCAATGTGGGGTGAAAAAAGTAGTCAAACCAATTCTTACTGAACAGTCAGGTAATAGACTAAAAAAGTCATCACTTTTCAACTAGTTGTTTTCATGTCATGAAGATATAACCATAATGAAATGTTTTGTAGGAGAGGGTCAGTTCCCATTTTAGGAAACTGTGCTTATGTCATTGGATTAAAAAAGAAAAACTAAAAATAGTCGGTGGGATACTTAAAAAAAAACTGTATTTATGGTGTACAACATGATATTTTGATATATGTACACAATGTGGAATCGCTAAATAAATATAGGCATTACCTCACATACTTATCTTTGTAAACTGACAAATTACAGCTGTATAAATTTATAGGTATAAAGTGATGTTATGATTTATGAATACATGTAGAATAATTTAATCATGCTAATTAACATATCCATCACCTCAAATACTTATTTTTGTGGTGAGAACATTGAAATTTTACTCAGCGATTTTGGAAGGTACCATACACGATAAACTATATTCACTATGCTGTGCAATAGAACTAGAAAAAAGAAAGTTTTCCTCTTCTCTGAGGCTCTGTATCCTTTAACCATCATCTCCCCTTTTTCCCCACCCTGCAGCTTCTGGGAACCACCATTCTACTCTCTGCAGTTCCATCCATGTTGTCTCAAATGACAGAATTTGCACATTTGCTTTTTTAAAGCTGAATAGTATTCCATTGTGTGTATATGTATCACATGTGCTTTATCCATTCATCTGCTGATAAACAGTTAGGTTGATTCTACAACTTGGTGATATGGGCTGGCTGTGTCCCCACCCAAATCTCATCTTGAATTGTAATCCCCATGTGTCATGGCAGTGACCCGGTGGTAGGTAACTGAATCATGGGGGCAGTTTCCCCCATGCTGTTCCCATGATAGTGAGTGAGTTCTCAGGAGATCTGATGGTTTTTTAAGCGTCTGGCATCTCCCTGCTGGCACTTTCTCTCTCCTGCCACCCTGTGAAGAGGCGCCTTCTGCCATGATTGTGAGTTTCCTGAAGCCTTCCCTAGCCATGTGGAACTGAGTCAATTAAACCTCTTTTCTTTATAAATTAATCCATCTTGGGTATTTCTTCAAAGCAGTGTAAGAACAGATTAATCTAGTACATTGGTACTGGGAGTGGGGTGCTACTCTAAGGATAGCTGAAAATGTGGAAGCGACTTTGGCACTGGTTAACAGGCAGAGGTTTAAACAGTTTGGAGGACTTAGAAGAAGACAGGGAAATGTGGGAAAGTTTGGAACTTCCTAGAGACTTGGAGGGCTCAGAAGACAAAAAGATGTGGGAAAGTTTGGAACTTCCTAGAGACTTGTTGAACGGCTTTGACCAAAATGCTGATAGTGATATGGACAATGAAGTCCAGGCTGAGGTGGTCTCAGATGCAGATTTGAGGAACCTGTTGAGAACTGGAGTAAAGGTCACTCTTGCTATGCTTTAGCAAAGAGATTGGTGGCATTTTGCCCCTGCCCTAGAGATCTGTGGAACTAGAACTCGAGAGACACGATTTAGGGTACCTGGCAGAAGAAATTTCTAAGCAGCAAAGCATTCAAGAGGTAGCAGAGCGTAAGAGTTTGGAAAATATGTAGCCTGATGATGTGACAGAAAAGAAAACCCATTCTCTGAGGAGAAATTCAAGCCGGCTGCAGGAATTTGCATAAGTAACAAGGAGCCAAATGTTAACCACCAAAAGACAATGGGGAAAATGTCTCCAGGGCATGTCAGATACCTTCACAGCAGCCCCTCCCATCACAGGCCTGGAGGCCTAGGAGGGAAAAATGGTTTCCTGGGCCAGGCCCAGGGGCCCCCTGCTCTATGCAGCCTGGGGACATAGTGCCCTGCGTCTCAGCTGCTTCAGCTCCAGCCATGGCTAAAAGGGGTCAAAGTACAGCTCAGGCCATTGCTTCAGAGGGTGCAAGCCCCAGGCCTTGGTGGTTTCCATGTAGTGTTGAGCCTGTGGGTGCACAGAAGTCAAGAATTGAGGTTTGGGAACCTCTGACTGGATTTCAGAGAATGTATGGAAATGCCTGGAAGTCCAGGCAGAAGTTTGCTGCAGGTGTGGAGGCCTCATGGAGAAACTCTGCTAGGGCAGTGCAGAAGGGAAATGTGGGGCTGGAGCCCTCACACAGGGTCCCCACTGGGGCACTGCCTAGTGGAGCTGTGAGAAGAGGGCCACTGTCCTCCAGCCCCCAGAATGGTAGACCCATCAACAGCTTGCACTGTGTCTGGAAAAGCCACAGACACTCAACGCCAGCTAGTGACAGCATCTGGGAAGGGGGCTGTACTCTGCAAAGCCACAGGGGTGGAGCTGCTCAAGGACATGGGAGCCCACCTCTTGCATCAGCACGATCTGGATATGAGACAGAGTCATAGGAAATCATTTTGGAACTTTAAGGTTTAATGACTGCCCTACTGGATTTCAGACTTGCATGGGGCCTGCAGCTCCTTTGTTCTGGCCAATTTATCCCATTTGGAACAGGTGTATTTACCCAATGCCTGTACTCACATTGTATCTAGGAAGTAACTAACTTGCTTTTGATTTTACAGGCTCATAGGTGGAAGGGACTTGCCTTATCTCAGTTGAGATTTTGGACTTTTGGGTTAATGCTGGAATGAGTTAAGACTTTGGAAGACTGTTGGGAAGGCATCAAGTCTGAGGGCATGAGATTTGGGAGGGGCCAGTGGTAAAATTATATGGTTTGGCTATGTCCCCACTCAAATTTCATCTTGAATTGTAATCTCCATAATCCCCAAGTGTCATGGCAGCGAGCTGGTGGGAGGTAACTGAATCATAGGGGTGGTTTCCCCTACGCTGTTCTCGTGACAGTTTTTCATGAGATCTGATGGTTTTATAAGTGTCTGGCATTTCCCCTGCTGGCACTCATTCTCTCTCCTGCCACCCTATGAAGAGGTGCCTTCTGCCATGATTATAAGTTTCCTGAGGCCTCCCTAGCCATGTGGAACTGTGACTCAATTAAACCTCTTTTCCTTATAAATTATCCAGTCTCCAATATTTCTTTATAGCAGCGAGAACAGATAAATACACTTGGCTATTGTGAATAGTGCTGTAATGAACATGGGAGTGCAGGCATCTTTTTGACATACTGATTTCCAGTCTTTTGTATAAATACCCAGAAGTGGGATTGCTGGATCACATGGTAATTCTATTTTTAATTTTTTGAGGAACTTCCATATTGTTTTCCATAATGGCTGTACTAATTTACATTCTCACCAACAGTGTACAAGGGTCCCCCTTGTCCACATCATCACCAACATTTGTTATCTTTTGTCTTTTTGAGAATAGCCATTCTCATAGGTGTGAGAAGACATTTCATTGTGGTTTTAATTTGCATTTCCCTAATGATTCTTAATATTCAGCAATTTCTCATGTAACTATTGGCTATCTGTATGTCTTCTTTTGAGAAATGTCTGTCTATTCAGGTTCCTTGCCCATTTTTAAATTGGATTATTTATTTTCTTTCTATAGAGTTGAGTTCTTAATATATTTTAATACTAACCCTTTAACAAATAAATGGCTTACAAATATTTTCTCCCAATCTGTATGATGTCTCTTCATTCTGTTGTTTCCTTTTTATGCAGAAGCTTTTCAGTTTGATGTAATCTTGTCTATTTTTGTTTTTGTTGCCTGTGCTTTTGGGGCCAAATCTAAAATATCATTGCCCAGACCAATGTTGTGTAGTTTTTCCTATTTTTTTCTAGTAGTTTTACAACTTCAGGATTCATGTTAAATCTTTAACTCATTTTGAGTTGATTTTTCCATATGGAAATCATGTGGTCTGATATCAGGGTGCTATTTCATTCTTCTGCATGTGGATAACCAGTTTTCCAAACATAATTCATTAAAGAGACTATCCTTTTCCCATTGTGTATTCTTGCACTTTTGTCTGAAATCAACTGGCCATCAATGTGTGATGGGAACTCTTAAAATCTACTCTCTTAACAATTTTCAAGTATACAACATATTGTGAGCTATAGTCACCACAATATACAATAGCTTTGTGGTGGAAGTACATTGAATAATTATTTAAAAATATATACTTTGCTTCCAGAATTTCTACAACGGGCTGGGCACAGTGGCTCACACCTGTAATCCCAGCACATTGGGAGGCCAAGGCAGAAGGATTGCTTGAGCCCAGAAGTTTGAGACCAGCTTGGGCGACAAAGCAAGATTCCATCTCTATAAAAATAAATAAATAATTTTCCACTAGAACCTGTATTATCTTTATAATCACAAAAAATAACAGACACAGACAAGCTAACAAAAAGACAACCCAATTTAAAAAATGGCAAAGGACTTGGATAAACATTTCTTCACAGAAAATATACAAATGACCAATAATCACATGAAAAAATGTTCAACTCATTAGTTATCAAGGAAATGCAAATCAAAAACACATCACATGCACATTAGGTTAGATACAACGAAAAAACCGTACAACAACAAGGACTGGTGAGGATATGAAGAAAATAAAACCCTTATACACTGCTGGTGTGTATCTAAAATGGTGTAGCTACTTTGGAAAACAGTTTGGCAGTTCATTAAACAAAGTTACCATATGACCTAGCAATTCTACTCCTAGGTATATTCCCAGTAAAAATGAAAATATATGTCCACGCAAAAGTGTTTACACAAATATTCATAGAAGCACTATTCATAATATCAAAAGGTGGAACCAACTCCAATGTCCATCAACAGATGAATGGATAAACCATATGTGACATACCCATAGCGTGAATTGTGTGGCCATAAAAGAGAATGAAGTATGGAAATAAGACAGTCACAAAAGACTACACACTACATGATTCCATTCATATGAAAGTCCAGAACGGGAAAATGAAAGTAGATTTGTGGTTGCTTAGGGCTGGTGGGGGAACAGCAGGTAGGATAAGGGGGTGATAAATAAAGAGCACAGGGTTTCTTTTTGAGGTGATGAAACTGTTCGAAACTTGACTGTGGTGATGGTTAAACATACCTGTGAATATACTAAAAATCACTGGACTGTACACTTGAAATGGGGTGTGTGATTATATAAATTTAATTACATGGTATGTGAATTACATCTCAGTGAAGGTATTTAAAAAAAAATGCATGAAGTTTCCTTAACAAAAAGACAAAACGAAGAAACCAAAAGCCATTATGAAAATATTCTTGGTTTAACTCCTTATTTTTTATTTATTTTATTTTGAGATGGAGTTTCCCACTATTGCCCAGGCTGCAGTGCAGTGGAATGATCTTGGCTCAGTGCAGCTTACACCTCCCAGGTTCAAGTGATTCTCCTGCCTCAGCCTTCAGAGTAGCTGGGACTACAGGCGTGCATCACCACGCCTGGCTAATTTTTACATTTTTAGTAGAGACAAGGTTTTGCCATGTTGGTCAGGCTGGTATCAAACTCCTGACCTCAAGTGATCCGCCCGCCTCAGCCTCCCAAAGTGCTGGGATTACAGGCGTGAGCCACCGCACCCAGCCTCAATTTAACTCCTTATAAATAAATGTAATTCAAAGCCAAGAAGACTGGTGCATGAATTACTTCACTAATAAGATTGTAAACAAAATTATGTATTTAAAAAACACGGACACACAAAGAGATGAAGAGCCATGCAGTTAACGTTCAGTACCAATTATTGTTTAACTCTACTTACTGCTTAACTCAAAGTTTCTTCCTAAGAACTTCATACATCTGGGAAAAATTATTCGTGAGAAATCTTTGTGTTACTCAACATGATGGGGTAAGTCATCAATTTTAGTCTGAAAGAAGGAAGTCATGGGAATCTAGAGCAAGCCTGCCTGCTCTCTGTGAAAAAGGAGTATTTAATGCAAAAGAAAGACAATAAAAAAGAATGTCAAGTATTAAATGCCAATTGAATTCATTCTCCTATTCACACTAGAATTTAGACTGAACCCACTGTGAGCCAGATGGCTGCATTATGGAAAAACAACAGGAACCCAGAGTTTGGTAGTTGATTTTTCTGGCCTAGGTCTACTTTTTTTGGCCTATGTTTTATGTTCTACACCATCTTTTGTTTTTCCTGTTCTTGAAAAGGAAAAAAACCAAATATTTTAAAAATGCCCCCAAGTTTTGTTTTCCTGTTAGTTTTGTTGCTGTTGTGCACTTCGTTTTTGGGATTTTTGTGTGCTTTTTCAGTTTGTGTACTTTCCCTCACTGTTTATCTCTTCTAACACCCATTCATCATGACTTCTCCCTACTCCCACCATCCCACAGGCAAATTCAGTGTTTCCTGGGTTTTCCCAGAATTTACATGACAGGCTGGTTACTCAGCCCAGCCCCATCTCTTTAACCCTTAAAATACAAAAATTAGCTGGGTGCGGTGGCACACACCAGTAATCTCAGCTACTTGGGAGGCTGAGGCAGGAGACTGCTTGAACCCAGAAGGCGGAGGTTTCAGTGAGTTGAGATCGAGCCACTGTACTCCAGCCTGGGTGACAGAATGAGACTCTATCTCAAAAAAAAAAAAAAAAAATTTTTTTTACGTTTAAAATGTTAAATGTTCCCTTTCATAGTTCACATCGCAATAAAGAATAGCAGTAGTCCTTAATCTGAATTGGAAGCATTTAATTTGGGTCCTATTTACAACTTTAAGAATGGAGGCATACTTCAGGAAAGAAAGCACCAGTGCAGTTCCAATTTATTATTGTATCTGCTGTCTTGAGAGTACAGGGTGTATGAGAGTGCACAGTGGTTTAGAATCACTATAGAATTTAAAAAGACCCAGAGACATTAACAAGAATCCACATTCTAAGTCGTCAGAATCCACATTTCTGACCTTGTCTGCTGGGGCCTGCTCTGTTTTTGATGGCTCAAAATATAATTCTTTTATTGAAATACATGTTCCTCATCCTGTTTCAGGGCTTCTGCCTGGAATGTTCCTCCCCCTAGCATTTGTAGGGCTGGCTCCTTCCTGTCATGCAGGTCTCAGCTCAGATGACCCCATCTCAGAGAGGGCTTCCCTGACCAACCAATCTACAGCCCTTCCTAGTCACTTTTTTCCACATCACCCTCTTTATGCATGGAGGCAGATAGGTGTTTTACCCTGTTTATTTATTATTATTATTTTTTGAGACAAAGTCTTGCTCTGTCACCCAGGCTGGAGTGCAGTGGCACAATCTCGGCTCACTGCAATCTCTGCCACCCGGGATCATGCATTCTCCTGCCTCAGCCTCCTAAGTAGCTGGGATCACATGCACACATCACCACACCCAGCTAATTTTTGTATTTTCAGTAGAGAGGGGGTTTCACCATGTTGGCCAGGTGGTCTCGCATTCCTGACCTCAAGTGATCTGCTCCCCTCAGCCTCCCAGAGTGCTGGGATTACAGCCATGAGCCACCGTGCCCAGTTTATTTATTTTTAATCACAACCCAAAATCATCTTTTTAGTTGTTTACTTCCTTATAGTCTACGTCTCTCCACCTGGATATTATCTTCATGAGAGCAGGAACTTATTCATCTTATTTACCACTTCATGCCTTGTGCCTAAAACAGTGACTAACGGAGTGGGCAGTCCAAACTAACAGCTGTTCACTGAGTAAGTGAGCATAATATTGCATTATTTTCCTACATTTCATTCCTTTAAACAAAATTGGATGATGTTAAAAATTACCAGCAACGGGTTCCAAGATGGCCGAATAGGAACAGCTCCAGTCTACAGCTTCCAGTGTGAGCAATGCAGAAGATAGGTGGATTTCTGCATTTCCAACTGAGGTACCAGGTTCATCTCACTGGGGCTTGTCGGACAGTGGCTGCAGCCCACAGAGCGTAAGCCGAAGCAGGGCAGGGCACTGCATCACCCGGGAAGCACAAGGGGTTGGGGAATCCCCTTTCCTAGCAAAGGGAAGCCGTGACAGACAGTACCTAGAAAATCGGGACACTCCCACCCTAATACTGCGCTTTTCCAATGGTCTTAGCAAATGGCACACCAGGAGACTGTATCCTGCACGTGGCTCAGAGGGTCCCACACCCACGAAGCCTTGCTCACTGCTAGCACAGCAGTCTGAGATCAAACTGCAAGGCCGCAGCGAGGCTGGGGGAGGGGCGTCCGCCAGTGCTGAGGCTTGAGTAGGTAAACAAAGTGGCCGGGAAGCTCGAACTGGGTGGAGCCCACCACAGCTCAAGGAGGCCTGCCTGCCTCTGTAGATTCCACCTCTGGGAGCAGGGCATACATAGCTGAACAAAGGGCAGTAGAAACTTCTGCAGACTTAAAACTTGCTTGTCTGACAGCTTTGAAGAGAGCAGTGGTTCTCCCAGCACAGAGTTTGAGATCTGAGAACGGACAGACTGCCTCCTAAAGTGGGTCCCTGACCCCCGAGAAGCCTAACTGGGAGACACCTCCCAGCTTCCAGAGGAAGGATCAGGCAGCAACATTTGCTGTTCTGCAATATTTTCTGTTCTGCAGCCTCTGCTGGTGATAGCCAGGCAAACAGGGTCTGGAGTGGACCTCCAGCAAACTCCAACAGACCTGCAGCTGAGGGTCCTGACTGTTAGAAGGAAAACTAACAAACAGAAAGGACATCCACACCAAAACCCCATCTGTACGTCACCATCATCAAAGACCAAAGGTAGATAAAACCACAAAGATGGGGAGAAACCAGAGCAGAAAAGCTGAAAATTCTAAAAATCAGAGCGCCTCTTCTCCTCCAAAGGAATGCAGCTCCTCGCCAGCAACAGAACAAAGCTGGACGGAGAATGACTTTGACGAGTTGAGAGAAGAAGGCTTCAGACGATCGGTAATAACAAACTTCTCCCGAGCTAAAGGAGGATGTTCAAACCCATCGCAAAGAAGCTAAAAACCTTGAAAAAAGATTAGACAAATGGCTAACTAGAATAAATAGCATAGAGAAGACCTTAAATGACCTGATGGAGCTGAAAACCATGGTGCAAGAACTACGTGACACATGCACAAGCTTCAGTAGCTGATTCAACTAGAAGAAAGTGTATCAGTGATTGAAGATCAAATGAATGAAATGAAGCAAGATTATAAGTTTAGAGAAAAAACAGTAAAAAGAAACGAACAAAGCCTTCAAGAAATATGGGACTATGTGAAAAGACCAAATCTATGTCTGATTGGTGTAACTGAAAGTGACGGGGAGCGTGGAACCAAGTTGGAAAACACTCTTCAGGATATTATCCAGGAGAACTTCCCCAACCTAGCAAGGCAGGCCAACATTCAAATTCAGGAAATACAGAGAACACCACAAAGATACTCCTCGAGAAGAACAACTCCAGGACACATAATTGTCAGATTCACCAAAGTTGAAATGAAGGAAAAAATACTAAGGGCAGCCAGAGAGAAAGGTTGGGTTATCCACAAAGCGAAGCCCATCAGACTAACAGCGGATGTCTCGGCAGAAACTCCACAAGCCAGAAGAAAGTAGGGGGCCAATATTCAACATTCTTAAAGAAAAGAATTTTCAACCCAGAATTTCATATCCAGCCAAACTAAGTTTCATAAGTGAAGGAGAAATAAAATCCTTTACAGACAAGCAAATGCTGAGAGATTTTGTCACCACCAGGCCTGCCTTATAAGAGCTCCTAAAGGAAGCACTAAACATGGAAAGGAACAACCGTACCAGCCACTGCAAAAACATGTCAAATTGTAAAGACCATCGATGATAGGAAGAAACTGCATTAACTAACGAGCAAAATACCCAGCTAACATCATAATGACAGGATCAAATCACACATAACAATATTAACCTTAAATGTAAATGGGGTAAATGCTCCAATTAAAACACAGACTGGCAAATTGGATAAAGAGTCAAGACTCATCACTCTGCTGTATTCAGGAGACCCATCTCATGTGCAGACACACATAGGCTCAAAATAAAGGGATGGAGAAGATCTACCAAGCAAATGGAAAACAAAAAAAAGCAGGGGTTGCAATCCTAGTCTCTGATAAAACAGACTTTAAAACAACAAAGATCAAAAGAGACAAAGAAGGCCATTACATAATGGTAAAGGGATCCATTCAACAAGAAGAGCTAACTATCCTAAATATATATGCACCCAATACAGGAGCACCCAGATCCATAAAGCAAGTCCTTAGAGACCTACAAAGAGACTCAGACTCCCACACAATAATAATGGGAGACTTTAACACCCCACTGTCAACATTAGACAGATCAACCAGACAGAAAGGTAACAAGGATATCCGGGACTTGAACTCAGCTCTGCACCAAGCGGACCTAATAGACATCTACAGAACTCTCCACCCCAAATCAACAGAATATACATTCTTCTCAGCACCACATCGCACTTATTGAAAACTGACTACATAGTTGGAAGTAAAGCACTCCTCAGCAAATGTAAAAGAACAGAAATTATAACAAACTGTCTCTCGGACCACAGTGCAATCAAACTAGAACTTAGGATTAAGAAACTCACTCAAAACCGCTCAACTACATGGAAACTGAACAACCTGCTCCTGAATGACTACTGGGTACATAACAAAATGAAGGCAGAAATAAAGATGTTATTTAAACCCAATGAGGACAAAGACACAACATACCAGAATCTCTGGGACACATTTAAAGCAGTGTGTAGAGGGAAATTTATAGCACTAAATGCCCACAAGAGAAAGCAGGAAAGATCTAAAATTGACACCCTAATATCACAATTAAAAGAACTAGAGAAGCAAGAGCAAACACATTCAAAAGCTAGCAGAAGGCAAGAAATAACTAAAATCAGAGGAGAACTGAAGGAGACAGACACACAAAAAACCCTTCAAAAAAAAAAAAATCAATGAATCCAGGAGCTGGCTTTTTGAAAAGATCAACAAAATTGATAGACCACTAGCAAGACTAATAAAGAAGAAAAGAGAGAAGAATCAAACAGACGCAATAAAAAATGATGAAGGGGATATCACCACTGATCCCACAGAAATACAAACTACCATCAGAGAATACTATAAACACCTCTACGCAAATAAACTAGAAAATCTAGAAGAAATGGATAAATTCCTGGACACATACACCCTCCCAAGACTAAACCAGGAAGAAGTTGAATCCCTCACTAGACCAATATCAGGCTCTGAAATTGAGGCAATAATTAATAGCCTACCAACCAAAAAAAGTCCAGGACTAGACGGATTCATAGCCGAATTCTACCAGAGGTACAAAGAGGAGCTGGTAGCACTCCTTCTGAAACTATTCCAATCAACAGAAAAAGAGGGAATCCTCCCTAACTCATTTTATGAGGCCAGCATCATCCTGATACCAAAGCCTGGCAGAGACACAACAAAAGAATTTTAGACCAATATCCCTGATGAATATCGATGCAAAAATCCTCAGTAAAATACTGGCAAACCGAATCCAGCAGCACATCAAAAAGCTTATCCACCACAATCAAGTTGGCTTCATCCCTGGGATGCAAGACTGGTTCAACACATGCAAATCAATAAACGTAATCCAGCATATAAACAGAACCAACGACAAAAACCACATGATAATCTGAATAGATGCAGAAAAGGCCTTCAACAAAATTCAACAACCTTCATGCTAAAAACTCTCATTAAACAGGGTATTGATGGAACGTATCTCAAAATAATAAGAGCTATTTATGACAAACCCACAGCCAATATCATACTGAATGGGCAAAAACTGGAAGCATTCCCTCTGAAAACTGGCACAAGACAGGGATGCCCTCTCTCACTACTCCCATTCAACACACTGTTGGAAGTTCTGGCCAGGGCAATCAGGCAGGAGAAGGAAATAAAGGGTATTCAATTAGGAAAAGAGGAAGTCAAATTGTCCCTGTTTGCAGATGACATGATTGTATATTTAGAAAACCCCATCATCTCAGCCCCAAATCTCCTTAAGCTGATAAGCAACTTCAGCAAAGTCTCAGGATACAAAATCAATGTGCAAAAATCACAAGCATTCCTATACACCAATAAAAGACAAACAGAGAGCCAAATCATGAGTGAACTCCCATTCTCAATTGTTTCAAAGAGAATAAAATACCTAGGAATCCAACTTACAAGGCATGTGAAGGAACTGTTCAAGGAGAACTACAAACCACTGCTCAACGAAATAAAAGAGGACACAAACAAATGGAAGAACATTCCATGCTCATGGACAGGAAGAATCAATATCGTGAAAATGGCCATACTGCTCAAGGTAATTCATAGATTCAATGCCATCCCCATCAAGCTACCAATGACTTTCTTCACAGAATTGGAAAAAACTACTTTCAAGTTCATATGGAACAAAAAAATAGCCCACATTGCCAAGACAATCCTAAGCCAAAACAATAAAGCTGGAGGCATCATGCTACGTGATTTCAAACTACACTACAAGGCTACAGTAACCAAAACAGCATTGTACTGGTACCAAACAGAGATATAGACCAATGGAACAGAACAGAGCCCTCAGAAATAATACCACACTTCTACAACCATCTGATCTTTGACAAACCTGACAAAAACAAGAAATGAGGAAAGGATTCCCTATTTAATAAATGGTGCTGGGAAAACTGGCTAGCCATATGTAGAAAGCTGAAACCGGATCCCTTCCTTATACATTATACAAAATTTCATTCGAGATGGATTAAAGACTTAAATGTTAGACCTAAAACCATAAAAACCCTAGAAGAAAACCTAAGCAATACCATTCAGGACACAGGCATGGGCGAGGACTTCATGACTAAAACACCAAAAGCAATGCCAACAAAAGCCAAAATAGACGAATGGGATCTAATTAAACTGAAGAGCTTTTGCATGGCAAAAGAAACTACCATCAGAGTGAACAAGCAACCTACAGAATGGGAGAAAATTTTTTACAATCTACCCATCTGACAAAGGGCTAATATCCAGAACCTACAAAGAACTTAAACAAATTTACAAGAAAAAAATCAAACAACCCCATGAAAAAGTGGGCAAAGGATATGAACAGACACTTCTCAAAAGACATTTAGGTAGCCAACAGACACATGAAAAAATGCTCATCATCACTGGTCATCAGAGAAATGCAAATCAAAACCACAACGAGATACCATCTCACAGCAGTTACAATGGCAATCATTTAAAAAGTCAGGAAACAACAGATGCTGGAGAGGATGTGGAGACATAGGAACACTTTTACGCTGTTGGTGGGAGGGTAAAGTAGTTCAACCATTGTGGAAGACAGTGTGGCGATTCCTCAAGGATCCAGAACTAGAAACACCATTTGACCCGGCCATCCCATTACTGGGCATATACCCAAAGGATTATAAATCACACTACTATAAAGACACATGCACACGTGTGTTTATTGTGGCACTATTCACAATAGCAAAGACTTGGAAGCAACCCAAATGTCCATCAATGATAGAGTGGATTAAGACAATGGCACAGACACATCATGGAATACTATGCAGCCATAAAAAAGGATGAGTTCATGTCCTTTGCAGGGACATGGATGAAGCTGGAAACCATCATTCTCAGCAAACTACGGCAAGGAAGAAACCAAATACCGTATGTTCTCACTCATAGGTGGGAACTGAACAATGAGAACACTTGAACACAGGGTGGGGAACATCACACACCAGGGCCTGTCGTGGGTGGGGGTGGGGTGGGACAGCATTAGGAGACACATCTAATGTAAATGACGAGTTGACGGGTGCAGCACACCAACATGGCATATGTATACATATGTAACAAACCTGCACATTGTGCACATGTACCATAGAACTTAAAGTATAATAATAATAAATAAATAAAAGATACATGCACACACATGTTTATTGCAGCACTATTCACAATAGCAAAGACTTGGAACCAACCCAAATGTCCATCAATGATAGACTGGATTAAGAAAATGTGGCACATATACACCATGGAATACTATGCAGCCATAAAAAAGGATGAGTTCATGTCCTTTGTAGGGACGTGGATGAAGCTGGAAACCATCATTCTCAGCAAACTATCCGAAGGACAGAAAACCAAACACCGCATGTTCTCACTCATAGGTGAGAACTGAACAAAGAGAACACTTGGACACAGGGCAGGGAACATCACACACCAGGGCCTGTCGTGGGGTGGGGGGAAGGGGGGAGGGATAGCATGAGGAGATAATACCTAATGTAAATGATGCGTTAATGGGTGTAGCACACCAACATGGCACATGTATACATACGTAACAAATCTGCACGTTGTGCACATGTACCCTAGAACTCGAAGTATAAAAAAAAATTACCATCAATTTTCAGACGCAATCTCAAAAACATGAGTTGAACACAATTAACTTTCTGAGGAGTTGAAGCAGTTAAGTGTACTATGAATTCTTTAGTTAGAAAAATTCTTTTCTACATCCAATCTCTAGTTAAAAACTAGTATTGATATCTCTATGTCTCTCTGTGTATCTATCACTGTTTGTATCTATCAACATTTGCATCTATCAGTGAATCAATCAATCAGTCAATCAATCATTCATCTGTATCACCATTTGCAACTAAAGCAACCTGTCAGGCCAATTGGTTCCTGTCTTTGACTGACTTACAAACTCACAGAAAGTTTCCATCTAATATTCTTTTCACACATAAAACATTTTATCTAAAGTAAACAGAAGAAGGTAGTGTGACATACAGGATTATATACCTGATAAATTCTTTCCACTTCAGTAAGACTTTCATTGTTGCAATCGGGGGTAAAAATTGGAATACAGAATAAGCTGTTCCCAAATTTCCACTGCCTTCTTCTGTAGAAATCTAAATGCAAGCCAGGTCCAAGTGCTCAAAATGGTGGTTAAAAGTTCAGTAGTGCAGAATTAGATCCAATAAAGAATAAAAGGAAAAGGTACCTAATAGTGTAATAAAACATTTTTAAAATAAGACCCTCTCACAACTACCCATCCCTGCCATGAATATGGACAAAACTAACCTCACTAGAGTGGCCCAAATGACTAGGCCAAGGATGAATAACCAAACTAATGGCAATCGTAATAAATGGAACATACATGATTAAGAGATAAACGGCTTTGGAAAGGAGTTGGTGCAAGTTATGTCCAAGAAAAGAGCTTCAGATTGGATGATGGTAACCCAATCCTCTCAGATCCCTCTGTTGGGAAGTATCAATGCTATGTGATCAAGGAGACGGCTGTATCCTGAATGATATTGAGCTGCTGTTCTAGTTACTGATGAGATGTGCACTCCAATCTAGACCATGCCACATTTCCTTACATCCTTGCTCAAACCCATTATGAAAAATAATCTGGGCATGTGTCTTCCTTGCACTATAAAGTGTAAATTCATCCATCCACAGAATCTAAATACTCTGACTGCAAATGAAATAAGGGGAAATTATTTTCTATATAAGCTGAAAGTGTGTCAAACAAGTCCCTGCAGACAAGAATGTCAAAAGTACAGCTGTCTTCAAATAATGATTAGAGGACATAAAAAAATAGAACTGTTACATGTAACTCAGTGGTACATTGGAAAGCAACCTTTATTCCTATTGACTTCAAGTACCTATATTACTGTATAAACAGAAAAACAGCTGTAATAATGTATAGGATTGGAGCATAAACCAGTACACATCTGCAAAATGTATATATTAGTGTTTTGATAAGGCAAGTCAGCAATTACAAAATATCTATGTTGCTCCACAATTGAGTTCAACCAACCAAAAACATACATATCCTGCATACCTACTATGCACCAGGCATAGAGTGAGATGTTAGGATGAATAAATCATAGATTTCACTCTCAAGGAACTTGGAGACCAAAACAAGAGAAAAAAAGATTCTCTGAAATTCCAACGTGGTGAGTCCTATAAAAGTGATAGACACCCAACATTCTAAGGAGTACTGCAGGCAGTCTCCGCTTTTTCCAACAGTACATTCCTGGAATACACATCATAATGGAATTTGCCAAAGATGCTATTTTCCTAGTGAGAGGAAATATGGCGCCACAGAAACTGCACTAAATAAATAGCACCAAATAAATTGGTAAACAGTATGTTCAAAGAAACAAAGCTTCAACAATGGTCTATGTAACTAAAAAGAAAAACAGTTAAGCATCCATCCTATAAAAATACACAAACTTAACATGTTTCAAAAGTGTTTTCAAGATACAAAGAGGAATGCGACAGTTATGAGGCGTAAAACACATTGTGCAAAAACATTTTTAATAGTTGTATTATCTGTTCTCCTTCTAGAAAAATTTGAGGCAATGCTTTTCTTCTTTCTCAAAAAATTTCCCTGTGCTAGAAGGGGCATTTGAAATCATCCCACTGACTCTGGAGCTGCCCTCAAAGTATTCAGTTGATTTTTAATAATCATTCACAGTGAAAAGCATGTTTTAAAAGTAAGGCCACACCACACTTCAGACAGTGTGATAAAGAGACATAGGTTTTAGAATACAACTGGGTTTCAAATCCTGAATGTGACACTTAGTGTCATGTGATCTTGGGCATTTCCTAACCACTCTTGAGTTTCAATTTCCCCATGTGTAAACCAGAAATGACACCTACCTCACCACTGTTAAATTAGTAAATGTATGAGGAGTATCTTATAAGTTGTAGGCATTCAAAAATGGTGTCTATTGCTAATATTACTGTCTTTATGTTTCTTCTACCTCCTTTGTCTACCCAAGGTTAAAAGTTCAGTAGTGCAGAATTAGATTCAATAAAGGACAAAAGGAAAAGCTATCTAATAGTGTAATAAAATATTTTTTAACTAAGACCCTCTCACAACTACCCAATGATAACCACTATTACATTTTGGAGTAATCCCTCTAGACTTTTTTTCCTCTCAATGAAAACGTTTTCTGTAGAATTACTAAAACTAGAATTAAAGTATGTCCTGACTACGTACCACCAGACACCAGTCAAAAAGGCAGAGATAATGAAACAAAGAACAGCAGTAAACCAAGAACATAAACTAAGTGAAACACTGGGATGCCCCACAGGAATAAAAACTCCAGCAAGTTGCAAAGCAGCATGAAGGTACTTACTGCCACTGACCTTTACACTTTAAAAAAATGGTTACTTATGTATTTTATGTCATGTATATTTTGCCACAAAATAAAAAACAAAAGAACAAAAACTCCTAGAAGTTAAGGCTTGGTCCATTTTGTATTCTTAGAACCTAGGATGTGCTAGCTCATTAGAGTCCATAAATATTCCCTGACTAAAAGTAAACAAAACAAGTTAGTGATAGGATTGGTGTACCTTTTTCTAGTTTCCAACTCAGTCAACTGTGAAGATTAAGGGCAGTGAGAAGATAACTTAAAAATTGTTTACAAGAAACGTACCTTGATGATTTACTACTGATATTGATGACATCAGCCTGGTTCTTGCATCTTTCCATGTTAGTGAACTCAGAGGCCCAAGGCTTTGTCCCAAACTAAAATCACAGGGTAAGGGCCTCACCAAGTGTTTGGGTTGAGTCTGCCTAATGGGTGAAATGTAAGTAGGGTCTCCTTAGAGTCAGCAGAGGTATATTAAGGCTGCCATGGCTGACTAGTTTACAGTGACTTGTTTCATCAATAGGACCTGCAGACTTCTGTGCTGACATTTCATATCTACAGGCAAACTACAAAACCCTCACATCTAAAAATGTGCTTCAAAAATTCATAACATGAAATTCCGATACACTTTTTGTTTTAGAATTTATTGACATCTTTACAAGACTGAGGAAGATTAATCCAGTGAACTATCACTTACTGATGTCTACTATAGGGCACTAGGGCAGGTTATTGGGATTCATGGGTGAAGAACTCAGGGTTAAAACAGGTCAGTGAACCAGCTTATGCCTACTTCCCTGGCTGTTATTACTTCATGTACCCTAGACAAATGAAAATTTGTTTTTTTAATCTTTTAAAACTCACCTGTTGAGTTAGCACTGGAGTTGTGTGGAAGCCCAGAATTCTCTATGTTTGCAGATGCTGTAAAAATAAAGAAATATCCTGTTATGAAAGAACATTTAACTAAGAATACTGGCAGTATGTGGTTTTCTGCCTAGCGGGAGTAGGGGTAGTGGTGTCAGGAGGGTAGATTATTCCACAGGAAGTTCTACTTTGGCCCCTGTTGTTATGAAACATATCTTGAAGCTGTCAGTAAAAGGGACTGTATTACCAGGTTTTTCAAGATAAACATCTAGCTTACATAACAAACACTTACATAGTACTTACTATATACCAGCCACCGAATGCAACAGCTTTGCCAAAATTCATTTACCCACACAATTGGGGACAGATGGGCCAATTTCTGCCACTGAGGACTCTGCTCTTCTGAGTGGAGTGGACCATTTCAGGAGAGGCCGATTCTACTCACAGGCATCTCTAGGTCTTGCACCACCCAACCAACACCCCTAATTTCATACAATGGAGGGATAAAATAGGATTTTCTTATTTAACTGCACCTTCTCAGTAGGGTTTTAATTTTTAAATTAGTACACCTTTAGATTTGGAAAAAATGTAAGAGATTTCTATGTCCCAATTAAGCAACTTTTCAGAGTGCTTTATTCGTTTTGAGTCTTTGTCTAATGAAGATTAAATATGTATAACACATAGGGAGAGAGCAAGTGTATTATTGTGTCCTTTTCACAAAGATGAACTCTCCCCCACTTAAAAAAAAATCCTCCAAGTACAAAGAAAAGCAGTAACTTTGAAGGATTTATCTTTACTTCTTGGGCAAATTTCTTCTTTGTGAGAATTTCTTCTTCTTGATGGGACTATCATCTATTTATCACAAAAGGATACAGTGTAAGATTAACTTGAAAAAGATCAAGGTCAACAGACTACGTAGATGTATTTAGCAGCAGATAGCAAACAATTGCCAACATTATTAGGTGCTTACCACAAGCCAGGGTTATGTGCATTAGCTCATCTAACCCTCTCAACAATTCTTAGGAGTATTGTTTTGCAGACAAGAACTGAGGCCCAGAGAAGGCCGCCCAGATACAAAGTGGCAGAGACTGGAATTGGACCAGATAGTTTGATTCCTAAGCCTGCAGATATGAGTGCCAAAATGGAACTACTGATTTTCTACTATAAACCTGCTCCTCCCCCAACCTTCCCAATTGTTGCATTACCAGCTGCTCAACCCCAAAACCAAGAGGTCATCCTTTGATTCTTCTCTCTTCCTCATCCCACCCTCCAATCCATCAGCAAGTGATTAGTCCCAACCCCCCATAGATCTAGAATCCACCCTTTTATCTCCATTGCCACTCACCATCATCTTTTGGCTGGGCTAACACAACAGCCTGTTTTTGTTTCCCTGCTATTGTCGCTCTTAACGCGATGATTTCTTAATTTCTTGGCGACTTATTTGAACACTTGAATACAGCCATTTTCAAGCCACCTCAATCCTTGCACTTTTCAGTTACAAGTCAAAAAAGTCCCTTCTTTCCACAGTTGTTCAAGGTGGGTTTCTGTCACTTGCCACTAAGAGTAATGACTAACAGCCGCCCCTCCCATCCTGTTAATGTTAATGTCATTCATTGGAATACTACAATAAATCCTGTTTGCTGATTTGCAAACTTGCTCATAGTCTCCCTCCTCCTTCAACTGATATTTATAAAGCTATGCAGCTGACTGTGAAGAATATTTTAAAAGCAGAATTTCAATAATGTTTTTATCTTCTCCCACAATATTCTAGGCAATGGTAATACTGTGGAATAAAAGTATTATCTACTTCAAGAGCCATCATCATCTAACGCGGCTTAGTGGTGAAATGGTTAATTGAAAATTTGGATTTTGATCTGAAACCAAACATGTATTAATTGTTTTACTTGCCATAAATTAGCTTACTTATCTATAAAATGGGGACGATACTGTGAGGATTCAATGGGATGATTTATGGACCTAAATTAGCATAGCGTGGGATGCACAGAATATGTACCCAGTAAAAATCAGCCATTAAGAGTTTTAGTATGATGGCTAAAAATCACTATACTTCGTAATGACATTGTATACAGATTACACTATACATGAAGACTACGATTAACAGTTACTAGCTTTTTTGAGAAATCTTCTATTGTATACCTTTTAGTCTAGTTGCAAGGTGACATTATATAGTCTGTAGAAACAGATTCCACCTCTGGTTGGTTATACTAGTTTATGAATTCAGGGCTCGCCTACTGTAGAGCATTTCAAGTTTTGCAAATGGGACTAACCTCTAGTAAGACATTAAGTAATAAACAGAACAAACAGTGCTAAAATAGGGCAAAAAAAATCTGTGTTATCAGGGCAAAAGAAAGAAAAGCATGGTCACTCACAGTTTCTCTAATCGGTAATTCATTGAAACAGTAAGGCTTATCTTCACAAACACAGCAACAAATTTTTAAAAATGGAGACCTCACCTCATGAGATAATTGGTATAAAATTAGGACCAAGATACACGATGGACATGATTTTACCACTTTTTTTCTTAAATGATCTCAAAATTAGGTCTGCGAAGCCAGTTTGTCACACGCACAATTAAGCAAACAAAAAAACTTCAGCAAAACAAAGAAAAATTGTTAATTCACCCAGGTTATTCCAGAAAAAGCAAGTGTTGTGCCTGAACCTTCCAGATTTACAAACTGCCTTTTTCTTTTGCTGGATAAAACGAACCTAAGGCTAACATATACAGTGGATGGATAGAACTTAAAACCATGAAAACCTTGGGTTACTTAACTTATCCTAGTTTACTGACCATTACCTAGGGACCTGACTTCTCTAACAGTTGACAAAGGAAAACAGTATTTACACAACAAATCCCAACTTCCTGGTTTCATCCAAAAAGGGCTGTTTGAAGTCTCCAAAGGGCCAAGGGCCTAAAACGAAACAAATTCCGCCCTACACAGAAAAGCAAAGTCAACATCATCCTGTTACGACCTTACTAGCGACGACAAGGGCCACCGGCGACCGTGCAGCTGTGCCCTTAACGCTGCGCAGCTGCCGCGCGCCTCGGCCGGGTGTTTATGGCACACGAGGGGTGGAGAGCGCCCCGCCATGGGGGCGGCCGCCTCAACTACCGCGAGGGCGGGGCGCGCTCCCCAAAAGCTCCCAACTAGCTCCAAGAGCCCCGAAGTCTAACTTCGAGCGTCAGGGGGACCTAAAGATTGTAATTCATCTGGATAATACTGCATAATATTAGACGCTGAAATGCCTGGGGGACGCTTGAAAAGCTCCCCGACTAACTGGGAGACGTTTCCGCGGGCCTAGGTAGACATATTTTTCAACTCAGCTAATCTTGTTTACAAACGGAAGCCTTAGAAACTCTAACCTCGGCAAACATTAACTTCAGGGAAAGGCTGTAAAAACCAACTTGCGGTAACTCAACAGGTTATGCGCACCCGTCCCGGCCTGCGACCGCCGCATCCAAAAAGCGAGAGGGGAAGCACCAGGCAATTTCCTCAGCAGGCGGCCCCGGGGCCAGCGGGTGACTGGTCCAAACCTCAGTTTCCCCCACCCCGCCCGGTCACCTCTGGGTCCGCCCCGAGCGTTCGGCCAGACACACGCGGAACTTTCTGTACCAGAGCCCAACTTGGGAACCCAAGCCTCGGCAGCGCGCTGCCTCCCACGAACGGGGCTGACGACCCCCGCAGCCACTTACCCGCCATGGCTGCGCTTTCATGGGCGGCCCCCAGCAGCGCTAGCACCTGCAGCGTCCCCAGGAGCAGCGCGGCCCAAGCACCTCGCGCGCCGAGTCCCATTGTTCCGAGGGCAGGATGCGGCAGCCTCGTGGGCTCCCAGCCGAGGTGGCGGCGGCGAGAGCGGCTCCTCTGCGCAGCCGGCGCCGGCTCCGCTTCCCCTTCGGCCGCGCACGTTTCCCCTCCCGCCGCTTGCCCCCCGAATGACCAAATAGGGCGCAGGAGCGGGGCCTGGAGGGGGCGTCGCGTGCGCAGCCGGGGCGGCGGGGCCGGGCTGGGTGGCGCGGGGGCGGGCTCGGGGTTCTGGGCGTGGCGACTCGGCTCGCGGCCTCCCTCGCAGGCGCGCGCTTGGGAACCCCAGAAACCGCGAGCCGTTTCCTTTCTCTTCGGAAATGGCAGTTTTGTTGTCCTGGATGAAGGCGAGCGCCGCTGCCTCCCTGAATGCTGAGCACGCTGGCTTCGCGGTGCCCGGAAGGAAGCCTTTGAAGAGTAGTTTTGCGGGCAGGGAGGGGACAGGGGTGCGTGCGACTCAGAGTGAGAGGGAGGAGTTGCAGGGCAAAGGCGGGAGGAGGGGGAGATTCTGGAGAGGAACTTGAGGGGATGGGATTCACTCTAAGGAGTCCTGGGCGGTCGGAGCTTTCCCCTCGCGTGACCCAGCCTAAGGGGGAAGTGGAGAAAAACAGCTCGACAGATTTGTTGCTTAAATTCAAACGTAAAACACCTACGATCTTCTTATCCCAGTTGTACTTCATCTTCTCCACGGGTTCCCTGTATCTCTGATTAAGACACGAGATTAGTGGAGTGGGCGGGTGGGGGCGCGCGCAGGAGTTGGTAGCAACTCTCAGTGAAATACAGTAGAGCCATGGAAAGCGGGGGCTGCATTAATCCAACCAGCCTTTTCTCTCCTTGTGCCCTGCTGTCCCAGTTCAGATGAAATGGCCAGTTTTGAACAGTTTTTGGCTGAGTTCCTTTTAAACCCTTGGAGCCAATGCTAATCACTTGTCTTGACTTGAAGTGCTTGTAAAGTCTGCATTTTCATCGTGCTCAGAACTCTGAAGTGACATAGCTACCTGTGGCTAATGCATGAGAATAACAAAGGCTGAGTCCTGGCTTGGGTGGGAACCCTCAGCTGAAGTAGAAGACTGAAGGATCCAAGGAACCTAAAATCACAGTGAATCCCCACCTGCAAAGGTCTTAATGTTGCAGATCTTTGGCACCTGAGCCAGATTTCATCACATAAAGGCCACATTGCAGTTAACTTTTGAAAACTGTGTTATGAGAGGTAGAACTTTCTCATGTCAGGCAAATCCATCATTACAGAGGTCTGACTGGTCCTAGAGATTAACTGAGACAATCTGTCCTAAATTTACAGAGACTTCCATCTGTGGATTCAGTCAGCCAACCTGCAAATGTTTCCCCTGCAGCTTATCATGGACAAAAAGCAAGCATTGCACATTTCGATTTTGGTTATTCTATTTAACTGGGGAATCTGGTTTAGGAATAAACCGTTCTGGTGACTACCCCATTATCCAAGCATTTCCCAATCTAGGCCCAACCTGTCTTTCCAGCCTTGGTTCTGTTGCCCATGGAGAAGGGTGCTTTCTGGTTCCTGGCATTTGCATACGTTGTTCTTTCCTTCTGGAATTCTCTTCACCAACCCACAGCTAATACTTCCTTTAAGGCTCAGTGTACTTATAGCCTGGGAATCTGGGGTGGAATAAGAGGTCTGGATGTTTATATCCCCACCACATTCATGTGTTGAAACCTAATCCTCAAGGTGATGATAATAAGATGTGGGACTTGGGTGGGCATAGTGGCTCATGCCTGTAATCCCAGCACTTTGGGAGGCTGAGAAGGGTAGATCGTTTGAGGTCAGGAGTTGAAGACCAGCCTGACCAACATGGTGAAACCCCGCCTCTACTAAAAATACAATTATCTGGGCGTGGTGGGACGTGCCTATAATCCCAGCTACTCGGGAGGCTCCCGAGTAGCTGGGAGGCTGAGGCACAGGAATCGCTTGAACCTGGGAGGTGGAGGTTACAGTGAGCCGAGATCACGCCACTGCACTCCAGCCTGGGAGACAGAGTGAGACTTGTCTCAAGAGAAAAAAAAAAAGATGTGAGGCTTTCCGGAGGTGATTTGGTTGCTAATGAATGGGATTAGTGCCCTTGTAAAGGAGGCCTGAGGGAACTTGTTTCACCCTTCTGTACTGTGAGGGCACAGCAGGAAGACGCCATCTGTGAGGCAGAGGGCCCTCACCAGACACCAAATCTGTTGAGGCCTTGCTCTGTCAACTTCCCAGCCTCCAGAACTGGGACAAATAGATTTCTATTGTTTATAAATTTGTTGATAAAGTATCCCATTTAAGGTATTTGTGTTATAGCAGCAGAAACGGACTAAGACAGTGTGGAGAACAAGATATTTATTTACTTGGACAGTTTTTCCCGGGTACTGACCTGTTGGAGACACCTTCAGATCTCTGCTATCTGATTGCCACACCACAGTGAGTGGGTGTGCCCATCTTTGATACTAACAGCTCAGTACTGTGGATTGCCCATGTTTTTTCTAGTCTGAGGAGAGGGGAAAGAGCAAGGAACTGTGTGGCCTTCCTGCTCTCTTGGAAACTCTATTGGGAGGACTAGCCTCCCAGAGAAGTTGTAGCCCCAGTTATGCCTCAGGTTCAGCCCCCATCACTGTACCAACATTTTACTTTGGTGATGTGAAAAGTTAAAAGAACAGCCCTTGGCCATTTAGGTCTCTCCTCCTTTCCAGCCTCATGTCTGGATCCCTCTCTGTAACCTCACTAGAGCACTCAAAGTTTTCCAAATATGCTGGGGCCTTCCACGCCCCTGTGTTCTTGCTCCTGTTCTTCCCTTTGCCCAAGATGCCCTCTAACCTTTTCTCTTAGGCAGTTTCTACTCCTCTCTCAAGATTCCCTTCATATCCCATCTCCCCACCCATCTGGGCAGATTTTAGTGCTTGGATCCCTCTGCTCATACATTGATCAACTGGGTCTCTAACCTTGTTCTCTATAAAATATTCTCCACATAGCAGCCAGTGTGATTCTTTTAAAACATGTCAGATTATGCCATTCCCTTGCCACTTAACAAAGTCTGAAACCATGGCCTGCAAGGCCTACGTGACATGGTCCATGGCTGCCCTTACCACCTCATTTTCTACCCTCTCCTTCACTTCTCAGCTCCAGCCTCCTTGCAGCACTTTAGAAATGTCAAGTCAGTTTCCATCCCGGAGCCTCTGTACTTGCTGCTTCCTCACATCCTTCAACACTGCTCATCTGAGAAAAGCCCTTCTTGAATACCCTAGTTTACAGCTCTGTTTCTTTTTGTGGCATCCAGTGCTATCCATCATTATGTTCATTTATGTGTTTATTTTTTGTCTGTCCTACAAAAATACAAGTTCCATGAGAATAAAAAAGTGAATGCATATTTTGGCCAAGTGCCTATCGCATATTGCTACTGGATTCATGTCATACGAATCACTTCCTTTTTTTTTTTTTTTTTGAGACAGAGTCTTGCTCTGTCGCCCGGGATGGAGTGCAGGGGCACAATGTCACCTCACTGCAACCTCCGCCTCCCAAGTTCACGCGATTCTCGTGCCTCAGCCTCCTGAGTAGCTGGGACTACAGGCATGTGCCACCATGCCTTGCTAACTTTTGTATTTTTAGTAGAGATGGGGTTTCCCATGTTGGCCAGGCTGTTTTTGAACTCCTGAAGTAAAGTGATCCACCTGCCTTGGCCTTTCAAAGTGTTGGGATTACAGGTGTGAGCGACCGCACCCAGCCTACTTTCTTTTATTTAGAACTCAGTTTCCCAGCCTCCATTACAACTGGGTTCAAGAATATAACCTAGGCTTTGCCAGTCAGGCTCATCCATATCAAACTTAAATTCAGGTATAAGCAACCAGAGGAAAGTGGCTCATTATGGAGCTCCTTGCCTTGCTGGTATGAATTGCCCTAATAGCCAGGCGGCTGCCTTAGTTGGCAGCACTAGCAGTGACGTTAGTTTCTCAGTGGTTGCAACATGGAGTTTCTGATGTAATAGTGGTATTGACAGAGAGCTGCAATGGTGATAGTTTTCTTGCTGGGCTAGTTCTGCAGTGGTTTTGTGCATTATTCCCAGAGGAATGGCCCCAGTCCTGAATCTCTACACCTTCCAACACACCTGAGAACTACCCAATATCTTCAATATAATCCTTTTCTGCTATATCAGCAAGAGTCAGCAGCTTTTCTTTCGTACAGCTAAGGATCCTGACTTTGTATGATTGTGGGTCTTTTTCCCCACAGTGGGCTACAGTCTCCATTAGATGATTCGCCAACTATTTATTGAGTGCTTACTATATGATGGACAATGTCCTAGCCAGAGCTTACAGTATAGTGGCAGGGCAGGTACATACACGATTATACTAGAGTGTAATCAATGCTATGAAGTGGTCGTGGGAAAGCACACATTGGAGGCACAGTCTATGTGTTCATCTTTGTATTTGAGGCTCTAATGCACTTCCATCATATAGAAGCATTCAGTTTATATTTGTGGAATGAATTTTGGGTGGAGACAAATAGAGCAGCAAAATGCTGGTGTCCTTCTCCATCAATAATATTCTCTTTGCATCCAACCTGTATTTCCTGTATGTCTGAGTCTTTAACTTATGGTCACTTGAGGGCGGACCAGGAGTTGGAACTATCATTCATTCACTTAGTCAGTGTGCAAACATTTATTGAACACATGACATGTACCAGACATTATGCTAGGTGCTGGGAAACAATAGAGAATAACACAAGTCTATCTGCCTCACAAAATGATAGACACTAGTGAGTCCTTTACAAGTTAGTTGGTTTCTACCCATAGAGACGGAAAGTATTATAGAATGGTGGCTACCAAAGGCTGGGGAGAGAAGAATGGGGAGCTTTGTTTAATGGGTACAGAGTTTTCATTTAATTTTGCAAGACAAAAAGAGTTATGAAGATGGATGGGGGCCGATGGTTACACACAGTTTGAATGTACATAATACTACTGAGCTGTACATGTAAAAATGGCTAAGATGATACATTTTATGTATATATAACCACAATTGAAAAAAAGTACACCCCCACCCCCAAAAATAGAACAATAAATTTACACATGTTGTTAAGGGAAAAAATGTGAGTTGGTTTCTAAAAATGAATGGTAAAAGCTGCTTTTGTTATGATTGTAAAAAGATAGAGAGATTTCATGTTTTCTCAGTGAGATTTACTTATATCCCACAGTAAATTTTGATTCATTTTTAAAAAGAAGCAGGTGATAGAGGATGGCTCATCTGGCTTAATGTGCACAGATAATTATCTTCTAGCTATGTATGAATTAGTCTGTTAATAATCAATATTTGCATAAGGAAAGAACCAGAATCTGCCTGGCTTTGAGACTGAAGTAGTTGCAAATAAGGCAAGGCACTGGAGAGATTTAACAAAAGAGAGTAAATTGGCCTGTGTCCATTTCTCTGTTTCTGCCAATTTCCTGTCAACTTCCATTTTAGCAGATTGACAACATGTTATAAACTGTGATTAAGTCTTCACAATGAAAGCTCATTTGCTGGGTATCTTCCCCATTCCTGCACCTCTGCTTCCTTTCCCTTGTATTCTAGAGCCCCAATTTTTCTTGCACTTTCTTCTTCCCTCACCTTTAGGTTTTTTCCTTCTTGTCTCCTCCTTTACAGTAGAAACTGCAGACAGAGTGTGAATCTATATAATTAATCAAAAAAAATTTATTGAGTATTTTGTGTTCAACACTTACAGGATTCTTAGATTCAGATGAGCAAAAGTGAAAATAAAACAAGTAAAGGCAAAGATAAAGCAAACAGGCCAGGCATGGTGGCTGACGCCTATAATCCTAGCACTTTGGGATTCTGAGTCAAGAGGATTACTTGAGAGGATTACAAGAGCCCAGGAGTTTAAGAGCAGCCTGGGCAACATAGCAAGATCTCATCTCTACAAAAAATAAAAAATTAGCCGGGCATGGTGGTGTGTGCCTGTGGTCCCAACTACTCAGGAGGCTGAGGTGGGAGGATCACTTGAGCCTGGGAGGTCAAGCCTGCAGTGAGCAGTATTGCGCCACTGTACTCCAGCCTGAGTGATGATGATATTCTGTCTCCAAAAGCAAGCAAACAAACAAAACAAAAAAATAAGCAGAGAACAATGAACTCTGATGCAATTGGATTTTCCTCTTGAAACGAGATCAGAAAGAGAGAGTTCTGTGTGGACTGAAGTTTGTAAGGGTGACTTCTCAGAAAGGGAGTGGGGGAGCTTTGTCTGAATCTGAAGGATTTGGCCAGATGAGAGGTGGTGATGTGAGTTTTCAGTGTCAGTTCTAGGCAGGATTATGTTGTGCTCTGAGGACAGTAGGAAGAGGAGAGATGTGAGTTCAGAGGTTTTGTAGGGAGCATGTAGGGAAGCCTCATGGGCCTTTCCAGTGTTAATTAAATCCCGTTATTTATCAGCTCCTACTTTGACTTTTTTTGTGTCTTCTCTGTAGGAGGCTATAGGAACTCAGCCTATTTTATTTCTCTGTTTAAAGCCACTGCTCTCCACCCCGATCCTTTGGTGTTCTTATTTCTTCAAGTCTACATATGGAGTGAGTTGCAAGTCTCCAGGCCATTCCTCTTTGCTGCCTCTGAACCTAACCACTTTCCATAGGGAAAGTTTCATTGCTAATAATGACAGAGAAATTGACAAAAGATAAAACTGCTGTTGTGGAGAAGGTTAAAAAAAAGATGAAAGTTGTTAGTCTTAACCCCTGCTCAATATTTTCTGTTGCTCATCTAAAAAATTGGAGAAGTAGGGCTTACCAGTCCATTCATTCAACAAAAATTGAGCAGTTGAACACACAAATACACACACATATACACACACAAGAAACAACTAGAAATAAGTGCTGAGAAAACACACTGATGTGATGAACAACTGGGTGGTGACTTCAGAATAAGCAGTCAGGGAAGTCCTCTGTAGTAGGTAACAGTTAAACTGAGTCCTTAGAAGGAGCCATGTGAAAACAAGGGGGAAGTACATTTCAACCAGCATAGTGTGTTGGGGGAATAAAAAGAAAGCCAATGTGCCTGAAGCTCAGTGAATAAGAACAGAGAGGTACAAGGGAAGATCTGGGCCTTTTCAGATGAGGAATTTAGATTTTATTTTAAATATGATGTATGGAAAGAACAAGAACAACAAAACAAAATGTGATGAGAAGCCATTTGAGAGTTGGCAAGTCATCTTGTGCTTTATATATTTTTAAAAACATCACACCAGCTTCTGTGGAGGAACAAGAGTAGAAACAGACCAGTTATGAGGCTATTGTTGGGGGCTTGAACTAGGGTAGAAGTGGTGACAATGGAAGAAGTGAATGGATTTAGGATGTGGATTGAGAGTAGAGTCAATTGGATATGATGGCTGAGGGAAAGAGAAATTAAGCCTCTTAGGTTTGTGGCTTGAGCAACTGGGTGAGTGGTAGCTTCACATCCCATATCCTGGAATACTAACCCACACTTTTTGAATTCTGTCCTACTGTCCTTCTGTCATTTCTGAATCTCTTATAGCAACCTTCATCAGGAACGCATACAGAGTTAGCCAAATTGAATACAATATTTCAGTGATCATCTGTTGGTATCTACATGGGTCAAGAGGGAAGTAAGCGCTATTGGATGATCCCTAAGTTTGCTCTCACCCAGGAATACTGCATTTTGAGTATTACTTGTGTTAGCAGTGGTGAATCCGTATGGGTCTGCGGCAGCCTCAACTCTTGCCTCCTCAGAAGAAAGAATTTGACCGAGGGGCATAAGACAGAGTGAGAGAATGAGGCAAATTTTGGAGCAGGAGTGAAAGTTTATTCAAAAGCTTTAGAGCAGGAATGAGAGAAAATAAAGTACACTTGGAAGACGGCCAAGTGGGCAACTTGAGAGATCAAGTGTACTGTTTGACCATTGATTTGGAGTTTTATATGTTGGCATTCTTTTGGGGTCTGCATTACTTCTCCCTTTTTTCTTCCCTTGTGGGGGTTGTCTGCCTGTGCGGTGGCCTACTGGCTTTTGAGGGGGGCCGCATGTGCACTGTGTTTACTGGAGTTGTATGCACGCTCACTTGTGGCATTTTTCCCTTACCAGTCTAGTGGTCATATACCAGGTATACTTTGCCTTTTGCCTCCTTTTTTTTTTTTTTTTTTTTTTAATGCGGAGTCTCGCTCTGTCACCCAGGCTGGAGTGCAGTGGCGCAATCTTTGCTCACTGCAACCTCCGCCTCCCAGGTTCAAGCAATTCTCCTGCCTCAGCCTCCTGAGTAGCTGGGACTGCAGGCCCGCCACCATGCCCAGCTAATTTTTATATTTTTAGTAGAGACTGGTTTTCACCATGTTGACCAGGATGGTCTTGATCTCTTGACCTCATGATCTGCCCACCTCGGCCTCCCAAAGTGCTGGGATTACAGGTGTGAGCCACCACGCCTGGCCTGAAACCTCTTATTTCTATGAGAGACAAAAGGATGTACTGTGTGATGTCTCATTACACCCATCGTTGTACCGATGAGAAACCTCAGCAAAATCCCAGAGGTAAGTGTTGACAGTTTCAAAGGTCAGAAGGCCCATGACCTTGCATGTAAAATCAAAAGGTCAGAACTATTATGTTGTCAGGGTGACACCCTAAAGAGGGGAGGATGGGTAGGCAGTGTTCTCCCTCCTCAAAGAAAATTTTGTCATTTTACCCTTATAATTGCCACATATTTTTTCCAGATACCTTTCATGTAGCCCACCCCCAATAAGTAAATATATTAGAATTTCACTGTGTAATGAGAATAAAAGAAAGGACTTTAGATGATAAGCTTTTGTGATCTTCTCCTCTCTCCTCCCTTCAGCCCTGACTCCAGTGTCTCCAGCTGAGAGGCTGAGCTTGCCAGCTCCATTTCTGACTGCTCATGGAGCAGAATCAGTGACCAAGGAGAAAAGGGCTGAGTGAAGAAACAAGTGTGAGTGCCAAGATGATGCCAAGGGCTGTGATTTCCTGGTGGGAAGAAAGAAGGAATAGAAGCCAAAGGAAGGGGGATGAAAAGCAAAACCAAGAATCACAAGGAATCAAGTTCGGAGAGAATTTTGGCAGAGATTTTGAGAGGGGGGCTTTAAGTCAGCCATGGACATACTGAAGCAAGAGGAATGAAGGGAAAAAAGAAAAGGGGGGAAAAAAAGAAGAAGAATGGGGCCAAGGAGGATTTAAGACTACCATTATAGGTTACAAGTTGAATTCTTTTTAATATTCTTCAAGCAATGACAGTAAAGATTCAAATAACTTTTAAATTACCTTTGATTTCTAAACCAAGTTTCTTGGAATGTGAAAGTCGCCAAGACTGGGCCCTGCAGGGCCTGGGTTGGGCTACTACTGCCTATGGAGATTCTGAGGGTATTAACCTTAATAATGGCATGAAATCAATAAAAATCATCCAAAAGCTTTTTTCTGAGCATCTATTGTATGTGCAGCATTGTATAAGGCATGGAAGAAAAAGCAAAATAGTATAATGTGTGGCCATGTCCCTGCAGGTGTTATATTTAAGTAAATGACCCATTTCCACGTGGGCAAGTAAGTAATAGCACTCCACCAAAACTGTCACCAGACTGTGAGGGCTGTAAGTTGGTAGGAAGAAGTACTAACTAAATGTAGAACTTAATATCTATTTTTCCTTATTTGATTTTTAAACTTCACCCCAAAACGTAATAATTGCCGTAAGCTTTAAGATTTTATAATTCCAATAATATATACCAAACAAAAATACCATTCCTAGAAAAAAAAAGTCTGGAAAAAAGGTAAAGATTAATAGTCATATTTCTGGTTGACCATTCTCTGAGTGATCTTTTTTTTTTCCTTTCTACTTTTCTGAGTTTTTCAGCTTTTCTGAAATAATATGTATGACATTTCAAGGAATTTTTTAAGCTGTTATTTTAGAATTATAGTTCTAATAATGATAAAAGACATTTTCTGACTATCCTACAATAAGATACGAGGCTAAAAACAAATATGATCTAATCTACTTTTAGAGCCTAGGCCTGAGGAAGAAAAGGGTAAAAGAAAACCATATTCCATGATGGAGAAAAAAGTCTAGAACTTACTCAAATTCTTTCTTCTAAACATATCAAGTGATCTATTTGTAGCGACCAGGTCTTTGCGTAAACATTCCAGCCATTTGCCTAATCATCTGGTTTAAATTTTAATGGATTTAACCTTGGAAAGAGGGCTGTGTCTACACTGAGAGTCAAGATACCTGGTTTCTGATGTCAGCTGTGCATTGCAGCTGACTTCCTGTGTCTATGATTGAGCTGTCTCACTGGCGTTGCCCATGGGTTCTTCGTCTTAAAAATGAGCATTTTACATACATTGATGATGGGAATGTAAAATGTACAGTCACTATGAAAACAGTTTGGTTGTTCCTCAAAAAGTTAAATATAGAATTACCCAGTATACATTACCCAGTAATACCCAGTATACCCAGTATACCCTGCCCAGTAATTCTCGTAGGTATAGAATCAAAAGCAGAGATTCAAACACATACTTGTACACAAATGTTTTAAGCGTGACCCACAATCTCCAAAAGGTAAAAACAACTCAATTGTCCATCAGAAGATGAACGGATAAAGAAAATGTGGGCCGGTCGCAGTGGCTCACGTCTGTAATCCCAGCACTTTGGGAGGCTGAGGCGGGTGGATCATGAGGTCAGGAGATCGAGACCATCCTGTCTAACACAGTGAAACGCCATCTCAACTAAAAATACAAAAAATTAGTTGGGTGTGATGGTGGGTGCCTATAGTCCCAGCTACTTGGGAGGCTGAGGCAGGAGAATGGCGTGAACCCGGGAGGTGGAACTTGCAGTGAGCTGAGATCGCGCCACTGCACTCCAGCCTGGGCAACAGAGCAAGACTCCGTCTCAAAAAAAAAAAAAAAGAAAGAAAATGTGATATTGTGGTATTCACATATAATGGGATATTAATGAGCCATGAAAAAATGATGTTCTGATACATGCTACAACATGGATGAACCTCGAAAACATTATGCTAACTGAAATAAGCCAGACACAAAAGGAAATATATTGAATCATTCCATTTATGTTAGGTGCCTAGAATAAGCAAAGTCAGAAACAAAGTAGATTAGAAGTTGTCTGGGACTGGGGGAGGCAATAATTGAAGTTATTGTTTAATGGGTACAGAGCTTCTGTTTGGAGTGACAGAAAATTTTTGGAAATAGCTAGTGGTGGTGGTTGCACAACATTGCATCTGTAATTAATGCCACTAAATTGTGTACTTAAAATTGGTTAATATGGCAAATTTTATGTTATATATCTTACTACAACAAATGAGAGATTTAATAAGATATTTCTGAAATATCTTTGAACTCTAATATATATATATAATTATTGGTAGACATGGGGTTTCGCCATGTTGCCCAGGCTGATCTTGAACTCCTGAGCTCAGGCAATCCACCTGCCTTTGAATTCTAATAGTCTATAATACCACAGGCAAAGGGCTACTGTAAGAAGAGGGAATTGATCTGAGTCTTGAAGGATGTGTTAAAATAGGGGTCCGCAGTCCCTGGGTCGCAGACCATTACCTGTTCGTGGCCTGTCAGGAACCGGGCGGCGCAGCAGGAGGTGGCAGTGGGCGAGCCATTACCGCCTGAACTCTGCCTCCTGTCAGATCAGCTGCAGCATTACCTTCTCATAGGAGCACGAACCCTATTGTGAACTGCACACATGAGGGATCTAGGTTGTGCACTCCTTATGAGCATCTAATGCCTGATTTGAGGTGGAACAGTTTCATCCTGAAACCATCCCCCACCTCTCCATGGAAAAATTGTCTTCCACAAAACTGGTCCCTGGTGCCAAAAAGGTTGGGGACTTTTGTGTTAGAATTTGTCCACTAGAATGCTTCAAAGATGGGAAAACCCAAAATAGCAAACAGGAGGCTGCAGGCCACATCCAGCCGGGAGTTAAGTTTTGTGTGGCTTTCACAGTGTTTATCAACACAGCATTTAGGATTTTAAAAACTTGGTTGCTAAAATTTAAAACCCGAGAGTATCGATATAAAAATTCTGATTCCTGGTTTCTCTGGAAACATTGAACAATCTGGTAATACCAGACCGATCCTTTCAACAGGAGTTATGAAATGGCTGCTCCCTTTATGCAGTATTTGAACTCTCTGTACTCTCCGTATTGTTTTATTCCCAGCTGGCTTCTTAATTTCTAATACTTGCATTTGAATGTCTGATCCCTAACATAAAACAAGAATCAGGTAAATTATTTCTGAGGGCCCTGTCCCTGGGTTGTCAATTTATAAAGTATTAAATTTTGTTTTCTTTTTGTTTCTTTCTTGCCTCATCTGCAATATAGAAACAACTCTTCTAGGCTACCACATAGGGCTTCAGATTTCTGTAACTGACACAAATATGTGTAAATAATTTTGCAAGCATAGAGTTATAAAGAATACTTAGACTACTCATGCAGGCAGTTCCTGAAGTTGGGTCACTGTTGTCTAGAATAGTTAAAACATTTTATAACTACTTTTATGACTACAAATTTTATTGGTTTTATTTTTCGTTTCAAAGAAAGTCAAAAGTATTACTTTAGTTTTGAACAAAAAAATGCACAGAAGTATCTAAAATAAAAAGAAAAAATCCTTCCTGTTTTACTTCCCTAGGGGTAACCACAGTTAGCACTTGAGTGTTTTTCTTTCCAGACCTTTGTTTCTGTTTGTGTCTTTGTTTTAGTTTTAGGTTTTGCACCTACAATTACGTAGATATTTGAATATGTATTTATATGAACATAGAAACATAGAACATATGGGTTTTTCCCGAAAATACATGCTTTTCAACTTGCTTTTAAAAAATTTGACAGTATGTCATAATCATTTTTCCATATGTATACACAAATGTATATGTTTCATTGTGATGGCTACGAAGTATTCAGAGCATGGATGTAATTCATTTTAGCATTTCACTTTTGACAGATATTTCAGTTATTTCTGATTTTTACTAACATAAATGTGATGATACTTTTTGGCAATGTGATGGGCAAATGACGGTGTCTCATTTTGTTTAATTTGAACTTCCCTTCTTAATCACTGAGATGGAACATCTTTGCCTATGTTTATTAGCCATTTTTATTTCCTTTCCGGGAATTATCTGCTTATATCCTGAGTTGCTTACCAAGTTGTGGACATGAAAATAATGTAACTAGAAAATACATGTATGTAGTTATATACTAAGGGATGTTTCAAAACCTCATTCCTGTCTTGGAGTGTATGTTCTTGTTCCTTTCTAACATGTCAGCTTCCTCTTATTATGGCTTGTAGATCACCAGATTAGCAACATTTGTTCTTTGTTCAGAACAACTAGCTAGGGGCAACATGTAATTTACAAAGAAATGCAGAGGTTACAATCTAATGATGCAAAGAGAAGTAATAGATATAAAACATACATGGAGCAAATCTAACAAAAGATAATGAAAATTGCTTTCTTTTGAGCAGTGCTTTGCAGTGTTGAAGAAGATGTGTATATAAATAGCTAAAAGATTAAGCAAAAAGGTAAGTGCTATAGCATTGTAATAGGGATTCCAGGGAAACAGATATAAGTTGAGAGTGTGGGGACTGTTATTGTGGAACCAGAAAGAACTCCAAGAAGGATGGTAGAGAGAGAAAAGTTGGGGTGGAAAGCCTTCTTCGAAGTGGAAGATAAACAATGTGAAGAGAAAGGACAAAAGAAGGACCAGCTCCCATTAGATTGAGCACAGCATTTAGAATGCCTGGGAAGTGACACAGGAGTGAAGACTCCCCTATTAACCTTCTTTCTTCTGAGCACCATACTCCTGTTAAGTCAATCTTAAGGCTGTGCCATTTTTATCAGCCATATCTCACTAGTGGTTTATCTGGGGTTTGAGATGAACTGAAATCTTCTAATGTTTCCACACAGACATTGTCTGTGACCACAGGAGGAATACGCTACATGTGAACCATTCTATCCCTGATTTTTAGTCACCATGACATCCATTAACTCATTGAGTCCTTTATTATCTAATGTGACAGCATTCCAAAGATAGGTATTGTCCTCCTAGTATGCATTAGGGCTGTGGTAGGTGGTAGCGAGACAAAAGTGAACATGGCAGGTTTCCTTCCTTGTGTAACCTCAAGTTTATCGCAGGTGGGTTAAGTGGAGTACTTAGATACTTAGCTAGAACATGTGAGTACCCGAGTCTTAGAGGTAGTGTGTCCGGATTTGAATCTGTTTCAAGGCCTGATCTTCACTCTTGTTAATAAGGGTTAGCCTGCAAAGGTTCTCTACCACTTGTATGAGTCTGGTGGGATAGAACACTCATACATACCAAGTTAGGCAAACAGATTTAATACTCACAGATAAGCAGCAAGGATAAACCAAAGCCTAGGATCCCTGACAAGCTGGTCCTCCAGAGCTCAGGAAAGCCGTCCAGAGTGGGGTGGAGTCTTATCTGCACAGACCCCATGTCACAATACAGCTAAGGACACCGAAAGCACACCACCCTGGGCTTTTATATCCTGGGTGCAAAGGGGCTTGCTGAGCTCAAGTGTTGCAGAATATAGCCCGGTGGTTCCGGGCCTTTTTCCTTATGTCAGGATGTCATATTCTCAGTGCATTCTGTAAGAAATCTGGGTGGGTCAAGGTCATCCAGAGACCTGTCCTCCTGCATAGCCTTGTTGGGAAGGACCAACAGGTGGCTTGCTGGTGCCTGAGACACAAGAGACTGGTGAGATGAGCTGAAAATGGGAGGTGATAATTCACACTCTCATTCAGGGAAGCCTTGGCTTTTATTTATATTATATTTTATTGTACCTGTTTACAGAAGATCAGTATGCCTTAGCAGATGGAGGAAGTTTTACTCACACTTAAAACATTTTTTTTTTCTTGTAGAACCAGTTAGTTCACATGGCCCTCTGGCATACTAGAAAGCTGGAGTGGCTCTAATAATGGTGGCATTATAATAGAATCTAACTGGACATTTGTTACTTCGTTCAGGGTTCATATTGTTCAGATTATTTTGTTTTGTATTATCTTGTTTTATTGCTTGCTGTAAATTGTAAATGTTACAATAACAAACTGACCCAGGGTGAGAACAATTTTCAGCTTGCTGGATTTCTATATAAATAATACAATCTGTGTATCTCCCACATCGGTTTGCTCAGATAGTTTATAAAACACCAATAAAATGTCTGACTTCAGGATTAAGGAAGCTGTGTAGTACGGTGGATAAACACTTGATAAGAGTTGGAAGGTAAGGCTTCTGATCTTATTTCTGCCACTTCTAATTGTGGAGCACAAACCACAAATTTATTTCCTCTTGGGTAAAATAGGGAGAGTTCAATTGACAAGGGTGTCCTTAGTGTCCTATACAGCTGCCAAAAACAACAGCCACCCTGGAACCAAACCCATGACTTCAAGAGACACAAGTGTGTGCTGACCCCAGAGATGCATGGCTGCATATCTTCCTGGTTATACATTTGCTGTGCCACCTGACAGCATGACCTTCAATCTGTCCTCTCCTCTATCTACAAGCCTAGGTCCCTTAGTTTCTTGGAACTTCCATTTCTTCAACTGTAATATAAGGAAAATAATAGTACTGTTACCGGAATGGGGTCCTGATCAAGACTCCAGAGATGGTTCTTGGATCTCACACAAGAAAGAATTCAAGGCAAATTCATACGGCAAAGTGAAAGTAAGTTTATTAAGAAAGTAAAGGAATAGCAAGCAGGCTCTGTGGTGCGATGGATAAGTGCATTGGACTTCTAGCCTAAATCGAAAGAGATTCAAAGAAAGTAAAGGAATAGAGAATGGCTACTCCATAGACAGAGCAGCCCCGAGGGCCTCTGGTTGCCCATTTTTATGGTTATTTCTTGATTATATGTTAAACAAGGGGTGGATTATTCATGCCTCCTGTTTTTAGACCATGTAGGGTAACTTCCTGACATGCCCACGGCATTTGTAAAGTGCCATGGTGCTGGTGGGAGTGTAGCAGTGAGAATGACCAGAGGTCACTCTCATCACCATCTTGGTTTTGGTGGGATTTAGCAGGCTTCTTTACTGCATGCAACCTGTTTTATTAGCAAGGTCTTTATGACCTGAATCTTGTGCTGACCTCCTGTATCATCCTGTGACTAAGAATGCCTTAACTTACTGGGAATGTAGGCTAGCAGGTCTTAGCGTTATCTTATCAAGCCCCTATTTAAGATACAATTGCTCAGGTTCAAGCACCTCTGACAGTACCTCTGTCATAGGAGTGCCTCGCGGTCAGAACAAATTTATAGACAAAAATGTAATGTGATGTACAGAAATTGGAAGTGAGGTACAGAAACAGCTGGATTGGTTACAGTTCAGCATTTGCCTTATTTGAACACAGTTTGAACACTCAGCAGTAAACGACTGGTTGAGCCATGGCTGCTGGGATTGGCCAAGACTCAGCGATTGTTACAGGAACATAACTCCTAAGTTAGGTTTTCAATCTTGCCTACCTATTAAGTTAGGTAGCAGTTCATCCACAAGGACTCAAATATAGAGGTATGGAGTCCTTCTCAGGCCACGTTTAGTTTGCTTTAACACACTAAATAAAGAAGACATTTTTGAAATGAAAACAGTGAAATTCCAGATGAACAGTAAATAGAACTACCAGTCAGTGAGTCATTTTTCTTGGCTGACCCCACAGTGAAAATGCATAAAAACACTGGAGAAAGTATAATATAAAATGACATTTAATGAAGAAGACTTCAGTAAATCGATGAGGAAGTTAGGATTTTTCAGAGGCTAAAAAGTAAGTGAAAGCAGAAACACAAAAAGGTCAAAGAGGTTGGCTTTTACCATGGAGACATTTACCAAAGCAAACTCTGGTTTTCTTCCTTGAGAAGCACAAATGACCTGGAGCCAAGGCTTGTTACAGTAGGTAACTAGGCAGACATGAACAGGGCCGGAGAGGCCCCCCTTCATCAGGAATGTCTGGCAACCATCAGGTTGATGGTCAGGCGGTTGTTAAACTGCCTCTGCAAAATAACAATTTGTTGCAGCCAGCGCCAGGGAAAGGCAGTCTCCCAATAGGTAGAAACACCTGAAACTGGTGATCAGCATCTTCCCGATGGAGTTGGGCGGGCAGGTTCACGCATGTTCACTAAGCAGCAAAATGGCAGAGTTTAACTGGTGTAAGACCTTCTAGGAACACTCGACTGGTAAGGGAAGAATGCCTCAAGTGAGCATGCGTACAACTCCAGTAAACACAGTGCACAAGCGGCCCCTCTCAAGTGCTGGCAGGTCACTGCGCATGCGGAATGCCAACGTATAAGACCCCAAGTTGAGGGTCAAACCACGCACTTGATCTCTCAAGTCACCTGCTTGGCCTCTTCCAAGTATACTTTACTTCCTTTTGTTCCTGCTCTAAAACTTTTAAATACACTTTCACATCTGCTTTAAAACTTGCCTTGATCTGTCCTTATGCCTTATGCCCCTCAGTCAAATTCTTTGTTCTGGGGAGGCAAGAATTGAGGTTGCTGCAGACCCAAACAGATTCAGATTCACTGCTGCTAACAGACTCACCTGAATTGAGGGTGGAATAGCAGACCCCTGTCAAACCTAGAAGACATAAAAGGTGAAAGTGCTGATGTCTTCTTGGATTTCTTCTTCTCCCTTTTCTTTTGGAAGCGAATTGTTCAGTAAGTCCTCTTCATTCTGTAATCCAGTCATTGCTCCTGATCTTCAACCCTTCAGGCATTGACACCCTCCACCAGCGAAAATCTCACTTACATGTGGAATCTTAAAAAAAAAAAAAGTCAAATATACAGAGAGAAAAAAAACTGTGGTTGTGGTTACCAGGGGAAGGGCAGGGGTTGGGAGGAGGGAGGAAATGGAGACAGGTAGGTTAGAGTTTACAAAGTAGCAGATGTGTAGGATGAGCAAATCTAGATATCTAATGAACAACATGAAGTCTATAGTTAATAAAATTGTACTTTATTTAGGAATTCTGCTAAATGAGTAGATTTTAGCTCCTCGTGAACATACACACACACAAATGGGTAACTGCATGAGATGATGGATATGTTAATTTGCCTCACTATAGAAACCATATTACTATCTATATGTATCCCACAACATTATGTTGTATGCCTTAAATACACATACACGATAAAATTTATTTAACACAATTTAAAAAAATAAAGTCATGGGTATTGGAGTATATTTAGATTTGCACAATTTATAGCATGTGGTAGGTACTCAAAATATATTAGTTTTCTCCATCTTCAACTAGAAAACAGAGGAGATTGTAATGTTAAAGATGCTTGAGAAGAATGTTACACATTAAAAGCAGAATTTTAAGAATCTTAATGTAATAGCAGTGTTGGAAAGAAAAGCATTAGAGAATAGGATAGTGTTAGGACACGGTTTACAACATTGCTTTTCAAACTATTTCTGATGAGGAGCCTCTTTCTCTCTCTTTCTCTCTCCTTCCTTCCTTCCTTCCCTCTTGCTTGCTTGCTTGCTTGCTTGCTTGCTTTCCTTCCCTCTCTCTCTTTCTTTCTTTCTTTCTTTCTTGTTGCCCAGGCTGGAATGTAATGGCGCAATCTTGGCTCACCGCAACCTATGCCTCCCAGGTTCCTGCCTCAGCCTCCCGAGTAGCTGAGATTACAGGCATGTGCTACCATGCCTGGCTATTTTTGTATTTTTGGTAGAGACGAGGTTTCTGCATTTTGGCCAGGCTGGTCTCAAACTCCTGACCTCAGGTGATCCACCTGCCTCAGCCTCCCAAAGTCCTCAGGTGTGAGCCACCACGCCCCGCCTCTTTCTTTCTTTTTTAATCTACTGCAGGTCATCTGTAATATACAATTAAAACTTACTAGCTAAATGAAATTTAAACTGGCATAGGGAAACACAAGCCTAGTGTTCTATTTTTGGATCCAACCAACAGACATAAAATTACTTTGTCAAATTGCTGTCAATTCTTCTGACAACTCCTAATTTCTGTACTTGCCTTGGACTGGGAACCAGCTGTTCATGGAAGGGCACTGCTCTAAAGTAGCACTGGCCAGGAGCTGCTGTAATAATCCTCTGTCAATGCCCTCCAGCCAAAGACCAACAGGAGCACACCTATTACTGATCAAGTTGGGTTTGTGAAATCACTTTGCAATAATTTTAAGTGAGAAAATGACAGTGAAAGAGATCTGATCTAACCAATCTTCAACTTGCCTTTAACCTTCAAACTGCCCTTAATCATTCCTGGGCTTAGGCCAAGATAACTTTGGGAGACATTTAGTTTACAGTTTAAATGATAATAGCCTTTGACCAAAACTAAACCACCTTGGTAAAGCTTATGAAAGGCCACTAGGTTAGGAGGCTGTGAGGAGCCTGAATTCGGCTAAGGGATAGACGCAAACATTACCAGCTGTTATTCCGGAGGTCACAGATTTGCAACTTTTCCAATTACTCCTGCAGATAACATCATCATTGTAGAATGTAAGAATGACCTTTTGAGATGTCTTTTCAGGTTTTTGCATTTCTGATGACCAATGGGTCTACCTGGACCCACCAACCCTCACCAACAGGGCCTGCCAAACTATACTTGAAAAGCCCTGGCCTTCAAATTTTCATGGCAATTGATTTGAGTAATAACTCTGTCTCCCATGTGTGGTGGCCAGCATCATGTCAAACTCTTTCTTTATTGCAATGTCATGGTCACAGTGAATTGGTTTTGTCTGTGCAGTGGGCGGGAAGAACCTGTTAGCAGCAGAATGTATCCTAGTGACACGGCACCAAAGCATGTTGGCTGCGGCAAATCCATATGGGTCTGCAGCAACCTCAATTCTTGCCTCCTCAGAAGAAAGAATTCCACGGAGGGGCATAAGGCAGAGTGAGAGACCAAGGAGGGTTTTAGAGCAGGAGTGAAAGTTTATTAAAAAGCTTAAGAGCAGGAAAGAAAGGAAATAAAGTACACTTGGAAGAGGGCCAAACAGGTGACTTGAGAGATTGTAACAGCCCAAGGAGTTCACCTTGCCCGCTGCCTAGACAGAGCTGATCCATCAAGACAGGGGAATTGCAATAGAGAAAGACTAATTCACACAGAGCTGCCTGTGCGGGGGACCAGAGTTTTGTTTTTTGTTTTTGTTTTTTTTTTGAGACAGAGTTTCACTCTTGTTGCCCAGGCTGGAGTGCACTGGCGTGATCTCGGCTCACCACAACGTCCGCCTCCCGGGTTCAAGCGATTCTCCTGCCTCAGCCTCCCGAGTAGCTGGGATTACAGGCACGCGCCACTACGCCCGTCTAATTTTGTATTTTTAGTAGAGATGGAGTTTCTCCATGTTAGTCAGGCTGGTCTCGAAATCCTGACCTCAGATGATCTTCCTGCCTCGACCTCTCAAAGTGCTGGGATTACAGGCATGAGCCACCGCACCCGGCCAAGACCAGAGTTTTATTATTACTCAAATCAGTCCCTCGGAGCACTGGGGGAGCAGAGTTTTTAAGGATAATTTGGTGGATGGGGGGAAGCCAGTGAGCCAGGAGTGCTGATTGGTCAGAGATGGAAAATAATAGGGAGTCGAAGCCATCTTCTTGTACTAAGTCCATTCCTGGGTGGGGACCACAAGATCAGATGAGCCAGTTTATTGATCTGGGTGGTGCCAGCTGATCCATCAAGTGCAGGGTCTGCAAAACATCTCAAGCACGGATCTTAGGAGCAGTTTAGGGAGGGTCAGAATGTTGTAGCCTCCAGCTGCATGACTCCTAAACCATAATTTATAATCTTGTGGCTAATATTAGTCCTACAAAGGCAGTCTAGTCCCCAGGCAAGAAGGAGGTCCGCTTTAGGAAAGGGCTGTTACTGTCTTTGTTTAAACTATAAACTATAAACTAAGTTTCTCTCATAGTTAGTTCAGTCCATGCCCAGGAATGAACAAGGACGGTTTGGAGGTTAGAAGCAAGATGGAGTCTGTTAAGTTAGATCTCTTTCACTGGCTCAGTCATAATTTTGCAAAGGCGGTTTCAAGATCAAGTGCAGGGTTTGACCTTTTGACTTGCTTTTATATGTTGGCATACTTCCAGGGCCTTGCATTACTTCTGCCCTGATTCTTACCTTGGGGCGTGCTCTCCACATGCGCAGTGCCCTGCCAGTGCTTGGGAGAGGCTGCATACACAGTGTGTTTACTGGAGTTGCACGCATGCTCACTTAAGTCGTTCTTCCCTTACCAGTAGAGTGTTCCTAGAGGAAGGTCCTATAGCAGTTAAGCTCCACCATTTTGCCTCTTAGTTCACATGCTTGGACCCATTTGCTCAGTTCCTAAGATCTTATTGGAAAGTTGCTGATCACCAGTTTCAGATTTTTTTCTACCTATTGGGGAACTGCCTTTCCCCTGGCACTGGCTGTGACCAATTATCATTTTAGAGAGATGGTTAACAACCACCTGACCATCACCTGATGGTTGCCTGATATTCCCGGTGGTGTTGGGGGTGGGGGGTCCTCTGCTGCCCTGCTCATGTCTGACTAGTTACCTACTGTAACAAGCCCATTAGGTGGTTACGTTTATAGCAAGGCAGATTGCACATCCTGGGACATCTTAGTAGAAGCGAGTGAGAAAGGCTTATTTTAGGATTTGGGCTTGTATTAGGTGATACTGAGAAGTGGAGCTTTGCCAGGATTGGTTGCTATCAAGGGAGTAGAGGCAATTTTATGACTGGGTATTTTAACAAATCTTATTGAAGGGGGCAGGAATAAACTGAGTCTAAAACTTTAATTGGCAGAGGCAAGATCCTCTCATATTAGCTAGGATGGGGGATATTTTGGTTATTTTTGTGGTTTGGACATGTTTGTTTTTCTGTTCAGACATCGTGATGGAGTGCTCTTGTTTTTGTCATGATCACAGAGTGCTCTGGTCTGACGTTAATGTTCAGTGAAACTGTTTATGTTCCACACCAAGGCCTAAATATGAGTGCCAGGCCAGCTTTCAGTTGTCAGGGGCTGCTTTTTCCTTTCTTATCTCTATGGGGTGATATAGTTCCTGTAAGGGTAAAAACTTTGGAAGGATAAAGGAACAAAATGTGGTGGATTGCTATAGAGGACTAGCATTGATCCTCAAACTTTGACATGCATCAGAATCTCCTGGCAGACCTATGAAAATATGGGGGCTGCCCCCTCCGCCAGAGTTTCTGATTCAGTAGGTCTAATGTGAGACTTGAAAATTTGCATTTCTAACCAGTCCTCAGGTGTTGTCTATGCTACCAGACCACACTTTGAAAACCACTGAAGTAGATGGAAGTATCAAAAGTGAGGATGATTACAGTGTAAGAAAACTGACCCAATAGGGTTATCTGCAATTCTCAAGATAAAAATCTAGAGTGGGCCAGCTGCAGTGGCTCATGCCTGTAATCCTAACACACTGGGAGGCCGAAGCGGGTGGATCATCTGAGGTCAGGAGTTCGAGACCAGCCTGGCCAACATGGTGAAACCCTATCCCTACTAAAACCACAAAAATTAGCCGGGCATGGTGGCGCATGCCTGTAATCCCAGCTACTCGGGAGGCTGAGGCAGGAGAATTGCTTGAACCCAGGAGGCGGAGGTTGCAGTGAGCCGAGATTGCACCACTGCACTCCAGCCTGGGCCACAAGAGTGAGACTCCATCTCAAAAAAAAAAAAAAAAATCTAGAGTGGTCTCTATGTGACTCTCTAATGCAATTCTAACACTGTATGATTGTGCATTTTCCTATTTTAAATTACCAGTCTTTCAGAGGGAAGAGTATATAAGAAGATTCTTCCCAAAATAATTTGTGCAAATTGTTGACAGCCGAAGTTTGTAATGCACATAAAAGTAAAACTTTTATGTGTTTATTGTTCATTTTCCAGGAAGTTCTCAATTACAAATAGGCAGATTTATTTTAGGGAAACAGATTAGTAAAACCAGTTTTTCACTAGATTATTTACAAATTGTCTCACTATACGTTATACATATTACATGCAAAGGAGGCCTTATGATCCTTTTTTAACTATTCTCTCATCAATATTAAGATAGAATTCTTTAAAAGGAATGTAACTGCTCACCCTTTTGAAGTGTTTAAATGTCTTCACTAAAAATTTGACATTTTCTACTTGATTTGGTTTACTTTTTCCTGAAAAAAGTGAACACAGTGAAAGGAAGTGATAAATAGGGATGCAAATGGGTTATCCTTTCTTGTTCTAAAAAATTAGTCTTAAGTTTATTTTTCTCTCTATAGGAGATAAAAGATGTATGACATGGACCACTTATGGTTTAAGCTGAATTGCCTCTGTCTTATAATTTTTACTGAGATTCAGTTTATGTTTGACCTAAAAAATTTAAGTATCATACAAAGAGTTTATATAAGAACTTAATATAATTTTCTATAGCTCTTTTAACAAGTTGTAAACTATTTTATTAACCCTTTCTTTAAAAGGCTACCAAGAAGCTGATAATTCATGAGAAACAGATAAAATGACTATAAATTATTCCTCTCAAATAGGACATTTGGCCCTCTTTCTAAAATAATTTCATCATCTCTTTAGAGAGAATAAATAGTCTTTGGCAGGGAGCTAGATCTTGCAGATCTAACAGGGGGTTTTCCGTGTTGCATCAGAATAAGAATTCAAATAGAATAAGATAATTAACTTGAAATTCCAGGCTTGGGTCCACTCCTGACTATCTACTGGACCAGGAGCCTGTCTTGTGCCTTGCTCTGATGAGTAATTAACTTCAGTTTCTTCATTTGTGAAGTAAAGGGCTTAGACTAGATCATCTTTAGGGATTCCCTGAGCTCTGAAATGTTTACACTGTTAGAATAGGCCTAAGGCTATCAGTTTCAATTATGTTGTACTCATCTGTTTCACAGCTCTTCTTGAATATTTTGTTCAATATCAGAAGGATGTTGAGAACAGGGCATGTAAGGAGATGGTGAAAGGTCTAGGAACATGTTAGTAAGAATTGGAGGAACGGAGCTTGGAAAAGTGGTTCAGGGTGGGAGAAGTATGAGATCTTTTTCTCTGAAAAATATGGAATCTCTCATGTGAAGAAGGCAAACATGTATTCCAAGAACAATGGGTGAAACTTGCAAGGAGACAATTTCAGTTCCTATATACCCCTTTATCTCCAACTTCCAGTCCCTGATCCTCCAGAAGATCTTTTGATCTCTGGGCCACTGGCTTAAACTCTCCTCCAAATCCAGTCCCACCTCCTCCACAAATTTTTATGTAAGTTCTAAAACTCCAGCTTCCCTAGAAAATCCTTTAAACATCAACTGCCTGCTTTATCTTTCCTTTCCTTGCAAAATTTTCAGAGAGCACTCCAGCCTGATCTCTAGGCTCAGAGTATACAGGTCACTTGTGTCAATGCTGACAGCCAGAAAATAAACCTGGCACAGGCCCTGGTACGTGCAGCTAGTCTTGCTTTGCTGTACCTTACAACTCCTCCTACTTCCTGGTGTTCTGTAATCAGACTCCTCAGCCACAGACCTTCCTATACAATGCCTCCTGTGAATATATCCTGGATCCCTACTGCAAAGAATTCATGTCCCTTGGACAGAAACAGATCTTCTAAATTACAAAGCCCTTTTGTCTCCACTTTTGAAAGAGCCTATCAAATTTAGAGAGGAGTTAGAAAGATTAGTGGCCATTTATAACCCCATTCATAGGAACCTCCACTGGCTACTAAGGGGTGTTCTTTACACCCATGATTATACTGTGGTTATCAGACATTCCAGAAAGCCCCCAAATGAATGTCTTACCTCTAGAGGGAATAAGTGGCCAGAACTTCTCCCAGGTCCTCCTACAATTGACCAGGAAATGGCTGAGTTATGGGGCCTGATAGGGACAATATTAGAGGCCTTTTCCTCTAAGGTGAAGTGGTCTAGGGTTGAATTATGTACTCAGAAGAAAGGGGAACATCTTAAGGCCTATATGGAATGATTTATACAAACTTTTGAAAGGTTCACTGCATTAAATTCTGAAGCCCTAGGACATGAACAATTTTTAAATTCTGCCTTGGTTAGAAATCACCCTGATACAAAGAGGCAAATCCAAAATAGTGTCATTGGCTGGACAGGTCATTCTCTGAATGTTATTATAGAAGGAGCTATGCAATTCTTTAAAAATAACTTGCAGGAAAATAAGAGGAAAAACGGATTAAAGTCAATAGTACTTGCTTTGAAAATTGATTCTTTACAAAAACAAAATCATAACTCCAGGGAAAACTCAAAACCCACTCACCTTTCTCCCCAACCACAGAGCTTTGTCTTCAGATGTTTGCAGATATTGTAAAAAACAAGGGCATTGGAAAAACAGCTGTCCTAGACTTATGAGAAAGGAAAGCTTAAATAACAATCTCCCTAGACCCCAGCACCTTCACAAGGTCAGCTTTCTCTCTTCTGTGGGACAATACCCCATCGATTGATGGGGTCAGCTAATTTTCAGTCACCCCCTAGATCCCACTATTAAACTTACAGTAGAGGATTGGGAACTGAAATTCTCTTTCTTTTTTTATAAGAGACAAACTCTAGCTATGTTGCACAGACTGGACTCCTGGGCTCAAGCAATCCTCCTGTCTCAGCCTCAGACTATAGACATGGGCCACAGGGCCAGCTGGGAACTGTAATACTTAATTGCCACTGGTGCAACTGTCCCTACCATCTGCTCAGAGGATCTCTCTCCCTGTCACCTCTGCTTCTATTCAAGCTATTGGAGTTTCTGGGCAACGTATTTCATTGCCCATGTATCAGGCCACTGCAATACCCTTAGGCCTTCTTAACACCCATCATGTAACTCTAATAGATTCATTGCCCAATGTATACAGCAAATCAATATGCGGAGACACATATTGGGGGCAGCAGAGAAAGAGGTTTAATTGTAGGGCCACCAAACGAGGAGATGAGAGGAAACCTCAAATCCACCTCCCTGAGGATTTTGGGGTTAGGGTTTTTAAGGATTTTGGAGTAGGCCAAAGTGTGGAGATTGTTGATTGGTTGAAGGGTACAGGGTAAACTAATGACATGGGAGTTGAAGAAGCTGTATTTTCATGCTGATCCCATTCCTCTATGCTGGAATTCAGGGTATGAAACAAAACGTATGATTCTTATGTCAGAGATCCTGTCTGTAGGAATAATGGGGATGCAAATCAACTCTTAAACAGTCTTACAACCCTAATGTCAGCAATCCTATCCAGAGGAACAATGTGGTTACATCTGCAGATGCTCAGATTCTAGTGCTATGTGCCTTTCAGCAACAAGGAAGTGGGCCAAAGTGCAGCCTGATTAATGCTGAATTATAATTGTATTTCTCTAGAAACCAATATGCAATGCTTGTCAACCCTGTGGGAGTGTTTTCAGTCAAGGTTTTCTAGTTTCTGAGTCCTCACCAACAAACCTGTTAGGTGGAGATGTGTTATACAATGTAAAGAGAGAAGCATTTTTATTTCCCTGGCCTTAGACTTCCTCCTTTCCCTAATGGAAATTCATCTTGATTTTAAATCCTCTGAAGAGGAAGCAACCTTTAAAGATGTCTCAACTCATCTCCCAGCCTCACATGCCAATGAGATTGAATTGCTACTGTGTGTGGAGCCTGTAGTTATTGCCTGGAAAAGAATAAATCTTTCCTGATAGTAGCTCAGTATGCCCTCTCACAAAATGCAGAGCAAGAAATTAAACCTGAGAAAGAAAGAAAAAAAAAAAACCCTTTTTATCTAAGGAATGCAAACTCCTTTAAATTATCAGGCCCAGAGAGGTATTTATAATATAACAGCAGTCAGGTTTCATTCGCCCTTGAGCTAAAGAATTACCTCTTGAAGCTATATGTGCTATATGAGCTATAGACTAACTGATGCCATACAGCCATAAGATGTCATATACCCTATAGTTTAACAACGTATAGACAATCACTAACCAATGTGTTTCTGTAAATCAGTGAGAATTCTTGATGAACGTATTTTGTAATCACTCCCTCTCCTGATTCGTCCTTTTTCTTTAAAAACTTGAGCCTTTCCTTTGTTCTCCCAAAGGCTTGCCAAGGCAACCTGGAATCAGGCTGCAATCCTCAGCCTTGGCACAGAAAAACTCTTTAATTTTGCCTCAGCTTCTTCCTTTTAGGTCAACAAACTTATAATAGACTGTCTTTTACAGAGGGTGTTCTTGTCTTTATTTCCTTCCTTACTCTGTAATACCTTAATCTTGCCAGTAAAGAAATAAGGAACATTTGATTCAGACAGGAATAAAATCTATTGATTTGTACAAGATCTAAGAGCCCATAAACTCCTTTGTGATTTTTCACCACCCCTTAGTCCCTAATCCAGCTGACATTTCTACTTCAATTTCTGCTGATACAGCCTGATTTACAATGATTGACATCTGCTCAATTTTCTGTTCAATTCCATTGCGCCCTGACTCAAAATTTCTCTTTACATTCACATTTAGAGGGAGAAAATGAACATGAACTCATATAGGTCAGGGATACCATGAGTCCTTTTCAGTGTTTTCCCGAGTCCTTAAAGTCAGCTTAGACTCTGTGTCCTTTACCCAAGGCTCTACTCTTGTTCATTATTCCGATATGATCTTTTAGTTTGTTACTGAACTAAGCAACCCACTCTTCCAGACTCCCTCATTTTCCTAAAGGCACTAGCTCAACAGAGGCCATAAAGCCTTCCAACCTAAACTTCAGTGGGTGCAAATAACTGTTACTTATGTAGGATTGAATTGCTAGGTTGTCATATCTCAGAGCACTCAAAAGCTCGCCCCAAAATGCCTAGAGTCAGTTTTGTGCATTCCCCTCCCAAAAAAACATCTATGTAAATTTCTAGGAGCAGCTAGTTATTGCCACCAATATATTCCTAATTTTGTTGCCTTTGCTAAGCTCCTTTATACCCTCCTCCCAGATATTAATTCTGAGCCCATTTTCTTGGCCTGCAGATCCATAAATCTCCTCCGGAGCCTTAAAATTAACATCCACATCCCCTGCTCTCAGCTAACCTGATTTTGACAGACCTTTTCGCCCATCTCACCATGACACAATGGGATTGCTGCAGATATTTGGAACAATTTTTTTGCCTCTCTGATACACCCTGTAGCATATTTCTCATGTCAATTGGACCCCCATGCCGATGTGCAGTAGCCACAGCTACCACCCTAATAATTGACAAAGCCAGCATATTCTGATATTACACTCCTTCATTCATCCATATGTTCCCCATGCTGCCTGTTCTCTTACAAGTTCATAAGATACAGCACCTTTCTCCAGATGGCAGGCCACCTATGCACAGGCCCTGTTTACCAGCTCCTCCATCATGTTGCATTGTTGTAACACTTTAAATCCAGCTGCTCTACTGCCCCTGCCTGATGATGGAGAGCCTCACTCCATTCAATATGTTTGCCTTGCAGCTATAGAAAAGGTCTCAAAGCCACAAGAAGACCTCCTAGATACTCCTTTAGACAATCCAGACTTATTTCTATTTTGTAATGGCTTCTGTGGATGACATTTCCAGGAAACATAACTGTGAAGCCATAGTTTTCCCTTGTGAAACACTTCAGGCATCCTCTTTGTCCACTGTAAAGTCAGCCCAAGCTGCCGAATGTATAGATCTTGCTAGAGCTGGTGTAATGGCAAAAGGAAAAATTGCCACTATTTACCCTGACTCCAGATATGCTTTGGGTGTCTGCCACACTATTGGCAATCTGGAAGTCCAGCAGATTCTTAACTTCTGCTGATAATCCTATTTCCAATTAGCATATAATTGCTGCTCTATTACAGGCTGTTCACCTCCCTATTCAAATTGCTATTGCTCATTGTTCAGCTCACCCTAAGGAGACTGATAGTATATCTCTAGGGAACGAGAGGGTGGAGAAGGCCACTAAGAATGCAGCCCCAAAGAACCCTCCTATTCTTTTCCACCCTTTATTAACCTGCCTTTATTGCTTACTGGTGTTATTGATTACCAGAGAATGGGCACAGTGCGACAAACAAACAAACAAACAAACAAAAAACCCACAAATGAATACAAAAGAATGTCAGATAATTATCAGGTGTATTATACATGGGGCCAATGGAGTTCCTGTGGCCCCCCTTTTTTTAACTTCTTGGCTTGAAGCACTTATCTCCCTTCAGATGGGACATATGTACAGACAGAGGATAGTTAAGGAATGAAAAGATAATTGGTTTTGCCTTGGTATTTACAAAATTTCTAACTGAATTATTCTCAGTGCACTTCTAATAAATCCCATCAGATTTTTGGAGGAGACCAACGTGCCTCAGCAAGTCCTCTAAGACATTAGGCTTTAGGCTCTTCTTACTGTTTGATTGTTGTCTGTATGTTTAGTGGATGGATTGAACGCTATCTGACTAGATGTGCTGACACCATGACAGTGGTAAAGAAATTAATAACAGGTCAGGCGTGGTGGCTCACGCCTGTAATCCCAGCACTTTGGGAGGCTGAGGCAGGTGGATGATTTGGGGTCAGGAGTTTGATACCAGCCTGGCCAACATTGTAGAACCCCATCTGTACAAAAAATACAAAAATTACCCTGGTCTGGTGGCGCATGCCTTTAATCCCAACACTATGGGAGGCTGAGGCAGGTGGATCATCTGGGTCAGGAGTTCGATACCAGCCTGGCCAACATGGCAGAACCCCATCTTCACAAAAAATACAAAAATTTGCCTGGTGTGGTGGTGCATGCCTGTAGTCCTAGCTTCTTGGGAGGGTGAGGCAGGAAACTTGAGCCTGGGAGATGGAGGTTGCAGTGAGCTGAGATCGTGCCATTGCATTCCAGCCTGGGAGACAGAGCAAGACTCTGTCTCAAAAATAAATTAATCAATTAATAAATAATAAATAACAGATCATTCTTCATTTGGATGTTCTATTATAGATTCAATCAGACCACTGGAACTTATTTTACAGCAGAAATAAAACAGTTGTTTGCAAAAGTTCTAGGATATTCATTGAAATTTAATACCCTATATCATTCCCAATCCTCAGAGCAAGTGGAATGTAAACACTGAGACACAAAAGTAACTTTAGGACAAGTCTGTCAAGAAATTGGACTTAATTGGCTGAAAGCATTACACCTTGTAAAAAAAAAATGCGCAGGGTGCGGTGGCTCAGCACTGTAATCCCAGCACTTTGGGAGGCCGAGCTAGGCAGATCACTTGAGGTCAGGAGTTTGAGACCAGTCTGGCCAGCATGGTGAAACCCTGTCTCTGAAATCCCAGCTTCTTGGGAGGCTGAGGCAGGAGAATTGCTTAAATCCGGCAGGTGGAGGTTGCAGTGAGCTGAGATCGCGCCACTGCATTCCAGACAGGGCGAGACTCCATAAAAACAAGCAAACAAACAAACAAACATACAAAAACAAAACCATTACCCCTTATAAAAATCTAGAATACTCCAAATAGAAGACATGGATTAACCTCTTTTGAAATAGTGTTTGGTTGCCCCATGCCTACTGGCAGCTCTAAACCTTCCATTTCTGGATTGAATGAACATTACAGGGACTTCAGTGAACAATTTGACGCTATGACTAGATATACACAGACCCTATTACATTTAGAGCATATCATCAACAGGTAAAAGGGGCATGGCTTGTGCTGACTGACAGACCTTACTATAAACCTTTTGACTGGGAAATCAGAGTACATCAAGGCTTTTAGAAGAAAACATACGCTGTCACCTAACTGGGAATGTCCTTGCAAAGTACCACTGACCACCTACACTGCTATCAAAATAAAAGAAAAATCCTCCTGGATTCGTGCAAGTCATGCCAAACCAGACCCAGATTACCACTCCCAGGGCAATTGGAAGACCATCCCTACAGGTGACCTTTAAGTAAGGATTTCCAGAGTCGAGACCCAGGCCCAGGAAGCAAACAATATCATGAAGTAGACAGTTTTTCCCAAGATCACAGATCAAGCAACTTTGCTTACACCTATTAATATTTTCTTCCTCTTTTCAGCCTCTCAAATTCAATAAATATAAAAACAACAAGAGATCAGAAAACAACAAACAAACCCTCTTCCTTCACCACAGACTACCTATGAACAGACCTGTTCACCAATCCCTCCATCGTGTTGACTTATTGGCCTTTTATTTAAGGGCTGACTGTGGAGATTATTGTCTCTGTCTCTTCGATTGGCCCTCCGATCCTCCACTATGACCTTTTTTTGAAACTGTGTCTCTCTTTTATTAACCCTGACAGTTTTCTCAACAGGTTAAGTGCAGACCTAACTCCCCTTACACCAGTTTTCCAAACTTGGCCACATTAACTAATCTGATTGCTGGTTATGCCAGTGCCATCCAGATTATGCAAAATAACCTAACTAATTTCTGCCAGTGCAAGTGCCTGGTGGACCAACTTGGCAAATGGATGTATGACAGGGTATGGTATCCATGACCAAGAAAATAATATCACTGGACACAGTGGCTCACACCTGTAATCCCAGCAGTTTGGGAGGTTTAAGCGAGTGGAGTTCAAGACCAGCCTGGGCAACATGGTGAGACCCCATCTCCACAAAAATATGCAAAAAGTTAGCTGGGTGTGGTGTTCTGTTCCTGTAGTCCCAGCTACTCGGGAGGCTGAGGTGGGAAGATTGCTTGAGCCCAGGAGGCTGAGGCTATCATGAGCTGTGATTATGCCACTGCACTCCAGCGTGGGTGACAGAGTGAGACCCTGTCTCAAAGAAAAAAAGAGAAAAGAAAATAATATCTTTCTACTTCTTTTGGTGAGTTAATTTGATAGAGAAAAATCTCTGTGAAGCTTGAAGGCTCTCCTTTGCTCAAGTAAGTCATTAAAGGGACATTTTTTCCTTTGTATGGAAAATAATCGTGGTGCTGGACCCTTCCTGGGTGACATACCAAGGGTATACTGGAACCAAATCCTGTGGTTTGTTCTATAGGTGACATCTTCAACCTCTCATGAAGGTCACAGATGGTCCTGGCACTGACTCTTGTGATACAAGCACTTGTCAAATCACTGGATGTCATAGCTGGCCTACAAGCCAGCCCTGTGCAACGCAGGGTAGTTCAGCCCCTAACTGGGCTTCCAAAAACCAAAGATTATATATGAATAAACCAAAGATGTAGATTAACTTGGTCAGATGACAAAACCACACCTTATAGCTGCCAAAGCCAAACTGCAGGACTCCTATATCAGGTATTCTGCAGCAGTTCTGCTCCTACAGACTAACAGGGACATAGGAAGATGGGGATGTGCAGATGCCAACATGACATGTGTCAAAACATAACAAACCCCAGACTGGTGGGTCACAAGTTCCACTCTAACCTCATCCATGAACAACACTGGTCTTTTTATCTTATGTGGCAACAAAGTATATATGGTATTCCCATCTATATGGTCAGGATGATGCAGACTCGAATATCCGATGCCTCCCATTGCCAGATACTCCACTTTAAATGCCAGTCAGATTACAAGTGTGGGCTCAGCTGTTGACAAAGTAGTGCCACACAAATGTACCAGAAGTGACATTATGGAAAACTCATTTGTATATCACAATTCTAAGTTCTCTTCAGTATTGAGATCTTGTTCCTGGGCTTTGGAACTTACTTTTTGGAAAAGGCCATTCTAAGTCTTTCTATAGTAATGCACAAGAGTTCAGTATTACTATGCAAACATTGGAAGCACTCCAATCAGAAGTTAAATTTATGCTAGAGCCCAGGAGTTCAAGGCTGCAGTGAGCTGTGATCATGCTATTTCACTCCAAAATTGTCAGGGACTAGATTCACTAACAGTCAGACTAGGAGGAGCTTGCTTGATCATTGGTGAAGAAAGCTGCTTCTATGTAAAGAACTTAGGACAAATAGTGTTTAATTGGCACCATTTAAAGGGCAAGATAAATATTAATTCTCCCCATCAGATAAATGAGGCTCACGATTTTAATGGACTGACCTATTTCTAGGGATGGGAGACTGGCTTAATGGGATATGATGAAATGTCCTTAGATTTGTTCTTTCCTGATGATTCATACTTGTAATCTATGTTCTTCTCTCCCTTTGCAGATCTCTTGCCACTCAGCTACTAACCCAGTTTTTCTCTCCACCGCCACCTGCTCAGCTTTTAATGTATGAAACTTCTAGGGAAGTTTCAGATGGGAGAAATAAAGGAGTTAAAAACATGCTGCCTCAAAATATGCTCCTCTGGCATATTGACTATTATGAAATAAAGGTACTTGAAAAACAGCAGGTGCAAGATCACTCTTTCTTTCTATCTCTTGAAAGCAGGAGATGAAATTCCCATGTGAAAGGTGTTTTCCCTATACCAGAAGGAAACGTTATTCTTATCATTGAGGAAGGGAAGTTGAAGCAAAATATAGGGAGGGAAATCTGTACAATCAAACCTTGTTAAACTAACCCTTATCTTCCTAGTTTCTTTTCTACCCCGTTAACTACCCTAGATCAAGCCCTTTAACTTTGTCACATTTTCATAAGTTTTTGAATTTTTTTTGTTAAATTCAGAATATAAGTGTTCAACTCTAACTGTGACTTTGGGTGCTCATTTCCTCATGAAGACTCCTGTGCTACATAACACTTGTATTAAACAAATTTGCGTGCTTTTCTTCTGTTGATCTGTCTTATGTCAACTTAATTCTCAGACCCAGCTGAAAAACCCCAGGGAGTAGAGATAAAATTTTGCTCCCTTATAGTTCTATGACTCTAGTTTGATTCTAATTTAGTATGGACAAAAATGGGACCCCATGGTCACTTGGCGTATATAAGTATCTATATACTTTAAGAAGGGATCCCAGGATGTGGTAAGGTTTACTGATCATACATATTCATTTATTCATAAATTTTTTCAACAGTCATTGAGGATATATTATGTGTATATTCAACTACACTGACTAGGTTATAGAGACAAATTAGACCAAGTGTTTGTCCTCAATGAGAGTCTAGCCTAATGGAGGAAAACAGACACAATGAACTAGGTATAATAGTGTCACAGGTGCTCAGATAGATATTTTCATAGGGGCATTGAGGCTACTAAGACTAAATGAGGAGAAAAGATGGGAGATTATGAGAGAAATGTAACCCATAACCCCTACTTTTCTAAGAGATAGTTTAATTATTTTCTCTCTCTCTCTTATTTTCTCTTTCTTCCTTTCTCCTGCTTCCTACTTAGCTCTTTAGAAATGCAATTATAGCCTCTCATCCACCAGGAGGCTGCCTTGAGAGATAACTGTTGAGTTATAACCCAAAGTCCCGCCAGGAAATGCTCTCCCACCTGGAGAGTTTTCAGCCACCTTTACAACCTATTTCTGCCTATGAAGATGCCAACTCAACTGCCTGATAGATCAGGTACCAAGCTATCACATGGACCCTCCCTGCCTGCTTGCTTCCTCCCCTGGCTTTTAAAGTGTCCGCTTTTTGCTCCAAAAGCAAAGCAATAACATTAAGACAGGAAGCCTATACTTCTTCCCTTAAACTAGCTTTGGAATAAAAGTTACTTTTTTTATACCAGACCTTGCTCTTGTTCATTGGACTCTGCAAGCAGTGAGCAACTGAACCTGCGTTTCAGTTATAAGAGAGTAGGAAAGGCTTCATGGAGAAGTTGACCCTTGAGTTGAGTCTTGAAGATGAGAAGATTCCACTAGGAGAATGGGCAATGAAAGGAAGGCCAGTACATGGGAGCTGATAAAACAGCATGGTGTATGAAGAGTCAGCCTAGTTCACACTTGTCTTGAGTGCAGTGTCCACAAGTACTATATCATGAAGAGCCTTAGCTACCATGCAAGGGAATTTTAAAGTATTGCATCCTAAGCAGGCTTGTCGTAACACTTGTGAGGTTCAGGGCAAGAGCAGAAGTACAGGTTTTTGGCTGTCTTCCTGTTTCCTCTCCTCCAACCTAAAGATCCTCACACACATCTGTGAATAGCCCAGCCTGCATGTCTAAGCTATGTCCTATCCTCATGAAAACATCTGCCTTTTGGCCTCCTCTAAGGCTTAAGAATGAGCCTTGGCAGCCTGGTGGCTTCATGGGTCTGGAAGCAGACTCAGATTCTTTGGGCTGGGTGTTCCAGGAGTGTTGTCTGTAAGTAGGGAGGACACAGGCTCTGGGAAGAACAGCCCTTTGGACCCATACAGACTCCTGTCCTGAGTGAGGGGGGGAAGTGGTTATAGGAGGGCCAGAGTGGGGCTATCTAAATTTTAGTGGGGTAGCAAACTTTTTCTGTGAAGGACTAGCTAGTAAATAATTTAGGCTTTGAAGGCCAGATATGGCCACCATTGGATGTTCCTGTTTTGTTTTGGTTGCAGGCATTAAAAAAATACAAAATCCATTCTTAGCTTGAGGGCCGTACAATATTAGGCTGCAGGTTGGATTTGGCCAGGGGTCATAATTTGTAAGACATACAACAAGAGTAGTAGGGCATCTCTGAAGAGTGTGAAAAGGGGACTGACCGTCACTTTGTGTTTTAGAATCATCAGTTTGGCTTTGTGGAGTGTATATAGAAACTGGACAAACTGGAGGCTGTTGTAATAATTCAAACAGGAGATGATGAGGCCCTGACCTAACTCAGCAGCAATGGGACTGGAGAAGATAGTGAATTAAGAACATTTTAAAGGAATTAGTGACTTTGGGTTTTTGATTAAAGCAACTGGGTCGTGGTTCTAATCACTGAGATGGTGACATCAAAGGGCAGGGTAGCATGAGCTAATAGGTTCGTTTTTAGTATCTGATTCTTGATTTTTATGTAGGAATCTCAAGGGGATGTCCAGTAGAATTCTCATACATACGAGTTGCTATTCTGTAGTGAGGGCAGGGCTGAAGATACAGATTTGAGAGTCACAGGGGGGCACACAGCCACCCCAGAGCTTCTGAAAGGTGAAACTGAAGAGGTGAAACTCCTTGCATCCTGCAAGTGTCTTGTTCTTGAGATGAACCAGATCAAGACAGGGCAAGAGAGGAGATACTGAAGCCCAACCCTGAAAACCTGGCCCAGCTTCTGGGGCTGACAATCAAGGCTGAGGCTGGTGAGCAGTGTGGTGTGAGAGGCTGAAGCATGGTTGGAGTGTGGCCAAAATAAATCTGGAAGGGTAACCAAGGAATGGTGAGCAGAGAAATCTTTCCTCCGGGGGTAGTCTCTCAACTACTAGATCTACACCCTGAATTAGGAATCTCCTGTATTATAATGTTTGACTCTTAAGTCGGAAAGCTCAAGTGTGAGAGAAGTATAACGTTTATGACCTATGAATCCACCTAATTTTGACTCCAAGCTGCCACGCATTAGGCTGGTAGGAAGGTGAATGTAAATCACTCCAGTAGGTTTGGGTCCCACCTCAGTCACACTCCCTTACTCTGCCAAGGCTCCGGAGGCCTTCCTTAGTCACTGGTCATCTCCCACATCAGTCAATGCTGACATGCCCATTGTCTGTGTCTGCACAATACTGGCAGGTCTGGCAGCATCTGGCAGTTTCCGTGACATATTTAGGACACTGGACTATTCGGCAAAGCTCTGCAACCCATTGCCTAGGGCTTTGTTTTCCTAGATGAACTGAGTACCTCCTGCCTGGAGTCTTGCTTCCCATAGTAATGACCCAAGCAGAGAATGGGTCCTCTTGCTTCTAGACCTACAGATCTCTTCTCTTCAGGACCTCTAAAGTCATCTCTAGTTTGGGTGGATATTTCTCCCTCTTGTTCTTTCACCATATGCTTTTATAATTCATCAGATTCATAACTTGAAAAACATGTTCCTCTTTCCTCCAGGAAAGGGAGGGATTACTAATCCAAAGTGAGGGAAAATATTTGCATTTCACTTTCTTGTCCATCAAAAAAAGGGAAGAAAAACAAAAACAGTTAAGATTTTGTACTGAAATAGTGAGCATTTACACCCTGCCACATATTTGTGGAGAGGAGGATAAACAAGTGCAAGGAAATACCCAGGAGAAGGACTTGATGAATGAGACAATTGGCAGGACATATGATGGGTCTGAGGAGTGGCTGAAGATGATGTCTTTAAACTTGGACTTCCCTGATTTTCAGAATGGAGCATTGCAATGAGCCTGCATTCAGGGTCCATAGATCAAACCTGAATATCCCCAGTTACCTAGTAGATAGGGCTGCAGGTGGCAGGGGTGGGGGCTGGGCATTAGTGGTCTAACCTCGTATGAACTTTCCTGCTTCTGGTCAAGAAGGCTTTGGAATTCTGTTGGGGGTTGAATCTGGGTGCTGAATTTTTGCTTTAATCTGTGAATTGTTGCGGATGCCCACGGCTGAAATTAACTAACTTTTAAAAATAATTAGTCAGTTTACTTGCTTTATTTCATTTGTTCTTCAAACTACCCAGGAAGGTAAATGTCACAGTTTCCATTCTGCTGATGGGAAACCTGAAACTCAGAGAGGCCAGGGGAATTTATCACAGTAATAGAGCAAGTATGTGACATCAAATCCATGTCAGTTATTGTAGGTTTACCCTAGCGGATAATTTATTGTCCAATAGTGATATTTCGAGAATGAAAGGGGCAACTATTAATAATTATCTCAGGACTATAAGTAAAACCAGAGTTTTCCTGTGTGGTCAGTCAACTTGGCTATTTTTTTATTTGTATTAACTTTTTAAAGAACAAATTGTAATCTTTGTAATCATTTCAACTTTTAAAAATTCCCCAGCATGGCCGACATTGCAAAACCCTGTCTCTACTAAAAATACAAAAATTAGCCGGGCGTTGTGGTGCATGCCAGTAGTCCCAGCTACTCAGGAGGCTGAGGCAGGAGAATTGCTTGAACCCAGGAGGTGGAGGTTGCAATGAACTGAGATCATGCCACTGCACTCCAGCCTGGGCAACAGAGCGAGACTCTGCCAAAAAAAAAAAAAAAAGACTTCTAATTCCTTTTATGAAGCCAATATAACCCTAATATCAAAACTTGATAAGAGTAGTGCAATAAAGTAGATTACAGATAGTTCTCACTTCTGAACAGAAATGCAAGAATACTAATATGCATTAGGTAACTGAATTTGGTAATTACTAAAATAATATATCATGATTTAAAAATATAGCATACCATGACCAGTTATAGTTAATTCTTAGGACCGCAAGGAGATAATTCTACATTTGAAAAATTTATTAATGTGATTTCCCATATTAAGAAACCAAAGAAAGAAATACCTAGAACATTTCAACAGAGCATAAAAAGCATTCCATAAGGTGCTATATTTATTTACAATTTAAATTAGCAGAAAACTAGGAACAGAAAGAAATTTCCTTAATGTGATAAAAAGGTATTTACTGTTTACCTGGAAAATCTTGAAAAATGTTTGCTTTAAAATTAGGGATAATTCAAGAATACTGGCTATCATAATGTTCTGCCTCACACTGGAGGCTCAGGCCAATGTAATAACATGACATAGAACACTAAGAAATATAACGATTGGATTGGAGGAAATAAAATTGTCATTTCCAAGTGTTATGACTGCTATGACTATTTACATAGAAAATTAAAGTAAATCAATAAACTCTTAGAAGTAATAAGAAGCTTGGGGATTGCAAGATCAATATACAAAAGTCAGCAACATTTTTCAGTACTAGAAATAATAAAATTAAAAAGATAATAGAAAAGAAGATACTGTCTAAAACAATCCCAAATCCCGGTAAAATATCAAGACTTAATAGACAAAAACTCACAAGACTACCACAGAAGAACATTTTGAAACTCTACCAAAGGGCAAAAAGAAACCTGAATTAATAATCAGAAAAATCATCTTCATGAATGAGGCAGCAGTATTTAAGGATAACCATTTTCCCTCAATTTAGGACAATTCCAAGCAAAATTATAGCTACTTTAGGGAGAATGTGCCTTCTCATATTTTGAACGAACCCTCCATTGAGTAAGTCTTGATAGAGGGCAGAGCCCTGCCTCTCTCTGTGGAAGTAGGAGAAGAATCAGAACCTTCTTTCTCTCTGGAGACTAGGATATGAGTATGTAATCCTAACTTGGACATAACATTCTCCTTTCTGGAACTCTGAAGCTTGTGTGAGTGGTAGGGTGATGCAGGGACGGTTTGCAAGAACATTCTCTGTGGCAGCATCCTGGTGGTGTCCTAACCAGGCTCTCTGCAGCAGTGTAGCCTTCTCTGTTGTCAAGCCTCCCATGGTTCCTGCCCATTTTCTGAGCCTGTTTCTCTAATCTTCTTTCTGATTTTTGAGCTCTCTGATATCTTTCCCAATAAAATTCATTTCTGTATTAATTTGGAATCAGTTTCTGTTCCTTACAATCAATAACTTGGAACTGGGAATGTTTACAAAATGATTCTGAAATTCATGTAAAAGTATACATGTCCATGAGTAAATTAAGACCAGGGATTGGTCAACTTTTTCTACAAAAGACTGGATATTAAACATTTTAATCTTTGGTGGCTGGATGCAACTACCCAATTTGGCTGTTGCAGTGTTCAAAAGAAGCAAATTAGAGTAGTGGTGTTTTAATAAAACTTACTAAAATAGTTAGTGAATAGGGTTGGGCCCATGAACCCTAATTCCCTAACCCCTGCCTAAGACAATCAGAAAAAAAAAAAAAAGAAAAAGAGGGGACAGCCCCTTTCCACCAGATATTTAAACATATTACTCAGCCGTAGTAGGTAAACCAATGTGGTACTGGTACAGGAACATACGAATAGACCAGAATAGAACCCAGAAACAGGCACATGAGAATTTGGTCTATTTTGGAGAAAAAATTAGTTTTTATGGAAAAATAAAAATTAGATTCCTACCTAAGGGAGAGATGTAAAAATAAGTAAGGACTTAAATATGAAAGATTGTAACTGCTAGAAAAAAATATATAGGTCGGGCATGGTAGCCCATGCTTGTAATCCTAGCACTTTGGGAGGCTAGGTGAGAGGATTGCTTGAGCTCAGGAGTTCAAGACCAACCTGGGCAACATAATAAGACCCCGTCTCTACAGAAAATACAAAAATTCGTTGGGTGTTGTGGCATGTGTCTGTGGTCCCAGCTACTCAGGAGGCTGAGGTGGGAAGATCACTTGAGCCTGGGAAGTTGAGGCAACAGTGAGGCTGCACTGCACTCCAGACTGGGTGACAGAGCAAGACCCTGTCTCAACAACTAAAAATAAAACATAGAATATCTTTAGGATTTTGGAGTAGAGAAGAATTATGATCATCAGGCCAGTATTAAAATATTTTGCATTTTCTGAGGACACATCAGAGAAAGTGATTGGGTTATGAGGACAAATTTGCCTAGAGCTCAATTCTGTGTTGTTATTTCAGGTAAGCATAGTCTTTCTTCAAAGAACCAAGGACTAGCCGAGTGTGGTTTCGTCTCTACTAAAAAAAGAACCAAGGACTGGTTATTTGTTGGTGGCTGAATGATTGGTTTGTGAAAAGACAGGAAACCCAGGCTGAATAGGGAATGGTGGTCTGGTCTTTGTGTTGACAACAATTAATAGGAAAACCCCAAGAGGCAGAATTTGGAGCCAAAAGGCAGTACGGGGCCCTGATGGATGATTCTATATGAAAATAGATTGTCCCTGAACATGGCTATCAGGGACAATCACGAGGCAAATGACTAAGTCCAGACACAAAGTCAGATATCCAGTAATTGTTGTTTGTTTTTGTTTTCTATATGTATATGTCCTTAAGATTATCTTATCGGAGAGGCAATTATTATTATTATTTTATTTTTTCGGGACAGAATCTGGCTCTGTTGCCCAGGCTGGAGTGCAGTGGCACGATCTTGGCTCACTGCAACCTCCACCTCCTGGGTTCAAGCAATTCTCCTGCCTCAGCCTCCCGAGTAGCTGGGATTAGAGTCACCTGCCACCACCTAATTTTTTAGGCTAATTTATTTTAGTATTTTTTTTCTTTTTTAATAAAGATGGGGCTTCACCATGTTGGTAAGGCTGGTCTCGAACTCCTGACCTCAGGTGATCCACCCACCTCGGCTTCCCAAAGTGTTGGGATTACAGGCGTGAGCCACTGCGCCTGGGGAGGCAATTAAAAAGACTTTGGAAACATACAAATATAGCTTCAAATGCAAGTGCTGTCACATCCCAGCCGTGAGAATTTCCTAATTTATGAAATGAATAAAATAATACCTACTTTTCAGGGTTGCTGTAGTGATCAGAATGTAGGTATGTAGGGTGGATTAGGGATGGCTGCACATTCTTTGTTATGTACTCACATTGAGAAATGGAGTTTAATAATTAAGTGCCTTATTCAACAGGTATTTAACGGGTGCTTACTCTGTGTCATGTGCCCTTCTTGCTGCTGAACAAAGTGGATAAATTCCTTGCCTGAAAGTAATTAAGGTAATACCTTTTAATCATTGTTGGTGATGTAATGGTTATTAAGATAACCAGAATATCGGGGTTTACCTAAAAAGACCTAATTGTCTGATATGGACACGTAAGAAATGAAGTTCAAAGGAAATCTGTCCTAAGTAAATTATAATTAACATCTAAGTATTAATCGTTAACAAGCTGAATAGACACCATATAGCTATTTCAAATTTAAATTAGCCTCTATCTTACCTATTATTTTTAATTTCTACCACTACCTTCTGGAAGCTGTGTAAATGAAAATCCTAACTGAGTAAGTTAACACAAATAAATACCACTTATCCATTCATTCATTCAACCGATCATTCAACAAATATTTTATTTTATTTATTTATTTTTTGAGGCAGAGTCTCACTCTGTCGCCGGTGTGCATCACCACACCCAGTTAATTTTTTGTATTTTTAGTAGAGATGGGGTTTCGCTATGTTGGCCAGGCTGGTCTCAAACTCCCGGTTTTAAGTGATCCACCCACCTTGACCAAAGTGCTGGAATTACAGGCGTGAGTCACAGCGCCTGGCTTCAACAAATATTTGTTGGACAACTTTTATGTGCTAAACTGTGCTAACCATTGTTTCTCTGAATGATTCAGACATAGACTCTGCTTTTTCTGCCAAGAACTCCACTTTTCATATCAAAATTATGGTAGAGGAGGAAAAACTTGAAAAAAAAGTGCTAGGTTAATCATATCTTTTATAACTGAATGATTTCTTAGATTAAGATATTTTAATCTATTTACTTTGAGGTAGATTGATCCCTGAATGACATAGTCTAGTTACTGATAACTAAAAAAGTACAATTAGGTGTTAAGTTTGAATAGAATTTCAATCCATTATTTAGGGTTCCTAAATTTTTCTATATACTGTAGTTGCTTGGTTTTATTCAGGGCTAGGGAAATTTGCTAATTTGAGAGGCAAGACAAAAAAGCCTGTCAAATGCATTTGTATTATGCCAAAGTAGTTCTCAAGGTATCTTTCAAGTGAATGTTTAGCACATATGCGTGCACACAAAACAAACTTGATGTTCACCATTATCAACGACTAGGATGGCAAATCCACTCTTGCTTTGTAACCAAGGAAAGTCACTGCTGCATGGTCGTAACGTGCTTAGTCTTTATGAAGATGCCTCAGCAAAAGATGACAGGGATATAAGACTGAGTTATTCCTTTGAAGTTTAACTCATTATCCTTTGGTAATCATAACTCCATGTTTTTTACCTCCCCAGTTAAAGTTCCAAAAGGCAACAGTAGGTCACAGCAGCCCCTTAGTCGGAGGTTAGGCTCAGGTGCAATTTACTCTCCTCTGTATGCTTGCTAGTAACCAAAGGAGTAACAGTTTCGCACACCAAAAATGATCAGAGTCAGTGGCCAGGGTTTACGTTTCATGACAGCCTTCTATACTTGTAGGAAATACAGACTTTACCGTTAAAGAAACTAATGTGGTCACCAGGGTCATGGTCTTTAGATTCACGTCATCTGGAGTGTAAAGCACTAGATCTGAATTCCCTTTTTGTTGATTGGGGCATTGACAATTGAACTGTAATGACAAAAGAGGGTATAAACTAGAACGTATGTTTGCTGATCCATACAGCATTTTTGTGGTAGCAAGTATTCTTTTGGTTAGAATTAATACATCTCTTCTGGTTTGAATGATAGTCTCCTGAAGTTGATGAAACTTAGTGGTTTCATAAGAGAAAGGGTGCCCTCATGTGGCGATTTAGAAACATAACAGCAAATTCTTTGGCATTCCCGGCTTCAAGGAGGAGGTGTATATTGCCTCATTTTAACTCTGGTTGTGTTTCTGATTACTTTTATCAGAAGAGTATGGCAGAAGTGAGGTTATATGACTTCTATGGCTAGATCTTAAAAGTCATACAGCCTCCATGGTGGAGAAGATGCCATGAGCAGGCAGTATGGTTGACAGTCCCAGCTGAGCCCAGATTTCCAATTATCTCCAGCAACGCAGCAGACGTGTGATTGAAGCCATCCCAGCCCCTCCCAACCAGCCCATCGGCCCCACAGAACAAAAGGATCACCTAGGGCAGCCTTGCCTGAACTCCTGGCCTACCAAATCATGAGACATAATAAAATGATTGTTGTTTTGAGCTACGGTTTAGGGTTCTTTTTATGCAATGTTCGATAACTGGACACTCCTTCTGTTAATTCAAGTTCTCTAAAAGCTGATACCAAGAGGATCGGATTCGACATAAAAGAGGTTTTTGGGGAAACACCTGTGAAGGATAACGGGTGAAGGAGTGGACTAGGTAGGGAGAGCTTTCAGACTCTGATGCAGGTCTGGAATCTGAAGGAAGAAAGATTAGGCAAGAAGAGTCTTAGGCTATCTCACAAGAAAATAAAGTATTTCCAGGCTGTGGTGGTGGGGGGGGAGGTCCTCAAGCCTGTTAGAAAGATTCTGCTTATCCCAAACACTTTATGTCAAACTGGAGTTTTGGACCTGTGTGCGGCATGCTAGAATTGATAGAATGTAGCTTAGAAACTCACGAAAACAACTTACAGAATCCCACGCCGGGCGCGGTGGCTCACGCCTGTAATCCCAGCACTTTGGGAAGCTGAGGTGGGCGTATCACCTGAGGTTGGGAGTTTCAGACCAGCCTGACTAACACGGAGAAACCCCGCCTCTACTAAAAATACAAAATTAGCTGGGTGTGGTGGCACGTGCCTGTAATCCCAGCTTACTCCGGAGGCTGAAGCAGGAGAATAGCTTGAACCCGGGAGGCAGAGGTTGCAGTGAGCTGAGATCGCGCCATTGCACTCCAGCCTGGGCAACAAGAGTGAAACTCCGTCTCAAAAAACAAACAAACAAACAAACAAACAAACAAAAAATCAACTTATAGAATCCCAGTGTTAGGACTTTCTCCCTCTCACATTGTATATCATCTATTATAACTCTGAAAATGTATTATAGTTTTTTTTTTTTTTTGAGACGGAGTCTTGTTCTGTCACCCAGGCTGGAGTGCAGTGGTGGTGCAATCTCGGCTCACTACAACTTCCGCCTCCTGGGTTCAAGCAATTCTCCTGCCTCAGCCTCCCAAGTATCTGTGATTACAGGTGTGCCCCACCACGCCTGGCTAATTTTTGTATTTTTAGTAGAGTTGGGGTTTTGCCATGTTGGCCAGGCTGGTCTCGAACTCCTGACCGCAAATGATTCACCCGCCCCCCCCCCACTTGGCCTCCCAAAGTGCGGCGATTACAGGTGTGAGACACTGCGCCCAGCCAAAATGTGTTATAGTTATTTTTTACATAGCCATGTTATTCATCAGACTTTGATATTCTTGAAGGCAGGATCTATGTGTTTTTTTTTTATCTTTGTATCCTTCTTCATTCCCCAAGTTCCTGGCTCAATGAATGCTTGTTGAATGACTAAGAATGATAGTGAAATCACATTCCCTGTGTGGTTCTCAGAACAAATTGTAATTCTCTGGATTTACTTATAAGGACTTCATTGTTGATGAAATATCTGAATATTAATTATGTCTTCTAAAAATATGTTGTAAACAGACTTGTAAATAATAGTGAAGAAAATCACATGAAAGGAGGAATTTCTCTTTAATGGTACTTTGCTATCTTAGTAAATAGTTTTTATAGTCTTTGCTAGCGCTGCTCTCCCACCATTTTCTGACAGGATTATGGATAGTAGAATTCATAACTCACTAGACTGACGTTTTAGTTGACTTCCTAGAGAATATATTTGATCTTGTAAGTTCTGTACCTAAAGACTTCCTTGTCACTGTATCCTATTGTGATGGTTCCCAGATTTTTGGATTTCATGGATTAATATCATTTTTTAAAAACTGGGATGCTGACACTTATTTTGTAAAGCAAGAACATCAAAAATAATCTATGGCCTATTATTACCATCATTTTACAAAAGAAAGGCTATGTTCGTAACAAAAAGAGGATATCTCAGAATTTTAAAATGGAATGGACAGAGACAGATTACAGAGTTAGTACATTATCCTTATTGTTCAGCATTCCTTTACAGTTTGGTACCAGCCTGTGTACCTGAACTATTGGCTGTAAATTAAAATTTCAACTTATTTAAGGCTTTCCTAGTTGTCCAGCAGCTGCCATTTTCCAGGGGCTGGGAAGGAGGAATGAGAATGTCCTGGGGACAATGCTTTTTTTTTTTTTTTTTTTTGAGATGAAGTTTCATTCTTGTTGCCTAGGCTGGTGGGCTGTAGTGCAACAGCATGATCTTGGCTCACTGCAACCTCCGCCTCCCAGGTTCAAGCCATCCTCCTGCCTCAGCCTCCCAAGTAGCTGGGATTACAGGCGCCTGCCACCATGCCTGGCTAATTTTTGTCTTTTTAGTAGAGACGGGGTTTTGCCATGTTGGTCAGTCTCGTCTCAAACTCCTGACCTCAGGTGATCTACCTGCCTTGGCCTCCCAAAGTGCTTGGATTACAGGCATGAGCCACTGCATCCAGCAGATGCTTCATTTTTACAGAGGCAACACAGGAGTTGCACACCTCACGTCTGCTTACATTCTGTTGGCCTAGACTTGGTTGGAGGAAGAGACCAGTGAGGCTGGGGAATTCTGGTCTGTAGCTCTTGGCCATGTATTTAACTAAAACTTGGTGTTTCTATTTTTGAAAGGAAGAGGAGAATGGATACTGGAGAAAATAGTGATCCATCACAGCCCACTCCTTTGGCCCTCCATGTAGCCAGGCTCACCATTTTTTCTCAGCAGTGGAGCGTAATCACCACATACCAACAACCCAAAGTCCTGTCTGGGTGCTGCATCCATCTCCAAGTCCAGGATCTCTGGGTGATGTGCTGTCCTCTCCATCAAGTGACAGGGTGGCTCTTGCCTCCCACACCTACATCCAGTATGTAATGATGTTGTAGAATGGTATATCTGCAATAAAATCTCTCTTTCACAAATGGAAAATTGGGAAATGGGAAATGAGCAGGACTCAGTGGTTTATAACAATGGCGAAATTCTAATGGGCAGAAAAACAGACTCCTTGCCCTGGCAATGGAATACATTCTTGGTTAGAACTTGTTCCATTTTCTGTGAGCAATTCTTTGTCTATTGTCCTTTACTCATTATTCTCTACTTTTTGCAAGTGTTAGAAATATGTGCTTGTAGAAGGCTGTTCAGATTTCATAGCCTTCTTCCTGCTGGTGCAAGATAGGTGTGCCTGATCTATTTGCTATATGCATTATTTAGAATAGGCTACAGACCCCAGAACCTAATGATTTAAAGAAAAGATAGTTCATTTCACTTTTACAGAAGAGCTCTGTGCCGGAGTTTCATACCAGCAGTGGCCCCTGCTCCATGCAGTCCTTTGAGGACTAACATCAGTAGAGAATGAGCTAAGCTTCTTGACAAGGGGATGTAGATATGCAGTGGCTTAAAAAATAGAATTTCATTTCTCTCTATATTTCTGACTGCTGGCTGGAAATCAGAGACAAGCAGAGCAAGCTTGGGAGCCTCATATTGAGGAGAGCTCCCGCACCCGCCCAGGTCTGTGCACTGCTGGACTGTTAGATAAAAGAGAAATAAAATTTGCTAGCTTTTCAGGCTGCAAAATGTAAGAAAAGCAGAAAAGCATAAGACCAACAGAGTCCCTTTAAGCTTTCCTAGATATCCCACATCACATTCCTGTATACTTGCTGTTAAGAAAGTTTGAGAAATGGTCTTTGATTTACAATGGCAATATTCTTAGCTAAAAATTGGGGCTCTCCAAAAAAAAAAAAAAAAAAAAAGAAGTGGAGAATGAATGTTTGAGTAGGCATCTAGTAGTCTATGCCATCCTATCTAAACACCAGGAGAAAATGAGTTGGCCTTTTCAGTGGCTGTCTTAGTCTGTTTTGTGCTGCTATAACAAGATACCACAGACTGGGTAATATATAAAGAACAAAAATTGACATCTGCAGAGTCTGGAGGATGGGAAGCTCAAAATCAAGGGACTGGCATCCGGTGAGGACTTTCTTGCTGTATCATTCTATGGTGGAAAGCAAGAGGGAGGGAGAGAGAGAGAGAGCGAGCGAGAGAGAACGAGAGAGTGAGCCAAACTTGTTTTTTTATAATTCCCATGATAACAAACTCCCTCCTGCAATAATGGCATTAATCCACTCATGAGGACAGAGCCCCCACAGCTTTGTCACTTCTTAAAGCTTCCACCTCTTAATACTGTTAGAATGACGTTTAAGTTTCAACATGAGTTTGGGAAGAGACAAACATTCAAGCCCTAGCAATGGCTTAGTTTGTTCATCTATAGTCACATGAAGTGCATTGCTATGTGTGGTTAAATATAGTTTAATTATTGTCAAGAACATTCCAGAAGACATGAAGTTGAAGAAAAGAAGTTCTACAACGGTGATGTGTTATTAAAAATGATTTCTTTCAGCCTAATAAAACTAAACCTGGAATAGCTATAATTTCTTCACTAAATTATTAACTCTGCAATGATAAATAGCTGGTTCCTTTTTAATACAAACATTTTTAAAAGACACTTTTATTCCATGGTAACTTGTGTTATTGTTTCTTCCTAACAGTCACACTTCATTTTTCAGATGAGATATCCTGTTTCTAACTTTCTCTTCCTTATTAAGGAAACTTTTTGCCTAAAGAAACTTTGTGATAATTATTTTTTATGTGCTTTTGAAAAATATTTTATGGTGTTATTATTACAAAATAAATTCCTGTCCATTATAAAAACACATATAAGGAAAACCTGGATATGACCATGCATACTATTTTGTTCTTTATCATTCCACACCTAAACATATGTTTATACTATATTTATACATTTAAAAAATATGTTTAAAATATACTAAAAAATAGAACTGATAATTCAATACATAGTATTTTACAAATTGAATTTTAACTTATATTATGATCTTTTTTCATTGTAAATTTTTCTCTTTTTTTGAGGAAAAATATATATAACATAAAATTTAATGTCTTAATCATTTTTAAGTGTACAGTTCAGTGGTATTAAGTACATTCGTATGCTTGTACAACCATCACCACCATCAATCTCCAGAACACTTTCCTTCTTGCAGAACTGAAGCTGTATGCCCATTAAACAATAATTCTCTATTGCCCCTTCCCCCAAAGGCCCTGGAAACTATCATTCTACTTTCCATCTCTATGAATGTTATACTCTAAGTACCTCATGTAAGTGGAGTCATGCAGTGCTTGTCTTTTTGTAACTGGCTTATTTCACTGAGCCTAAGGTCCTCAAGTTTTATCCAGAATTTTCTTCCTTTTTATGGCTAACATTCCATTGTGTATATATACCACATTTTGTTTATCTGTTCATCTGTCAGTGGACACTTGTGTGCCTCCACATTTTAGCTCCCGGGAATAATGCTGCTATGAACATGAGTGTACAACTGTGTCTTTGAGACCCTGCTTTCAATTCTTTTGCGTACTTTCCCAGAAGTGGAATCGCTGCATCATATGATAATTCTGCTTTTATTTCTTGGAGAACCACTGTACTGTTTTCCACAACTGCTATACAATTTTCCCTCGAAGTGTGCACAGAGGTTCCAATTTCTTCATATATTCACCCACACTTATTCTCAGCTTTTAAAAATAGAAGCCATCTTAGGGGATGTGAGTGAGGCAGTATCTTGTTGTGGTTTTGATTTGCATTTCTCTAATGATTAGTGATGTTGAGCATGTTTTAATGTGCTTATCGATCATTTGTATATATTCTTTGTAGAAACTTCTATTTAAGTTCTTTGCCCATTTTTAAATCAAAATTTTTTTGTTGTCAAATTTTAGGAGGTCTCTATATATGCTCTATATTAATTCCTTATCATATATATGATTTGCAAATATTTTCTCCCATTCTTTGGGTTGCCTTTTTATTCTGTTGAGAGTGTTTTTTGATGCACAAAATTCTTACATTTTCATGAAGTCCAGTATGTGCATTTTGTTGTTGTTGTCTGGGCTTTTGGTGTCCTATCCAATAAATCATTGTCAAATCCAATATCATGAAGCACTTGCCCTGTGCTTTCTTCTCAGAATTTTTTTTTTGTTTGGTTTTCTGTTCCTGTGTTAGTTTGCTAAGAATGATAGTTTCTAGCTTCATCCATGTCCCTGCAAAGACATGAACTCATTCTTTTTTATGGCTACGTAGTATTCCGTGGTGTATATGTGCCACGTTTTCTTTATCCAGCCTATCATTGATGGACATTTGGGTTGGCTCCAAGTCTTTGCTATTGTAAATAGGGCTGCAATAAACATACGTGTGCATGTGTCTTTATAGTAGAGTGATTTTTTTTGTTTGTTTGTTTTGAGAGGGAGTTTTCCTCTGTTGCCCAGGCTGGAGTGCAGTGGTGTGATCTCGGCTTGCTGCAACTTCCACCTCCCGGGTTAAAGTGATTCTCCTGCCTCAGCCTCCCAAGTAGTTGGGATTACAGGTGCCTGCCACCATGCCCAGCTAATTTTTGTATTTTTAGTAGAGACGGGGTTTCACCATGTTGGTCAGGCTGGTTTTGTACTGCTGACCTGAGGTGATCTGCCTGCCTTGGCCTCCCAAAGTGCTGGGATTATAGGTGTGAGCCACCACACATGACAGTAGAATGATTTATAATCCTTTGGGTATATAACCAGCAATGGGATTGCTGGGTCAAATGGTGTTTCTGGTTCTAGATCCTTGAGGAATCACCACACTGTCTTCCACAATGGTTGAACTAATTTACACTCCCACCAACAGCGTAAAGCATTCCTATTTCTCCACATGCTCTTCAGCATCTGTTGTTTCCTGACTTTTTAATGATTGCCATTCTAACTGGCATGAGATGGTATCTCATTGTGGTTTTGATCTGCATTTCTCTAGTGACCAGTGATAACGAGATTTTTTTTCCTATGTTTTTTGGTCACATAAATGTCTTCTTTTGAGTAGTGTCTGTTCACATCCTTTGCGCACTTTTTGATGGGGTTGTTTTTTTCCTGTAACTTTGTTTAAGTTCCTTGTAGATTCTGGATACTAGACCTTTGTCAGATGGATAGATTGCAAAAATTTTCTCCCATCTGTAGGTTGCCTGTTTACTCTGATGATAGTTTATTTTGCCGTGCAGAAACTCTTTAGTGTAATTAGATCCCATTTGTCAATTTTGGCTTTTGTTGCATGCAATTGCTTTTGGTGTTTTAGTCACGAAGTCTTTGTACATGCCTATGTCCTGAATGGTATTGCCTAGGTTTTCTTCTAGGGTTTTTGTGGTTTTAGGTCTTACATTGAAGTCTTTAAACCATCTTGAATTAATTTTTGTATAAGGTGTAAGGAAGGGGTCTGGTTTCAGTTTTCTGCATATAGCCAGCCAGTTTTCCCAACACGATTATTAAATAGGGAATCTTTTCCCCGTTGCTTGTTTTTATCAGGTTTGTCAAAGATCAGATGGTTATAGATGTGTGGGGTTATTTCTGAGGCTTCTGTTCTGTTTTGTTGGTCTATATATCTGTTTTGGTACCATTACTATGCTGTTTTGGTTACTACAGCCTTGTAGTATAGTTTGAAGTCAGGTAGTGTGATATCTCCAGCTTTGTTCTTATTCTTAGGATTGTCTTAGCTGTGTGGGCTTTTTTTTGGTTCCATATGAAATTTAAAGTAGTTTTTTTCTAATTCTGTGGAGAAAGTCAATGGTAGCTTGATGGGAATAACATTGAAACTATAAATTACTTTGGGTGGTATGGCCATTTTCATGACATTGATTCTTCCTACTCATGAGCATGGAATGTTTTTCCATTTGTTTGTGTCCTTTCTTATTTCCTTGAGCAGTGGTTTATAGTTCTCCTTGAAGCAGTCCTTCACATCCCTTTTAAATTGTGTTCCTAGGTATTTTATTCCCTTTGTGGCAATTGGAATGGGAGTTCACTCATGATTTGGCTCTCTGTCGTCTGTTATTGGTGTATAGTAATGCCTGCGATTTTTGCACATTGATTTTGTATCCTGACACTTTGCTGAAGTTGCTTATCAGCCTAAGGAGTTTTTGGGCTGAGACAATGGGGTTTTCTAAATACACAATCATGTCATCTGCAGACAAAGACAATTTGACTTTCTGCCTTCCTATTTGAATACCTTTATTTCTTTCTCTTGCTTGATTGCCCTGGCCAGAACTTTCAATACTATATTGAACAGGAGTGGTGAGAGAGGGCATCTTTGTCTTGTGCTGGTTTTCAAAGAGAATGCTTCCAGCTTTTGCCCATTCAGTATGATATTGGCTATGAGTTTGTCATAAATAGCTCTTATTATTTTGAGATATGTTCCATCATTACCTAGTTAATTGAGTGTTTTTAGCATGAACAGTTGTTGAATATTATCGGGGCCTTTTCTGCCATCTATTGAGATAATCATGTGATTTTTGTTATTAGTTCTGTTTATGTGATGGATTACATTTATTGATATGCATATGTTGAACCAGCCTTGCATCCCAGGGATGAAGCCCACTTGATCATGGTGGATAAGCTTTTTGATGTGCTGCTGGATTCGGTTTGCCAGTATTTTACTGAGGATTTTTGCATCGATGTTCATCAGGGATATTGGTCTAAAATTCTCTTTTTTTGTTGTGTCTCTGCCAGGCTTTGGTATCAGGATGATGCTGGCCTCATAAAATGAGTTAGGGAGGATTCCCTCTTTTTCTATTGATTGGAATAGTTTCAGAAGGAATGGTACCAGTTCCTCCTTGTACCTCTGGTAGAATTCAGCTGTGAATCCATCTGGTCCTGGACTTTTTTTGGTTGGTAAGCTATTAATTATTGCCTCAATTTCAGAGCCTGTTATTGGTCTATTCAGAGATTCAACTTCTTCCTGGTTTAGTCTTGGGAGAGTGTATGTGTCGAGGAATTTATCCATTTCTTCTAGATTTTCTAGTTTATTTGCTTAGAGGTGCTTATAGTATTCTCTGATGGTAGTTTGTATTTCTGTGGGATCAGTGGTGATATCCCCTTTATCATTTTTTATTGCATCTATTTGATTCTTCGCTCTTTTCTTCTTTATTAGTCTTGCTAGCGGTCTATCTATTTTGTTGATCTTTTCAAAAAACCAGCTCCTGGATTCATTGATTTTTTGAAGGGTTTTTTTTGTGTCTCTATCTCCTTCAGTTCTGCTCTGATCTTAGTTATTTCCCACCTTCTGCTAGCTTTTGAATGTGTTTGCTCTTGCTTCTCTAGTTCTTTTAATTGTGATATTAGGGTGTCAATTTTAGATCTTTCCTGCTTTCTCTTGAGGGCATTTAATGCTATAAATTTCCCTCTACACACTGCTTTGAATGTGTCCCAGAGATTCTGGTATGTTGTGTCTTTGTTCTCATTGGCTTCAAAGAACATCTTTATTTCTGCCTTCATTTCGTTATGTACCCAGTAGTCATTCAGGAGCAGGTTGTTCAGTGTCCATGTAGTTGAGTGATTTTGAGTGTTTCTTAATCCTGAGTTCTAGTTTGATTGCGCTGTGGTCTGAGAGACAGTTTGTTATAGTTTCTGTTCTTTTACATTTGCTGAGGAGTGCTTTACTTCCAACTATGTGGTCAATTTTGGAATAGGTGTGGTGTGGTGCTGAAGAGAATGTATATTCTGTTGATTTGGGGTGGAGAGTTCTGTAGATGTCTATGAGGTCTGCTTGGTGTGGAGCTGAGTTCAATTCCTGGATATCCTTGTTAACTTTCTGTCTTGTTGACCTGTCTAATATTGACACTGGGGTGTTAAAGTCTCCCATTATTATTGTGTGGGAGTCTAAGTCTCTTTGTAGGTCTCTAAGGACTTGCTTTATGAATCTTGGTGCTCCTGTATTGGGTGCATATATATTTAGGATAGTTAGCGCCTCTTGTTGAATTGATCCCTTTACCATTATGTAATGGCTTTCTTTGTCTCTTTTGATCTTAGTTGGTTTAAGGTCTGTTCTATCAGTTCAAAGAACCCTGTCAGTGCCTCAGCAAAAAGAAAAGCCTGAGTGAAATTTCAATGATCCCTTTTCATTTTGATTAGAAACAGAAAGAAGTTCTTCAATCCGCTAGTGAATGAAATCAAAAATTCCTCTTTGCCAAAGGAATCACCTGAAATTTCTTTTATGTAAAAATTAAAAGAAAATATAAACTAATTGTTTGTTTTTTTTAATTTTTAAGGTCAGGGTACATGTGCAGGTTTGTTACGTAGGTAAACTTGCATCACAAGTATTTATTGTACAGATTATTTCATCAGCCAGGTGATAAGCCGAGTATCCTTTAGTTATTTTTCTTGATCCTCTCCCTTCTCCCACCCTCCATCAGGGTGTGTTGTTCCCCTCTATGGGTCCATGTGTTCTCATCATTTAGCTCCCACTTATAAGTGAGAACATGTGGTATTTGGTGTTCTGTCCCTGTGTTAGTTTGCTAAGGATAATGGCCTCCAGTTTACGGAAAATGACCAGAAACATCAGAAAGTTCATGGTGACAGGTATATAGAACTCTGAATTACTGCTTTTTAATTTATGCTTCTTCATTTTCTTCATAGGTAAATGTTGGTTTCTCCAAGGAACTTCAATAAGACTTTGTTTGTGGTAGCTCTTTTATGCCACCTGAAATTATTTTTAAAAAGCTTTACTGAGTTATAAATGATACACAGATAACTACACATATTTAATGTGTACAATTGGTTGAGTTTAGACATAAGTAAACACCCATGATATCAACACCGCAATCAAGGTAATAGAAATATCTAACACCACCCAGGGTTTCCCTGTGTTCCTTTATTTTTGTTTTTAATTAGAAATAACTCTGTATTTATTTCTTTCCAAGCATTATAGCAATACATATATTTCAAAAACCAGAATGCCTCTTCTCCTCCAAAGGATCTCATTTGAATCTAATGATATGGTAATTCTGGAAGTCAGATTCTCTCCCATCCCTAGGGTTTGCCTTGCCTTTTTTTTTTTTGTATTCTTTTTTTTTTTTTTTTTTGAGACGGAGTCTCGCTCTGTCGCCCAGGCTGGAGTGCAGTGGCGTGATCTCGGCTCACTGCAAGCTCTGCCTCCCAGGTTCACGCCATTCTCCTGCCTCAGCCTCCCGAGTAGCTGGGACCACAGGCGCCCGCCACCACGCCCAGCTAATTGTTTTGTATTTTTAGTAGAGACGGGGTTTCACCTTGTCAGCCAGGATGGTCTCGATCTCCTGACCTCGTGATCCACCTGCCTCGGCCTCCTAAAGTGCTGGGATTACAGGCGTGAGCCACCACCCTCGGCCTTTTTTTGTATTCTTATAGGTGGTCTCTGTGCCAAGGATCAGCATGAAGTATAAACTTAAGGTCTTCTCAGGTCTTTTCTGAGCCTGAGCCTACCCTAGAGCATGCATGATGGCTTTCTGATTTCCCTTGTATATGCAGTTGTCTGTTAAGGTTGTGTCTTCAGTGTCTGGTCCCAAAAGGGGAAAAAGAGAAAAATGAAGGAGGAAAAAGTGCTGGCCGTTTAAATCCCCTGGAAGTTATTTCAGTCAGTTGGGGAGAGCTTGCAACAGTGAGGGAGATGCAAAAACAATGGCCATAACCTCTTTGTGTGATCAGAAGCAGCAATCTGGAGATCAGAGCACAAATACCTAATAATTGCAGGACAGGGTCCTGTTCGTCCACCCTGGCTCTCAAAGTTGTATGAAAGTTGTATTATATAAAGCTGCTCCAGGAACAGGTGCACAATTGCCTGCCACTGGGCTTAGAGTGGGGGATGGGTAGCCGCTACTGTATTAAGAGCTGAAATTCACCAAAATTCACTACAATTTACTATCTAAGCTGTCCCCTGGAAGATGGAAGCCTTGCATTGACTCCAGAGTTCTAACATAGTTACATCAGACAGATTCTTCCAGTGCAATTGTCATCTAGGTGAGGAGCTAGATTTCTGGTAGTTCCAACTCTGCCATCTTCCTAGAATCCTCACCTGTGGTTCTTTTTAAAGTTCTCTTTTTCCTTAATTTCTTAGGCATTGATCTAATTATGTACTGTGGATAACTCAATTTTCTGTATTTTGGGAGTGACTTGAATGATTTAATAATTTGAATATAACCTTAATGGAAGTTTATGTTAGTGAAGCTTTCATTTAATTTCCGAAATAACTGTTTTTACACATATATATATATCCAATTCCATTAAGAAGCTGACAATCTAGAGTGGACTCCTTAATTAAACAGAAGATTGTTAATTCAATGAGGTAAGTGATGAATGTGAGGGGTAAAATGTTAGTTACCGAGGCAGCTCTTAAGAGGAGCATCTAAGCAGGTTTAGGTGAGTGTGAGATCAGTGAAGGTATTCTGGACGTCAAGACATATAGACTGAGAGGTGAAGAACTCCAGAAGTAGCCAGGTGAAGAGAAGTGGCTCCTTTTATATCAGTTTTAAACTCTGTAAGCTAGGTTGTTTCCCTTGTAGAGCCCCAATGAGTGATTCTGATAACACACGTTTTCCTTCATATCCTTGCTTTTCATAATAGAATTGGTAGCATTCGTAAATTTACTCCAGGGTGAAACAAAATATTTTGACATGTAAAGGATTCTAAAATCATAAAAGATTATCAACAAATAGTATCTTTTTAGTTGATCGTTCAATTTTAGAACTAGAAGGATCGTAAGTCTTGCTTTATAAAGGAAGGGAATTAAAATAAATGATGATCCGTAGCTAAGAGAAGAAAGCCCAAGTCCTCCCTACTAGTTAGAGCATAATTAGGATCAAAACAGAACTTCAGACATAGTTCAATATTTTTTCTGTTTCATATGATTATTTTTACATTAACAACAACAACAACAACTTAACAACAACAACAACAACGATGTGAGAACAGCTGTGGTTAGCTTCACACTAGGTTGGCACTGGGAGAAAAAAATAATTAACTTACTTTTTTATATACCACTTCAGTCACCTTTGATCTGGTCTTCATTCTGCATTGTTGGACTCTATTTTTCTGGAAAGTTTCATGGCAAAAATGGTGAATAACACCAACAAGGAGAGGAATACTACTACATTCTATTTTTTCCCTTTATAGTTAGATTCATTTGTTTTTGTGCTAGCATGGCCAAAAAATAATTTATTGGAAGAACATTAGAATGCTTTATGAAATCCTAAAGAAACCAATGAACAACCAGGGCGTGGGAAAGAAAAGTTTTACAGTATTTCTGGGATCTTCAGCAGCTTATTTGAAATATAGGGATCTTTCCTGTGGGATCTCACCACAAGCGAGACTCAGCTCAGAGCTCCCAGTCTCTAGGCCTCTCTATTCACTGTGGTTACTTTGTGGGGTCTATGTGCATACAAGGGCTTGCTCTGTTCAGGATGGTGTCTTTCAGGTTAGAACAGGGCCTGGAAAATGGTTGCTATGGTTTGGATACAGATTGTCCCCACTAAATCTCATGTTGAAATTTAACCCCCAGTGTGGTGGTGTCAGGAAGTGGGGCCTAGTGGAAGATGTTTGGGTGATGGAGGCAGATTCCTTTTGAAGGGCTTGGTGCTGTTCTTGCAGTAGTGAATGAGTTGTTGTTCTTGGGAGACTGGATTGGTTCACAGGGGAACGGATTATTTCCCTTGAGAGTAGGTTGTTATAAAACCATGATGTCCCTCAGTTTTGGGCCCTGCTTCACACACACCTGCTTCCTGTTTGACCTTCTCCATCGTGTTAAGACTTAGCACAAAAACCCTCACCAGAAGCCAACCAGATGCTGGCGCCATGCTTTTTGTATAGCCTGCACAACTATGGGGTAAATAAATCTCTTTTTGTTTTTTTTTGAGAGGGAGAATCACTCTGTCACCCAGGCTGGAGTGAAGTGGCACTATCTCGGCTCACTGCAACCCCTGCCTCCCAGGTTCAAGTGATTCTCCTGCCTCAGCCTCCCAAGTAGCTGGGATTACAGGTGTGCATCACCGCATCTGGCTAATTTTTGTATTTTCAGTAGAGACAAGGTTTTGCCATGTTGGCCAGACTAATCTTGAACTCCTGACCTGAAGTAATTTGCCCATCTTGGCCTTCCAAAGTGCTGGGATTACAGGCATGAGCCACTGTGCCTGGCTTGGCCAAAACCTATTTTCTTCATAAATTGCCCAACCTCAGGTATTTCTGCATAGCAACACAAAACAGACTAAGACAATGGTAAACCATCAGTACATATTGAATGAGTAAGTGAATGGAATTCCACAATTCCCTATGGAGAAAGCACCTGGTTGGTCCTGCCTGGGTCAGGTGTCTGCCCCTGCTCCCAACAGCTGCGGCAGGAGTTGGGATAGTATACAGCTGGCATGAAGGCCTGCTATAGGTCAGGATACTCCTCAGGGAAGAAAGACTGTCAGAGAAGGGGGCTGATGACTTGAAAGTGAGTTATTTATGTTTGTTCTTAAGAGACTGACAGGCAACCAACAGTTCTGGAGAATTGGCATTTAAAATAAGAACAGATTGTTGTATAAACTTTGGTGTCTTTTCATGTACTGTATCTAAACTTGGTATTCCAATTAGCACATTTCCAAGAAATAAAATATCATCTATTGTAGGATGAACAATTTCTTTGTGTGCCATTAAAAAAGAAGAGATGTTAAAGAAGTAGAGTCTGATAGGAAACACTGACATGAAGCTCAGACACCAATGACTAATCTTGTGGTACAAAGATAAATGAGAAATAAACCTGCTACACCAAAAATACAGCAAGGCCCAGCCTGGCCAGCATGGCGAAACCCCATCTCTACTAAAAATACAAAAATTAGCCTGGCGTGGTGGTACACGCCTGTTATCCTAGCTACTCAGGAGGCTGAGGCAGGAGAATTGCTTGAACCCAGGAGGCAGAGGTTGCCCTGAGTCGAGATCATGCCACTGCACTCCAGTCTGGGCAACAGAGCAAGACTGTGTTTAAAAAACAAACAAACGAAAACCCAGCAAGGACAAATGACTATGTCAATTGTAGTTTGAGGAACTGGAGGAAAAAACATCATAATGCCTTAATGTATGAATGCTAAGCTGGCACTCCTACAGGTTTGCTGATGGAATTCACACAAACAGTGTGGCCTAAACAATCTCAAGCAAATGATTTAATATCAAGTGATGTCAGGTTGATAGAGCCCCATATGTTTGGCATAAACAAAACCAAATCCTCTTCAGGAGAACTGCCAGCAGCTATTGTAAGATGCCATCTTATTTTAGCAGTGTAAACATGTACAAATGTATGTTTTACAATCTGTGAAATTGGCAATGTGCTGAATAATTGTGGAAATTCACCCATTTCTCCAGCATCCTAAATTCACAGATTAACCATAGAATAAAAGTGGGTTTTGAGAGGGTGAGGAGAGTTTAGCTAGGCAATGATAAAAGGAGACATATATGGAAATCAGAAAAGATTTAATCTCCTGGCACATCAAAGATGATTTCGTCTCCTGGAACAGCAATCACAGAAAGACTAGTTTATAATTTTAGCAGCCCTAAAGTATTTTAAATTCAGCCTTAAGAAAATGCATAAATTGGATGATATTTGTCTTGGTCATTTCCATGTAAGATCTTTTTGTCTTTTCTGCCCCATTCAGAGAATCATAATTTCATCCCATTCATGTGGCCTCAGGAGAGGATCAGTATCAGTTATTTTCTTCTTGGTATAAATTTGTGTTTATATATTACTTCTTTCCTTTTTTTTTTTTCAAAAATGTGTTTGCAATTGTGGAATAAATTTTCAGGCATTTGCTTAGAAGTGGAGGAAGCATTGGATATCAAAGTCTCTCCTTAGCACACCTGTAATTATACCATATGAGCAACACTCTTGCCTTCCTCTTTCTTGTTTCCTCACATTTTTTATAAATAAAATATCTCAAAATGTCAACAGTAATTATTTCTGTTTGATTTTAAATTATTTTATTTTTCCTCTTTGTATGCATTTTTATTTTCAAAAATTTTCCCATGGACATATATTGCATTTATTTAATTTTTAATAAAAACAACACTTTTATATAAATTAGAAAATGAAACCCACAGGGAAAAGTGTTCCCAGAAGGAAAAGCAACTTCTCTTTTTCCTTCCCCCACCAGAAGTAATACATTTTCTTTTATTTTTAGTTGTCTAAAAATAGTTACCTCCATGTTATTGAATAATATGCTTACATCACTATTTCTTTTCTTTCTTTCTCTTTTTTTAGACAGGAGCTCATTCTGTCACCCAGGCTAGATTGCTATGGTGGGATGACGGCTCACTGCAGCCTCCTTGACCTCATGGGCTCAAGTGATCCTCCCACTAAAGCCGCCCAAGTAGCTGGGACTACAGTGCGTGCCACCATGCCAGGCTAATTATCTATCTATCTATCTATCTATCTATCTATCTATCTATCTATCATCTATCTATCTACCTACCTATCTATCTATCATCTATCATCTACCTATATGTATCTATCTATCATCTATCTATATATCTATCTATCTATCTATCTATCTGGTCAGTTTGTTTTTTGAGACAGGTTCTTGCTCTATACCTCAGGCTGGAGTGCAGTGGTGCGATCTTGACTCACTGCAACCTCTGCCTCCCAGGTTCAAGCGATTCTCCTGCCTCAGCCTCCTGAGTAGCTAGGATTACAGGCACCTGCCACCATGCCCAGCTAATTTTTGTATTTTTAGTAGAGATGGTGTTTCGCCATGTGGGCCAGGCTGGTCTTGAACTCCTGACCTCAAGTGATCCACCTGCCTTGGCTTCCCAAACTGCTGGGATTACAGGCGTGAGCCACCACACGCGGCCATAATTTTTAAATTTTATGTGGAGATGTGGTTTCACCACGTTGCCATGTTGGTCCTGCGTGGGTCAGGTGTCTGCCCCTGCTCCAAACAGCTGTGACAGGAGATGGGATAGTACACAGTTGGCATGAAGGCCTGCTATAGGTCAGACATACTTATTAGAGAAGAAAGACTGTTAGAGAAGGGAACTGATGACTTGGAAATGAGTCCCCGGCTCAAGTGATTCTCCCGCTTTGACCTCCCAAAGTTCTGGGATTACAGTCATGGGCCACCACACCCAGCCTATATCACTATTTCTTTATCAGTGTTAGGTGTTCTCTACTCAGAGAATTTGCTCACTAGTTCTACTCTCTGCTGTCCTTCCTTTCTGCCCCAATTTTGAGAGTTATATCATTATTGGTTTTGCTTGTAACTTTACATGATCTATGTAAATCTTTGCTTCTTGTTCCATTAGTTTCAGGGGCATCTCTCCATTCCCCACCCTGTAATAGGAGGCTCTCAAAGCCTCTGGCATTCTCTGCATCTCTCCCTTCCCTTCACCTCCCAACTTCCCATATTGTTACATTTTCATGATTGATACAACTTTTTCATTCTCTATCCATCATTAAATTGCCTGAGCTTTATCAGTGTGCTCATTATGAATACTAAACAACCAATAAAGAGCATTTAAATTAATCACCGTGTCAACATTATTCAGCTCAGGGCTGAGCAGTGAGCTACAACCATACTTCTTCTCTCTGGTTCCGACATGACCCCTGCCTCTCACAGGAGAATTTTCCCTTCAGTTCAAATGTGCTATCCTTTCTCCAACTTCTCTGATTACTCTTTGAGTAATTACTCTGATTACTCTTTGAGAATTACTCCTGTCACGTTTGAGTTTGTGGCCTTATATTTGGATCATGATTTTTATTATAATTCCTCATTTTCCCTTGGATATCTGATTGTCATTTTTCTCCATTGGGAGATGAAGTTTATGTCCCTTCACCACAGCCTATATATTTTACAGATTTTCACTCACCATTTCATGTATTGTTTAGTAGCTATTTCATTTTTTCTTAAAAACCATCTTTTTTTTTTAGGTCCCATTGACTTACTGTTGTAATTTGGACTGGTTGCTTTCTAGCCCTGGAGCACAGCTATCACTCAGAGATTCTTTTTCCATCATTTCCCTATCTCACATCATCTTTCTTGGATTTCATCCTTTGTGTTTGCAATATATTTTAAATTAGTTATCTCAGAAAATGTACACAAGGGATAGACTTTCTGAACTCCTGTCGTACAAGTTGAGTTTATGTTGGCTTCACACTTATATCAGTTTTATAGGGCTGACATAAAGAGGTACCATAAATTGTATGGCTTAAAATAAGTCTCACAGTTCCGAAGGTGAGGTCAAAAGTAAGGTGTCAGCCAAGTTGGTATCTGAGGGAGAATCTGTTCCATGTCTCTCTCCTAGCTTTGGGTGGTTGCCAGCAGTCCTTGGCGTTCTTTGGCTTGTAGTTGCATCACTCCAGCTTCTGCCTCTGTTACTGCCTGGCGTTTTCCTTGTGTGTCTCTGTGTTCTTCTGTCTTTACATGGCTTTCTTAGGACAACAGTCATTGGATTTAGGGCCCACTCCACTTCAGTATGGCCTCATTTTAACTTGATTACCTCTGCAAACACCCCATTTCTAAATAAGGTCCCATTTTCACAGGTACAAGGGATAAGCACTTCGACTTGTCTTTTTGGGGACACAATTCAACCCACAACCACACTGGATAGATGGTTTGGCTGGGTATATATAGAATTCTAGGAAAAAAATAACTCATCCTCAGGGTTTTGAAGACCTTAATTCAGTCTAGCTTAGAATCATTTTTGCTGATGAGAAATCTGATGTCAGTTTAATTCTATTTTGTTGGAGTCCTTTTTTTTTTTAAAAAAAAATCTTGGGGCATGGTTAAAATCTCTTTATTCTTGGTGTTCTAAAATTTTAACGTGATGTTGGCTCTTTCGTTTGAAGATTCGTTTTTCTCCAAACCATTCACCCTTCTCAAGACTGGAAAATGTCCAATTATTTCTTTGATAATTTTCTTTTCTTTATTTTGTCTATTCTTTATTTTGTCTATTCTTCATTTTTGGAAATCTTATTGGCTGTTGTAGCAGACAAGGTTCAATGAGAGGAGCAGAACCACTAAGAATGATGTAAAATAAGGGACTTATAGGGATTTATACTCATACCGTTGTGGGAGCTGGTAAAACGATCTTGATTTGGCTGTTTCTTCTGCATCTGGTGCTGAACTTGAAGTTACAGGACAGGTGTTAGCAGTTAAAAGATAGAAGTAAAGTGGGGAGAGCAGGACACCTGGGACCTGTGAAATGAGTAACAAGCTGGAACTTTTCTCCTTCTATCACAGGTGCTTGTGATGGCTTCTCCTTGTTGCTAGGTCTCTAACCTTGCTTCTGTGTGTGCCCCATAGAAGATACTAGTATTATTGTGTGGATCCACACTCAGGCCTAACTCAGGAGTTGGAGAAGTTGAAGGAAGAGATAATGTGGGAGCTGGAGCCCTGGGCCTGCAGTGTTTTGTGCTCACAATGTGAATGAGCAGAACCACGAAATTGTGCATGAGCTGCAACAGCACCAGACTCATATCAACCTTGGTAGAGCAAGTATTACTTTACTTCCATGGTCCAAATTCCATGTAGATTTTTCTTGTGGCCAGCCCTAACAAGAAACATAGAGAAAGGAATTCTGGGAAATAAAGTTTAGCTTAGTTAAGTTGACATATTTCAAAGCTGACAGAATTGGGTATTGGACCTCCTGAATTGATCTTTTCTTCTTCCTTTTTCTGTCCTATTTTCCATTTTTTTGTCTTTCAGCTCTTCATTCTGAGTGGCTTTCTTTATCTTCCAACTCTTTTACATTATACTTCTCTCTTGACAATCATAAATTCAATTTTCAAAAGTTTCAGCTTATTCTCTGATAATTTTTAATATAATCTTAGTATTACTTTTGTTTTGTTTTGTTTTGTTTTGTTTTTGAGATGGAGTCTCACTCTGTCTCCCAAGCTGGAGTGCAGTGACACGATCTCGGCTCACTGCAACCTCTTCCTCCTGGGTCCAAGCGATTCTCCTCCCTCAGTTTCCCAAGTAGCTGGGATTACAGGCACCTGCCACCACGCCTGGCTAACTTTTATATTTTTAGGAGAGACGGGTTTCATCATGTTGGCCATGCTGGTCTCGAACTCCTGACCTCAAGCGATCTGCCCACCTTGGCCTCCCAAAGAGCTGAGATTGCAGACGTGAGCCACCGCCCCTGGCTGGTTACTGTTTTTTATGTGTGTAATGTCGTCCCAAATTTCTGTGAGAATGTCCTATTTTTTTTTTCTCATACCTCTTCTATTCTGTAAATTATTTCTGTTTTTTCTGGGGTGAATTTTTTTGGTATCACCACCTTTTTCAATGAGTTGTTATTTTGTTCCCAATCTCATTTAAATAAGGGGTGTGGAGACTAAAGCAATTCCATCTTGGATGTTAATCCACCATGTTATCTTGTCATTAACCCCAGTTCTGTGAAGGCTTCCAAGATTTCCGGCTTATTTATTGTTCCTTGTGTAAGAGAAGGTACTTACCATAAATTTCTGGTCAAAACAACCTTGACGTTACTGTGCTATGGTTGTCCTACCTGTCCCTTCTGAAGCATGTATACCCTTTCCCTATGGCATGTGAGTACTGGTTCTGCGGGTAATGGTGCAGGAATCCACCCTCTCGTCTTATGGCTGCCCAAGATAAGGCTTCTGTTTGTAAGTCACTATTAAATGTTTCTTTCTGAGAAACTGGATTTGTCAGCCTCTTTCTTCAGCCCCACAGCTTCCTCAGCCTTTGTGGGTAGATTTGCCTAGACCTGTCCACCACAGAACAATGCAACAAGAAAGCTGACTAGGAGCCTGGTGTCCATGGATGTTCTTGTTCACTCGTACATTTAAGTTAGGATGAGCAGATGGATGGAGCCTTCCCTATTCCCAGCCTCAAAGCCAAAATATGGTTATTTTGTTCAGAGGCACAGAACCCAATTTAAATGTCCTGTTCTCTCTCAATTTTTTTAAAAAACTTGTTTAGCAAAGAACCCTTTGATATTTTGCCTGGAAGTGAACATCTGGCTCTCTGCCATTTTTGTTAAAGGGATGAAATGAAGTTAATTGTCTTATACACATGTACTCATACACAGTTAATCGCCTAATACCATTTTTCACCCTGCCTTCATTAAACCTTCTAACTGAGATTTCAAAGCCTCTGAGGAGTTGGACAATTTTAACTCCCATTTTCACTGTAGGCCTCTTTGTACATCCTAGGCTGAGGCTGGTATGTTTTGTCTATTAGCTGTATTAGATCTTACAGAAATTAATTGAAATCCCTTGTCCATTGCAGACCTCCTCCTGCTCTGTTTTATTCCTTCACTACTGCTTAAAAGAAATCTTTGAAGGGAGGGAAGACAAATTCATGTGCTAAGACCTCTTTCTTAAACTGGAGTTTATTGACTTTAAAACCAGAAAAATAACAAGTAATTTACAAAATACACCCAAGTCTTATGGACTTCTATAAATACATAGTACCCTGGCTTTGGAATACAGATTTTTTTCTTTTAAGACAGGGTGTCGCTCTATCACCTAGGCTGGAGTGCAGTGGCGTGATCTCAGTTCATTGTAACCTCTGCCTCCTGGGCTCAAGTGATCCTCATGCCTTAGTCTCCCAAGTAGCTGAGATTACAGGTGCCTGCCATCACACCTGGCTAATTTTTGTATCTTTAGTAGAAAGGGGGTTTTGCCATGTTGGCCAGGCTGGTCTTGAACTCCTGACCTCAAATGATCCACCTGTCTTAGCCTCCCAAAGTGTTGTGATTACAGGCGTTAGCCACGTGCCCAGCTGGAATTCAGGTGTTTTTTATTTCTTAAAATATGACAATCTTTTCCTCAAATAAGTGTCAAAAACAGGCAATGTCACCTTAATCTTTTACTGGTTTTCCTTTCTCATGGGATGGTACAGAATTAGAGTATGATAGGGTCCTGGGTGAAAATGGTAGAAGGGATACTAAGTATAATACAATGAAATAGTTTATTCTCTTTAGCTCAGTGGTTCTCAACTGGGGGCTATTTTTCCTCTTAGAGGATATTTGGTACTGTTTGAAGACTTTTTTGGTTGAGAGAACTGAGGATATTCTATTGGCATCAGTGCATAGAGGCCAGGGTTAACTGTAAGCATTCTTTTTTTTTCTTTTGAGACAGGGTCGTGCTCTGTTGCCCAGGCTGGAGTGCAGTGGTACAGTCATGCCTCACTGCAGCCCTGACCTCCTGGGCTCAAGCAACCCTCCCACCTCAGCCTTCCAAGTAGCTGGGAGCCCAGGTACGTACAACCACGCCTGGCTAATTGTCAAATTTTTTGTAGAGATAGGGTTTTGCTATGTTGCCCAGGCTGGTCTTTAATATCTGGGCTCACACAATCTGCTCACCTTAGCCTCCCACAATGCTGGGATCATAGGCATGAGCCACTATGTCTGGCCTAGTATTCTTAATACATAGGACACAACAAAGAATTATATAGTCAAAAATGCAAATAGTGCTGAGGTTAAGGACTTTTTCTCTTGTGCAACAATGTGAATATACTTAACAATACTGAACTGTACACTTAATGGTTGAGATGGCAAATTTTATGTTACATGTATTTTACCACAATTAAAAAAATGGGTCCTTATTTGCTAGGAAAAATTTTTGTTTACCAGTTAGTTTTATGCTATTTGATCAGAAAAAGAACATTTTATTTACTTCTATGCTCTGTTAGAGCTTACTTCATTGTCAAGATTGAAGGATAATATGTGGTGAAATACAGAACGGAGCCCGTGTGTGCAGATACCCTAGGAAAGCCAACTAAGCTACTGTGCCAGAATTTGCAAACCACAGAAATGAACTAACTATGGATAACTTAAGCAATAGACAAAATGTACTGGAAGGCAGTGCGGTCAGTTGTAAATCTGGAAGAGAAGCCCTACACCTAAGCTATGAGAAGGACAGGGCCCAGGGCAGCTTCAGGGAATCTGTCTGGGTGCAGGATTCACTAGGCAGTGTCTCCAGAGCCCCATGGCCAGGATGAATCCACCTATAACCCCTCCAGTGTTTTTGGGAGAGTGTCTGATAGGCCAAGCTTGGGTCCTGTACTCTTCTCTCAGCCCAGGCAGCTTGAGGCAACCTATGTGACATCTCATGAAGATTGTACACAAAGGGAAGAGGCAGTTTCTTGTCCCCAGAAGTAGGGTGATGGGATGCTGGGCAGGTAAGAACAATAGATATCCACTTTAGCTGCAAGGTAGATACTGCCTCCTGCTGTCTAAAATCAAAATACAAAGAGCTAAACAAACAACAAAATGCTTAAATCACCACTTTTGCTTACTGTGAACCTTAGGGAAATCATTTAATCTCTGTTTTGTCTTCTACAAAATGAAGAACTTGAATTTAATGACATAACTTCCTTTTCATTCTAGCATCATATTTATATATTTCCTTATGTTTTAAAAGGGTCTTTGAACGCTTGTTCACATATACTTAATTTTTTGCCTGGATTGTGGATTCTCCTCTCATTTGATCTATTCTTGGAATGGCTTCCTAAGGCTGCAGGATAGTTCCGAATTTCGGGATATTGATCTGCTTTTAGGGTATGTGTGGGAAGGATAATTTTTATCAGTAAGAAAGTAAATTTCAATTGTTCATCTCCCTATAGAGAAAGCCATTCATGGGTGTTGGGAGTGTGGAGAAGGAGGAAGAAAGAGAAGGCTGAAACAGCAAAGCCCTTGCCAGCTCCGTGTTCTGCTAAAAGGTTAAACCTTGCATAGAGAGTGCTTCACCCAGAGAAACACAGTGGGTTTCTACGTGTGGAAAGGGAGGACCTGAGCTGAAGGACATCAGGAAAATGAGTTTCTGGGGAAGTGAGAAGGAGTGGGGTTTAAAGACAAGAGGAGTTGGGAGACAGGTGGCAAGAGGCTGCAGCCTGCAGAAGCAGGTGGCCAATGAGAAATTCCTGATCGGGGATAAGTAAAGGATTTGGGCTGGGTGCGGTGGCTCACACCTGCAATCCTAGCACTTTGGGAGGCTGAGGCTGGTGGATCACTTGAGGTCAGGAGTTCAAGACCAGCCTGGCCAATAGGGTGAAACCCCATCTCTACTAAAAATACAAAAATTAGCCAGGGATGGTGGCATGTGCCTATAATCCCAGCTACTTGGGAGGCTGAGGCAGGAGAATCGCTTGAACCCACGAGGCGGTGGTTGCAGTGAGCCGAGATCGCGTGCCACTGTACACCAGCCTGGGTAACAATGACACTGCCTCCAAAAAAAAAAAAAAGGATTTGAAGGATGGGGATAATATCCATAATATCCAATTTTAGTTTTGTTCAATTTCATGACCCTTGCACAGTAGAAAATTCCACTATTTATGCAAATCTCCAGCAACATCTACATTCTCATTAAAGCCTGTAGCACTGGTCTGTAGAAAGTTAAAGAGAACAGGGTGAGACCAACATCTGCGTTGGCATGGGGAAAAGGGAAGGGAACCTAGAGAGTGGCTGCAGCAGGAGAGGTTGCAGGAAAATCAGGAGGTGAGGGGCAGGTAGGAACTTGGAGCTGGAAGTGACCGTGAGGTGGTAAGTCTTAAGTTGTTGGAAATTCTCAGACATTTGTGGGAAGAATTGGACTTTCCAGAGGACTCAGTGTGAGAGCACGGGCCACAAAGGTAAGGGGAAATTAGTGTAACTTTGGGCCACACTAATGAACAATAAAGAGGTGGAGCTCCCACCTTCCCTCTTGGGTGGAAGGGTGAGGTGCTGCGGAAGACCTCAAAATAGTGTGGTGGGATTCTTTTTTTGTCTTAGTCTTTCGTTTCATTGTATAGTATGTCTTCACAGAAAGAGTGCTCCAAACTATAAATAAATTTACCATGGAATAAACATTTTATTTATTTGTGTATGTAACATTTATTGACATCTACCCACTGCAAGTATAGATGAATAAGACACAGTCACACCATAAAGGAGTTTATCCTTAAAAGGAGTGAAAGACATTCAAAAACCAACTGCAATAAAAAAGGGTGACATAATTGCTAAATGGAGTGGAGGAACAGTGCTTATCAATTCTGATTGTGCAACAATGATATACAATCCAATGAATGAATGAATGGATGTTCTGCCTGAAGTTTCTATTTCTTTCTTGAATTACTTCTCTTTCCTATTGAGAGAAAAAAAAAGAACATTCTGATATGTAGAAAATGCATAAAAACCATCCTAAGATTATACAGGCAAAGGAAATGTCACAGAAAGTATAATCTATTATTCACTCAGACCATTTCTTGTCCCTGGGACAAAGATTCTGAAGAACAACCTCCAGAGGCTAAGAAGGCAGGATTGACTGGAGTGTGGGCCCAGGGCTCAGGTACCTTTGCATCTTGTTTCTACCAGTTTACTAGATGTGTGACCTTAGGTAGTTTACTACTTAACCTCTCTTAGCATCAGATTACAAATCTGTAAAATGTGGATAATAATGTCTCATTGAATTCTTGAATTAAATGAGTTAATCCATGTGAAGTCTTGGGATACTGCAAGTACTCAATGCATGTTAGCTATTATTTATTTATTTTTTGAGATGGAGTCTCACTCTGTTGCCCAGGCTGGATTGCAGCGGTGTGATCTTGACTCACTGCAACCTCTGCCTCCTGGGTTCCGGCAATTCTCATGCTTCAGCCTCCTGAGTTGCTGGGACTACAGACATGCACCTTCACGCCCGGCTAATTTTTGTATTTTTAGTAGACATGGGGTTTTACCATGTTGTCCAGGTCTCGAGCTCCTGGCCTCAAGCGATCCCCAACCACCTTGGCCTCCCGAAGTGCTGGGTAAAGGCGTGAGCCACCGCGCCCAGCCAGCTATTATTTTTATCATTCTGAGTATAGCATTAGGAATCTTGTATCTTAATCACTTTCTTTGGAATCTATGTTTTCTGCTCATATTACTTTTTAGATTAACTCCCTACATATACAGCCCACATAATTAAATTCTATTTCCATTTGTCCAGAAGTTACTTGTTTCCAACTCTGACCAGAGATGCCCTTTTGTCTAATACTTAAGGTTTTAATGCACTAGTCTCTTTTCTTCCTGTTAAATTTAATCAGCATGCCTCAGACCTTCTTTAGTCTCTTTGTATTTTTCTTAGGGTTCTAAAATATTTATAGACTGCTATAGAATATTCCATGAGTTCCACAGTTTTATGTAAGGGGAGGATAGTATTTTCAGTTTTGTTCATGATAACTTTACGAACAATAGTCAGCATTTTGTGAATCTTTTGGACAGCAGTGGTTCTTTACGTCGTAACTTTTGGGAATAGTTACACAGCATTTTCCAAAGTGTGTTCTCTGAAGTGCTAGTTTATGGGACTCATTGAGACCCATAAAAAGGATTATAATTTAGGAAACACTGAGTTAAACATTTGTTCAATACTCCATACTCTCTAATAGTCTATACACCTGAAATACAGTAGGTAGTGTTTCTTGAACTTATTTCTCCATAGCCTCCTTTTCTGGGAATCACCCTGTAGGACTAGTGTTCTGAGAATACAGTTTGGGACATGCTGATTTATAGCAAATGCTAGGTTGAACTGATATCTTAAATCCAGTGTCTTACTGGAATATTTCTCCCCTGAGGACAGTCCTCTATTATGTGGAAGCACTTTCATTGCTCACGTGATCATTTGAAGAATCTTAAGTGATCTTTTTGCAGTGTATTCTCTTCATCCTGATATTTTTACTGGCTAGGTTTAGTTATATCTGCTGATTTAAAGATGTCATTCTGTATTCTTTTATTCTTACTAGGATAAAAAGCTTACTGGGTAGTGATAGGCAGGAATATGTCGTAGAAAAAGTATGAAGTCACATAGCCCTCACTTGGAATCATGGCTCAAGCACTCGACAGTCACATGACCTTGGACAGTCCACTTAGCCTCTTTGAATCTTACTTTCCTTATCTTTATCCAGAGACAGAGCTTTTTATTCTTGTCCTTTGATTTCTTTCTCAAATACTACTTTTGGCTGACTCAATACAGTAAATCCAAATCAGTGCACTTAAAAAAACTGAATTTGGAACTTGATTAAACCAAAAAAGCATAGACTGGGGCAAGGGATATACATAAGTATCAAGACCAGGAATGATAAGCAGTTTCTGTCCGTGGTTAACCGCTTTCTCTACATGTACGTGCAAACAGGAAGAGCAGGGTCACTTATAATTATCTAGGATTGAATCCTTAGGAGTGGGCAGCTATGAAGAAAGGTGTTTTGTCCCTTCAGTCCACCCCTACAGGGGACACTCTCCTAAACTATTTAAACTGAGAGAGGAAGAGCAGTGGGTGGCAGCTTGAAGAAAATCTGGACAATATCATTTGCATAATTTTACCACATGATACTATGTTACTGAAACTCACAATCAACATCTTCATAGTATATTACAGCCTAGTTATATTTTAAGTATCTAAGGTCCCCAATTCCTCCCCTCAATAGGCTTTTTGATATGAGTTCCAGTGTGGTTTTCCAGGTAAATACCCATTTCCCAGCCTTTCTTTTCCTACCCCACTCTAAAAAGAAAATGGGAAATCCTCTTATTTGAAATAATAAATATTACCATATAGTTTCTGAATGCCTTTAATATCATCCTGGGAAAGTTTAAAATTTTGGGGATCTCCATTTCCATAGGTTGGATACATCACTGCATTAGGATCAGAGGAATGTCCCATACCCAAAGAATGGCCAAGTTCATGAGTTGCAGCATACAGGAAGTTAATCCCTACAACCGAAGAAGTGACAAACAGTAATGATAAAAATAGCTACATACATTATGTAATATTATATATATGATATCATAATTTAAAAAAACTAAAGAAAAATACCCAAGTTTTAGCCCACGGTAGCTTACTTATTTGTTTCTAGGCTTTCAAAAGTGGAGAGGGGTTAGAAGGTTAATCAGAATAGGAGTGCTTTAATCTCATCACTACTTCTGCTTATTAAAAATGTGTAATTTTTTTTATTTGCTTCTTTCATTCAGGCAGCAATACTCTGCAGTGGAAAGCAAAGGTTTTAAAAGCACTAAGACCTAGGTTTGAAATGTAGCTCCACTACTTACTAGCTGGACAACTCTGGACAGATTAATTGATGTTGCTGAGTCTCAGTTTCTCATCTGTTAAACAGAGACAGTAATTTCTGCCCTCTAGATTTGTCATGATAGCTAGAGTTTCTCAATATTTGGGAAGTCACGGCCATTCAATAAATGTTAGTGACTTTGGATATCAGAAGAGAGAATGGTGGCTTTGAGAAAGCGAAGATTGAAAGGCAGGGTCTCTAGGCAATGCTGGGCTTTGTTTTTGATTTTGATTCATTAACTTGTATTACATATATCCTTTGTTCTCCCTCATACTCATTGAAAGGCTTTGCAAGTATGTGGAAGGTGTGAGCCCGTGCGTTTGAGGAGTGGCCTGAGCTCTGGTGGCGTTGCATTGAATTGAAGGAAGCTGCCTTTAACCTACCTTAAGTGGGAAGAAAGAAGAATGAAAAGAATATGCCAGATGCAAATGGGAGGCAGCATCACAATTTAACATAGATTTTCACAGCAAGACAGCAAGCTATGGTGAATTCCTTTTGCCAAACACAAGTACAAATTTCCCTTTTAGGGCCAGTTGGTAGCCTTAAAAAAATTGTCTCTAATTGGGATTATTTATGCCAGAGCTCTTCTCCATTAGTTCTCTCATGTGCCTATAATATCCTACTATGTAAAATGATAAATATGATATACTAAATCATGGAGTTGGTTCTTTCTGGAAAATAGTGAATAATTCCAGAATTGCATATACTTCTCAAATATCATAGTTTCTACTTCTCTTTCTTTTCCATTTGGGGCATGTATTTTTTGGAAATATGAAGAAAGAGCTATAATTTAATTAATTATTAATACATTCCAAGCACTGTATAAGCATTATCTCATTTAATTTAAAGACTCCTTGATGTGGGAACTATTTATATTTCCATTCCACAGAGGAGGAAACTGAGGCTCAGAGAAATTCAATAACTTGCCCAATGACACAGAGTAATTGGTAGACGTACAGCAAATTGGATCAGTGGTGCTTGACTCCATAGCCTGAGTGTCCATCTTCTGTGTGTAGCATTATGAGTATATTACATGAAATAATGCATTTCAGGCATATAGTACAGTGTTTGGCACTTAGCAAGGGCTCAATACTTATTATAAATTAATATAATTATTTAACTTAGTGTAAGTCCAGGATTTTAAAACGGATGTGGAGTAGAAGAGACATGAGATGCTATACCTAGACTGCTACCATCCGTCCAGCGTTCATCCTCATCGAAGTGAGCATCTCCTCCGAGACCTGTCCCAGGCGCAAAGGCATGAGCCAGCGTGTTTCCTGGCCCATCAAATGGGTAGGAGTCCCCATGAGCTGAAAGAAAATGGAGTGATTGTTCTTAGTGACTGATTTTTTTTTTCTCCAGTCATTTTATTTTTCAGTTTATACGATTATTGAGGCTAGAAAAAGCAGCCCAGTCCAGGCCAGGCATGGTGGCTCACTTTGCGAGGCCGAGGTGGGCGGATCACCTGAGGTCAGGAGTTTGAGACCTGTCTGGCTAACATGGTGAAACCCCGTCTCTACTAAAAATACAAAAATTTGGACATGGTGGCACATGCCACCAAGTAGTAATCCCAGCTACTTGGGAGGCTGAGGCTGGAGAATTGCTTGAACTCAGGAGGCGGAAGTTGCAGTGAGCTGAGATCGCGCCACTGCACTCCAGCCTGGGTGACAACAGTGAAACTCCATCTCAAAAAATAAATTAAAAAAAAAAAAAAGGCAGCCCAGTGCAAGTAGCTGACATTGTTATGTGCTGTCGGTTGCACTCACAGGGTAGTTTGGGTGCTTTCTTGGCCCAGACACTTTTCCTTTCACAGAACCATTGCTCATCACTGATAATCACCATATATTGAAAGCTTACTGGATACAGGACTTAAAATGCAGTTATATCTAACTTAAGGTTGCATTTAAGCTTTTGTTAAATTTGACCACTTTGCTCGGCCAAAGGGTGGTGGGAGGGAGAATGAATATGAATACCACATTTGGCAAGTAATTTGTGCACCATTTCATAGGTTTTTTTTTTTTTTTTTCTTAAAAACCTAGCTTATTCTTCGTGGGCATAGTAAATAGTCTCTTAGAGAGCCATGCTCAAGATCTCTTAAAATGGCTTTTTATAGTCCTTTAATGTGTGATGCAGAGCTGGTTATCTTCGAGGTGATATGAGGCCAGTCCAGTTTATCTAGCTCTTAAAAAACTTGTAGTGCCATGATTAGTGCTTTCCCATAACATTTTCTTCGGTGTTGTCAATATTGTGGGTTGAAGTTCAAATTTCAGCTACAGTAGCCGGACCATTCCACATAGAACAGACTGAAATGGGCAACATTTTTCTCTAAATTTGCACCATGAAACACTAGCAATTAAGAACAATTTATGTATATGGGTTTTATATATACATATATACACACACACACATATATAACACATATACTAAAAAAATGGGTTTTACATATAGAAAAACCCACGTAAAAAAAAAAAATATATATATATATATTTTTTTTTTTTCTTTTGAGACATAGTCTTGCTCTGTTGCCCAGGCTGGAATACAGTGGTGTGACCTTGGCTCATTGCAACCTCTGCCTCCCAGGTTCAAGCGATTCTCATGCTTCAGCCTCCCAAGCAGCTGGAATTACAGGCATGCGTCACCATGCTCAGCTAATTTTTGTTTTAGTAGAGATGGGGTTTCACCCTATTGGCCAGGCTGGTCTTGAACTCCTGACCGCAGATGATCCACCTGCCTTGGCCTCCCGAAGTGCTGGGATTACAGGCGTGAGCCACCACACCCTGCTGTGTTATATATTTTTAAGTTCTTTAATATGAAAGTTTCCATTTCCTACTTCCTTGCCACATGAAAGGCATTAGCAACAGGTCATATACCACTTCTCAGGGGACTCTTGAGGCCTTTGGAAGCTGCGACTCTTTCTGTTGATTTAATATCGATGTTAGGTAGATATATTGTAAACATATAGTCATGTGCTACATAATGATCTTTCAGTAAACAGATCACATATACAATGGTCCTATAAGATTATAATGGAGCTGAAAAATTCCTATAGCCTAGTGATATAGTAGTTGTGATAATGTCATAGCTCAATACATTACCTTTTCAATGTTTAAATACGTTTAGACACACAAATACTTGCCACTGTGTTACAGTTGCCTACCGTATTCAGTATAGTAACATGCTGTATAGATTTACAGCCTAGGAGCAATAGGCTATACTATGTAGCCTAGGTGGATAGTGGGCTGTATCACCTGGGTTTGTGTAAGTGTATTCTATGATGTTAGCACAGTGACAAGATTGCCAAAGTTCTCATTCTCAGAGTGTATTCCCATTGTTAAGCAGTGCATGACTGTATATATAAATAATAATTCACGTTACAAAACAGGGGTTGGCAAACTTTTTCTGTAAAGGGTCAGATAACAAGTGTTTAAGCTTTGTGATCTCTGTCACAGTTGCAGCCTGAGCCCAAACAGTCATAGGTAATAGGGAAATGAAGGAGCCTGACTGTGTTCCAGTAAAACTTTATTTACAAAAACAGAAGGTGGGCTGGATTTGGCTCATGCATCATAGTTTGCCAACTGCTGCTATAAAAAGTGGCTCTATATTACCAGATTATAAAAATTATAATAATATTGCTAAATCTATCTATTAACTATCTATCTACCAATCATATCTCATTAAAGGATTTTAATCTTCATAAGAAAAGAGCACTGATATAAACCATGAACAAACAAAACAGGACACAGGATTAGCCTACAGGAATCTTTCTTACCTCCTCGCGCAAAGCCAATCATGATGTCAGCAGTTCCCCATACAACTTTCCTGAAATGCAGGGGGATCTCTTTGCCCCACATGTTTAAAGCCTTTGACACTAATCGATCCACTGTAATATGCGGTAAGTCTCGAGTATATGATACGATCCTAGTAGCAAACAAGAAAACAATGTTTGACCCCTAGGAAACAGGCTTTATTGTTTTTGCCAAAATGAGCCAGAGCAAAACTAACCTGTAGGTGACCACTTTGGAAGTCCATTTTGGGCTATTTGGAAATAGTGAGTATTCTGCAACATCTGGCACTCCACATCTGGGCTTCTGCATTATTTCTATGACGCGGGAGTTTAACATTCCAGTTATAGGTAGGCCAAAGAATTTTTGCATCTCCTTGAGTTTGGCTTCTAAACTGTTGGCATTTTTTGTTTCTGAGTCATAGAGATAAAATCTCTTGAGATAGTCCTATTGAAAAGAGAGTAATTAATCTATAGTTCTTGTTTATTATATTCTTTTATCTTAGAAGCCTATATATCTCTTGCCTTTGGTTCCTGTGAATTCAAATAATGATTTGAAGACAGAATAATTACATAGTCACAGAGAAAAATAAGTGTGCATTAGTGAGGAGAAAATTTAATATTGCTAATGAAGCACTGGCGTGCCATTTCGTGAGCAAAAGAAAAGAATCCCTCAATTTTTAAAAAATCCATTTAAATGTTTTGGGGAGAATTACACTGTACACTTTATAAAGCCTAGAAGTGTGTAAGAGCAATCAGGAAGCATGTACCAGTCTGTCCTCAGGGGTACGACTGGGACATTCTCTGTGTTATCATAGACCCTGTGGGGGAGATCTGAGGTCAACCAGCCCTATCTAAAGTCCAGCTGAGATGCGGTTCCAGCTAAAAGTTAAAGGGTCTTAAAATTTTAGCTCTGGGAAAAGATATTAGGAAATTATTAAATAGTTCAATTTAATAATCCGGTGAAGGAACCAAAGCTTATAGCAACTAAATGATTTATGTGCCCAGGTTCACACCTTAAATTAGTAGCAGAACTGGACTTGACTTTCCTGACTCCTAGGTCCTCTTTTCCCTCTTTCTGCTCATTCCATTCCCAGCCCTTCTTTCTGCTGTTAAATCTCTAGTCAAACCCACTTTGGGAGATTGCAGTATACAGTAGGACTCCCAGGTTTATTCCATGCAAGGTTGGATTCCTGGGAATTTCTCTAAAGTTTCTCAGTATCTGAATATGAGGATAGGAATCCAGCAGCACAAATACAACAACAACAAAAGTGAATGAACTAACAACAATAGCAACCTCACAGGAACATTTTTAAGCACTTACTAGAGCCAGGCACTTACATATTTATTTTATGTAAACCTCATAACCACTCTATGAAACAAGTATGGCATTGTTATCCCTATTTTATACATGAAGAAACACAGCTCAGAGAAGTGAAATAAATTGCACAAGATCACCTTGTGAGTAACTGAAGGAACCAGTATTTGAACTCAAGTGTTCTGACTTCTATACATTAGAAACATGTGTAGGGTTATATGATGCCTGATAATATTGTTGTTAAAATGATTTAAACATTGGCTCACTAATTTGCAGTTTATTTGGAGTAGATGGTAATGGTTACCTGTCTTAGGACCGCCCAGGAATATGCAATTTATGTAAGAAATCTTATTAATATTGTGTCTTTTTTTCCTGTTACCAACAATTGTCTCATTAAATACAACAAATACTTATTGTTCATCCATGACAATTGATAACTGATCCTTTATTTAAAAACAAATAACCCATTTAATCCCTTCTAGAGCTACAGACTTTACCAAGACACCCTCTGGAAGAAATCTCTCTGCTTTGTTGAGATGACTTTTCCTGTTTTTTTGTTAAACCTAGCTAACATCCCTCCAAGTGAAGACTAAGTTTCTGCCAACCTTCACTCTAAGTAAAGAAACTAAACGCAGAGTACTCTTTCTGGAGAATTCATTAGGTGGAACCATATAAAACTACTGTTTTGGAGATTTTAAAAGTTAAATACTAGTAACTTTATGTGGTTCAATCTAACTTATTATAACTGGAACTTTTTAAAAGTCTAAGTTAATGTGAATTAAAAATTGACTTTTCTTATGCTTAAGGCCTAAATTTACAAATAATAGTTATAAGTAATCATCCCATTAGTTAACCAAATAATAATTAGTAGACTGCTTATATTTATTAGACTGCTTATTAAGAAGCATATTGCAAGGAACATGATTTTTGAACCAGAAGCACTTGTCCTTGATTTCTATCTCTACCACTAATAAGTACACTAATCAGTTTAACTTTGGTTTCCTCTTTTTATAGAACTAAGGATTAAATGACACAATGTCTATATAAGTACTTTATAATCTACAATTGTTACATACATGCTAGTTGGTTTTGTTATCACCTCATTTACTTACTAGAATACCCCATGAGGTATAAAACACATAATATTATTTTTTCTACTGGACACATGAGAAAACAAAGTCAGATGTTAATGCCTTGTCTATTGTCATTGACTTGTTGGAGAGTTGTAATTTCTACCCATGTTTTCTGACTTCAGATATCTCCATTACAAACAGTATTGTAAATACACAAACAGTATATTTACAGGTTGTATCTTAAGAGGCAATATTCTGTATACTATAGAAAAAGAATCTCAAGTTATAATAAATAAAAATAAGAACTTAATTTAAACAATGTTTCAGGTATTGTGTTGAATGCTTCACAACACCCTCATTTGGTTGATACCATTCTTATCTCCAACTTCCAAATTGGAAACCTGAAGCTTAGAGAAGTTTGATGACCTTCCTGAGTCTATCTACATAGTGAGTGGAGGGTTGGAACTCAAGCCCGATTTGAGCAGATTCTGAAACCTGCTTTTAATGGCTACTTGATGAAAACATATATTGCTTTTATAATCCGAAGAACCACCCCAAAGAAAATTCCACTGCAATGCTAACATGGGAAGGGAAATAATTGAAAAACACATTTCTTAATGCAGATGGCAAAAGAATGGAACCCTAAGTAAGTGGGCTGTGACATACCTGAGCCTGTTCCCACTGTAGCTCACTCATGCCTCCCGCCTCCTGAGGCAGCGGCAGGGCCAGGCTGCCAGGCAGCAGGCACACAGCACACAGCACGGTGAGTCGCATAGCTGCCGTCCAGAGACAATTGTTCTTGGACCTATGGTTGATTTGGTGTTTTCTGCTAGTGACTGCAGAAATTTATATAGCTTCTCAGCCTCGAATGTGGAAATAGGTGACTCATTTGAGTGTTTTCTTTCTTTTTAGAGTCTACAGAACTTTGAAAGTATGTGTTATTTTTCATTAACTAAAACGAGGAAGTATTACATCGTTATTGGCAGGAAGCACACAATGTATTTGTCTTTCAAAGGATTTTTTTTTCTGTCTGCTGCATAAATTGACTCCATGAGAAACCTCATTTTTTTGCCAAAGTCAAATGACTGCTCTCATAGGTATCATTCAGGACATTATGGTACCATATATTCTTAAAGAATAATATATATTCTTAAATATATATTCTTATTATATGGTACCATGTATTCTTAAATACATGGTACCATATATTCTTAACAATTAAAAGGTTTGGAAAAGTGCACAAAACATGTAAATAATGAAATAATAATTAAGCAAATACTGTAACCGTCACCAAAGTCAAGAAATAGAACATCACCAAAATCCTGTGGTTCTCCATACAGGGGAAAGATGGCAGGAGGCAGATGGAAATGCTGCTGTGTGGCTGGATTAGTGGCCACTCTATATACAACTGTGCTGTGTCCCCTCACCTTCCACGTCCCTTAGCAGAGCAGTGATAATTCCCTTCTTTGGGTCTCCTTTTAATCAGTTTATGTCTTTTCTTAATGGGGAACACTGCCTCTAATTCTTCTTGAATTAAACACAAAAAAATACCAAGCCAACAAAAATCTACAAGCACGGGTTTAACTCTTCATCTGGCTTACTTATTCTGCTTCTCATTTTATAGTAACAGATTCTTCCAAGGCTAGACCTTCAACTTGGAGATCCAATTTTTTTCTTCCAATCACTCTGACTCTGGCTGCTGCCCAGCTACAGGTAGGGCTGCATTGGTCCTTAGTACACAAAATGGTTATTCTACGTATAGCAGTAAGAATCCATTACCTACAGATTCTAGCCCAATGACTCCATTCTTACCAAAAATGAAAGTGAGGCCAAGATGATAATTTAACTTATTATACTTCTCCCAGCTCACACAGATAGTAGCTCAGTGCTTTTTCTATCCCACTGCACTGCCTATTCATTTTGTAATAGGTCTGTCTCTTTTATTATATTATACATTACTTGGGAGAACACCATGGCTTTTGACTCTAATACATCATGGGAAACACTCCAAATATGCTGGAGCTAAAAAATTTAATTAATCACATATCACTTCAATTACATGGTAATTGAGCACTGTGAGCCAGCAAAGGTAAAATTTTCAGATCAGTTAATTAAATTTGCTCTCTTTACAGAGATGTCTTGATTCTGTACGGTCACAGTTTAACTAGAGTAATTGGTATCCTTAGTCAGAGTTTGACATGTGATAAGGTGCACCATAAATATTTGTAGAATAATGAATATTTATGAACTTTACTTGAATAAGCTAAAAATGGAATTATATCACGTTTTTGGTAATATTTGCATTGAATTAAAATCAAAAGGCATTTCCTCAAGTGAATGAGCACACAAGCCACAAATTGGGTGAAAATGAATGCAAAGACACATCCATGGCCAGGCGCGGTGGCTCACGCCTGTAATCCTAGGACTTTGGAAAGCTGAGGCCAGTGGATTGCCTGAGGTCAGGAGTTTGAGACAAGCCTGGGAAACATGGCAAAACCCTGTTTCTAATAAAAATACAACAATTAGCCAAACATGGTGATGCGTGCCTGTAGTCCTAGCTACTCAGGAGGCTGAGGCACGAGAACTGCTTGAACCTCAGAGGCAGAGGTTGCAGTGAGCTGAGATCACTCCACTGCACTCCAGCCTGGGTGACAGAGGGAGACTCTCTCTCTCTCTCAAAAAAAAAAAAAAAAAAAAAAAGACATATCCAATAAAGGACTGTTATCCAAAATATACAAGTATCTTTTAAAACTCAACAATAAAAACACAAACAATCTGATTTTAAAGATGGGCCAAAAACCTTAACAGTCATCTTACCAAAAAAGATATACAGATAGTGAATAAGCATATGAAAATATTCTTCACATCATATGTCATTGGGGAAATGCAAATCAAAACAGTAATGAGATACCACTACTTACCAATTAGAAAGGCCAAAATCCAGAACGCTGACAGTGGCAATTGCAGGATGTTTTAGTGGAAATGAAAAATGGTACAGCCACCTTGGAAGACAGTTTGATGGTTTCTTTCAAAATGAAACATACTTTTACAATATGATTCAGCAATGGTGCTCCTTGGTGTTTACCTAAAGGAGATAAAAATAAATGTTTACACAAAAACATACATATAGATGTTTATAGTAGCTTTATCCATAATTGCCCAAACTTGGAAACAACCAAGATGTCGTTCAGTAGGTGAATGAATACATGTACTGCGGGACATCCAGGCAATGAAATATTATTCAGTGCTAAAAAGAAATGAGCTGTGAAACCATGAATAAACATGGAAGAATCTTAAATGCATGTTATTAAGTGAAAGAAGCAATCTGCGGGGCTACTTAGTGTATGATTCGAACTATGTAACATTCTGGAAAAGGCAAAAATAGGTAAAAATATCAGTAGTTGTGTGGGCTGGACGTGGGATAGGCAGGATGAATAGGCAAAGCACAGAGAATTTCTGGGGCAGTGCATCTACTCTGTACAATACTGTAATGGTGGATTCATGTCATTTTGCATTTGTCCAAACACATAGAATGTACAACATCAAGAGTGAACACAAATGCAATGGACTTTGGGTGATTATGATGTGTCAGTGTAGGTTCATCAATTGTAACAAATATAGGCTGGGCACGGTGGCTCACGCCTGTAATCCCTGCACTTTGGGAGGCCGGGGCAGGCGGATCACCTGAGGTCAGGAGTTTGAGGCCAGTCTGGCCAACATGGTGAAACCCTGTCTCTACTAAAAGTACAAAAATCATCCAGGTGTTGTGGCAGGTGCGTGTAATCCCAGCTGCTCAGGAGGCTGAGGCAGGAGAATCACCTGAACCCAGGAGGTGGAGATTGGAGTGAGCCGAGATCACGCCACTGCACTCTAGCCTGGGCAATACAGTGAGACTCTGTCTCAAAAAAACAAAACAAAACAAAAAAAATACACACACACACAGAAACAAATGTACCTCTCTGGTGAGGGATGTTGATAATGGGGGAGGCTATGCATGTGTGGGGGCAGGAGGTATATGGGACATCTCCGTACTTTCCTTTCAATTTTGCTGTGAACTTAAAACTGCTTTAAAAAAATAAAGTCTTAAAAAAGGTATTTTCTAGATTTTGTATTTTACATTTCTGTTTACTTTTAGCAATTCAAAGAGCATTAGAAATTACAAACACTTTAAATTAATTTTAGTGACTTCCTTCAATATTCACTCTTGAATAAGGAGAAAGAAATCTCTTGTTCATCTAAATTGTAATTAGGAAAAAAGACCCAGTGGAATCAAGTCCCAGTTCCAGCCTTTAGAAGCTCGTGCTCTAGGGTGGCAATATCGGGAGGTAAATACTTTTAAAACAAAATGACACTCGCTTATAATATGCAAAGCTACCAAAGAGAAGGGAACAGTTAATCCTTCTTGTGGGAACTGAGGAGTAATCCATACAAGAGGTGGCATTTTGGCTGGATTTTGGAGGGTAAATAGGAGTTCCCTTGGAAAAGGGCATTCCAGGAAGAAGACATGGGAAAAGAGCATGGATACAGTAGAGCGAGCAGTCAATGTGGCTGTGGTCCGGGATGGTGAGTGGTTGGAAAAGCAGGTGGGGGTCAAGTTGTTGAGAGCGAGCCTCGTGTGCCAGGGAGTTTGGACTTTATCCCAAGGGCATCAGGGAATGTTTTAAAGGAAGAAAGCAGCATGATGAGATTTGAAATGCTGTAAGAAAATGCTACTGGTGGTTGTAAAGACAGATTGTGGAAGATGAGATGATGCCCTCTAGAGGGATACTGGAGAGGCAGATAGACCAAGCAAAAAGTTATGACAATAATCCAGGTGAGACAGGGGGAAGATGAGTCCCTAAACTAAGATTGTGACCATAGTGATGAAAAAGAGGAAGGAAATCCAAGACGTATGTAGAAGGTAGGATTGATAAAAACAAAACAAAACAAAACCAAAACTGGGGAGATGATTGGCTGCAGGAATGAGAAGAAAATCAAGGATGATCTGAGCCTAATAGACTTGGTGGGTGGTCAAGCTGTTAATATGGAAACATGGCTTATAGGAAAAGAAACTAGGAGTTGATTTTGTGAGGGAAACAGATGTGGTCGTGGGAAAGTAAAGACATCATGGACATCCTGGACATCGGGTTCAAGGTTTCAGCTGGAAATTGGGTCTGGAGCTAATGAGAGTGATCTGGTCCATAGGTTATGAGTGACTTATTTTTAAGGAAGGAAACTATGTTTTCTTAACTGGTAAAATATACATCATATAAAATTTACCACTTTAACCATTTTAAGTGTACAATTGAGTTTCATTAAGTACATTTACAACGTTATATAATTATCACCAATATCCATTTCGAGAGCTATTTTGCCATCCCAAAGAGAAACTCTGTATCCATTAACGAATAGCTCTCTTCTCCCCTCTCCCTCCAGACTAGTAATCTCTACTCTGCTCTGTCTCTATCAATCTGACTATTCCAGGTACATCCTATAAATGTCAACATACAATAGTTGTCCTTTTGTGTATGGATTATTTCACTTAGCACAATGTTTTCAAGATTTACTCATGTTGTAGTAGCATTTATCAGAATTTCACTCTTTTTTAATGGCTACATAATATTCCATTGTATGGATATAGCATATTTTGTTTATTCATTCATCTATCCATGGGCACTTAGGTAGTTTTCAGCTTTTGGCTGCTCTGCACAATTGTGCAATGATCATTGGTGTACAAATACCTGTTTGAATTTTTGTTTTCAGTTACTTTGCGTATACACCTGGGAGTAGAATTGCTGGGTCATATGGTAATTCTAGGTTTAACTTTTTGAGGAGCCACTAAACTGGTTTCTATAGTGGCTATACCCTTTTGCATTCCCACCAGCAATGTACTAGGATTTCAATTTCTCTGTATCCTCTGTATTCAAAATAACATTTGTTATTTTTTATCTTATTTTTAATTTTTAAAATGATCATGGCCATCTAAGTAGGCACGAAGTGGTATCTCATGGTTGTTTTCATTTGTATTTCCCTAGTGACTAATGGATAATGCTGCACATCTTTTCACATGGTTGTTGTGCATTGTATATCCTTGGAGAAAGGTCTATTCAAGTCATTTGCTTATAGTTTTAATTGGGTTATTTGTCTTTTTTTTGAGTTGTAGGAGTTCCTTATATATTCTGGATATCAAACCTTTATCAGATATGTGATTTGCAAACATTTTGCAAATTTCTGTGGGTTGTCTTTCACTTTCTTGATAATGTCTTTTGAGGCACAAAGGTTTCTAATTTTGATGAAGTCCAATTTATCTATTTTTTTCCTTGGTTGCTCATGCGTTTGGTGTCACATCTAAGAATCAACTGCCAAATCCAAGGTCACGAAGATTTATTTCTACATTTTCTCCTAAGAGTTTTATGGTTTTAGCTATTATATTTAGGTCATTGTTCCAGATGCTTTGATTCTGATAGCTTTCCTTTTCATACCTTTGATTTCTTCTTGCTGTAGTGTGATTTTCTGCTTTGGTGATCTGAGCAGACTGACTTAACTTGTAATTATGTTAAAGGAGAGTTATTCAGCCCCGGTTAGATTCCTTCTGTGTTACAGTGACTGAATATTTAACCTTTATGAAATTCAACTTCCTTATCCGAAAAATGGAAATAGTACTTTTCCTTAGGGTTGTGGTGAGGATTAAATGAGAAGATTAAGTGTATAAAAGACTTAGCAGTGTTTTTGAAGCACAGTAAAAGCTCAGTAAATGCTGGCTAGTATTGATGTCATTGTTGTCATTATTATGCTGAAAGTTTGTATGTAATATAATATCATTTTTCCCCATCTGTGAACCTAGCGTGGAGATCAGACATGTATAAAGGAAAGATACAAGGTTTAAATGATTCTGTTCCAATAATTTTTATTGATGCCAATGTTTTCTGAGACACAAGGAAGTAACTATCTTAAATATTTCAATGTGATTTGTTATAATAATCAACCAAACTAATCTCCTTACTATAGAAGCTATTAAGCTTTTAAACAAGAAAAGCACATCGTCTTTATGTCAATAAAATCTTTGGGTGTACAGTATGAACAATGGAACAAATTCACGGGAAAAAGTCACGAAAATTGAAATAGGGTAAATCAGATAGGAAAAGTAACAGGATTTTAATTTCAAATGGAAACATTTTATATTCAACAGCAGGATTTATGCAGAGAAAGGGAAGGTGGTGGAGCACCTTAGTGGACACACCTGTTGATATGGGTGGCCCTCCCTCTATTTGGGTGAGGGGCAAATAACAAGGTGACATCTAAGCCTTTTGCAAGGCAAGTGTGAACTGCTGCAGCAACATTGCCTCTCAGTGCAGCTGCCATTGCCCTGGGGCTCATGCATCAGTGGATGGAAAGTTCTAGAACTACAGGAAGAAGGAGCATAAAGAGGAAAGGACAGTGAAGGAGAGGATGGTCTGAGAGACTACAGCCTTCCTCAGATGCCATGCTATCAGAAGCTAGCTCTCTCCACCACCAAAGGGAGGAAGCAAAATCAAAACCACTTATTCTTCCTTTCTGTCTATTCCTTCGTTTCCCCCCAAACTGCAGCCTATGAAGAATTTAGACGTTAGTTAACTAAGTACCTCTCCCCTGCTTGCAAGAGGAAGGGCAGGGAAACTTTCAAATGGGGCTAGATATTTTTTCCATCAGTGCCAATTTTTACAAGTTACACTTCAGAAAGAAAGTGAAGTAATAATCCTTGTCCCAGCCTGAACTCTGAAGTGGGATGTAACTGTATGCTTGACCTCCTCCATACAGACTCACAGAAGTAGCTTTGTATAATAGATTTTACTGGTGAGTAGGGAGTAGGGAGAGGCAAGTTTCAGCCCAGGATCATACTGTAGATAACTTAAAAATTAATATTAAGCTTCCCTGTTCTTAAAAAAAAAAAATCTTTCACCAAATAGATCTTCTGATCCTGCCCTGGCTTTTCCTATTCTATTTTCCTTCAGTCCTTCCAATGAACTTTCATTCCTTTTTTAAAATTAGGGGCCCTTTACTAATCTCTAGGCTGTCTCCTTATAATCCAAGCACTCAAGGCCTTCCTTTCCATTGTCAAGCAGTTAGTTAGGTTTGTTGTTGTTGTTGTTTAAACAAAGACAGTTATTTCTCTAGAGAAACTCTGTGCCTACTGGTGAAACAAGAACTTAGCTGCTCAGCTACATCAGATAACATGAATTCCCCTTAGAGTTTGTATAGAGGTAATCATAGTTATGACTATATTTTATTTCATGATTAAAAAAATAGAAGCAAATAATTTACTTCAGATCATGCCTAGAACTGTGATGGCAAAAATTCTCTGAGTAATTACTTGGACTATCTGAGAATATTTTTGTCTTTCAATGAGTTACTCTAAGAATATTTGACCTTCCCTGTCCTCTCTTTTCTCATGTTTAGATTAATATTGAAAACGAATTAGATTGATGCTTAGAGCCAAAATATTTATTGGGACTTTTTATTGTATTGTTTATATCCATAGCTTTATGCAGTTTACAAAGCTAAAATCAGCAATAATTTTTGAAGAAATCCAAGCACCTAGAGCTTGGGCTGACTCAGGAGGAGGAGGGATAGAGATACCCAACACACCGAATCAGCTTGCCACTAACTAATCTGTCGAAAGGGCAGCCCCTGGACTCTGGCTGGACCACACCACCACACTCTCTGGTTCTTTTGAGGCCAGATCTGTGGTTCAGCAAGGGTGGTATCTTCACTCATTTTTCTCATGTGGTTATGGCTGAGGGAATTTGCAGGTTTAAGACTGGGTTCAAGTTGGGCACAGTGGCTCATGCTTGTAATCCCAGCACTTTGGGAGGCTGAGGTGGGAGGATCACTTGAGCCCAGAAGTTCAAGATCAGCCTGGGCAACATAGGGAGACTCCTGTCTCTACACAAATAACAAAAAAAAAATTAAGCCAGGGATACTGGATTAAGATGGCAGGTAGGAGGCAGGACTAGCTTTCAGCTCCCACTCTGATGGACAGAGCATGTGGAGACTCACATCATGAACTTTTGCTCCAAGAAGTATGGCAGGAATATATCAGGAAAGCTGAGAGAATCCACAGACCCTTTGAAGGAACTGGATCACCTCTGCAAACTCCCTGACACGCCAAAAAACTGTGAGTCGGCTTGCTTTCTCAACAAGGAGGCTCATGATCTGGGGCAAGTTCTCAGCCCTGGTCACCGGCTGCCTGGAAATAGTGCTGTTGAGGGGACATGGTGGGAGTGAGACTAGTCTTTAGGACTGAAGGCTGAGTGGGAGTGGGGTGAAGCCTATGACTAAACAGAGGCAGCCATAATCCCCCTGGGAATATAAATACATTAGACTGGGAACCGCATTCCCATCCCTGACAGTAGCTGCAGCAACTCCCACCCAAGGAGAGTTTTGAGCTCAGACACACCTAACCCTGCCCCCACCTGGTGGTCTTTCTGTACCTGTTCTGGTAGCTGAAGACAAAGGTCATAATCTCTTGGGAGCTCTATGGCCCTGCCCACCACCTGAGAAACCTGAATACTTAACCAGGTGTCCCTAGGGCATGTTTGCATCCTCCCTATAGGACTGCAGCTGATGCACTTTTGAATGTGCCATTTCCTGGCTGAAGGCCAACCAACACAAAACCAGCACACTAAGCAAGAAACACAACCAAGGACCCTCAGAGTTCACTTTACTCCCCTGCTATTTCCACCAGAGCAGGTGCTGGTATCCATGGCTAAGAGACCTGAAGATGGATCACATCACAGGACTCTCTGCAGACACTCCCCACTACCAGCCCAGAGCCCAGTAGCTACACTGGGTGGCTGGACCCAGGAGAGCAATAACAATCACTGAGGTCTGGCTGTCAGGAAGCCTCATTCCTAGGGGAAGGGGGAGAATACCACATCAAGGGAGCACCCCGTGGGACAAAAGAATCTGAACAACAGCCCTTGATTCCCAGATCTTCCCTCTGATGTAGTCTACCCAAATGAGAAAGAAACAGAAAAACACTTCTGGTAATACGACAAAACAAGGTCCTTTAACATTTCCAAAAGATCATACCAGCTCACCAAAAATAGATCTAAACCAAGGTGAAATCTCTGAATTGCCAGAAAAATAATTCAGAAGGTCAATTATTAAGCTAACCAAGGAGGCACCAGAGAAAGGTAAAGTCTAAATTAAAGAAATCAAAAACATGATATAGGATATGAAAGGAAAATTCACCAGTGAAATAGCATAAATAAAAAACAGTCACAACTGGAAATTAAGGACACACTTAGAGAAATGCAAAATGCACTGGAAAGTCTCAGAAATAGAATCAAACAAGCAGAAGAAAGAACTTCAGAGCTTGAAAACAAGACTTTTGAATTAACCCAATCCATCAAAGACAAAGAAAATAGAAAAAAAAAAAAAAATGAACAAAGCCCCCAAGAAGTTTGGGACCGTGTTAAACATGTAAACTTAAGAATTATCAGTGTTCCCAAGGAAGAAGAGAAATCTAAAAGTTTGGAAAACGTATTTGAGGGAATAATCAAGGAAAACTTCCCTGGCCTTGCTAGAGATCCAGACACCAAATACAAGAAGCTCAAAGAACACCTGGGAAATTCACCATAAAAAGATCATCGCCTAGGCACATAGTCATCAGGCTATCTAAAGTCAAGACAAGGGAAAGAATCTTAAGAGCTGTGAGGGAAAAGCATCAGGTAATCTGTAAAGGAAAATCTATCAGATTAACAGCAGATTTCTCAGCAGGAACTTTATAAACTAGAAGGGACTGGAGTCCTATTTTTAGTCTCCTTAAACAAAACAATTATCAGCCAAGAATTTTGTATCCAGTGAAACTAAGCTTCATAAATGAAAGATACAGTCTTTTCCAGACAAACAAATAGTGAGAGAATTTGCCACTGCCAAGCCAGCACTACAAGAACTGCTAAAAGGAGCTCTAAATCTTGAAACAAATATTTGAAATATACCAGAATAGAAACTCCTTAAAGGATAAATCTAACAGGACCTATATAGCAATAACACAATGAAAAAAAAAAACAAACCAAGATAATCAGGCAACAAATAGCACAATGAATAGAACAGTACCTCACATCTCAATACTAACATTGACTCTAAATGGCCTAAATGCTCCACTTAAAAGACACAGAATGCGTAAGAATTCACCAACCAAATTTCTGCTGTCTTCAGAGACTCACCTAACACATAAGGACTCACATAAACTTAAATTAAAGGGGTGGAAAAAGATATTCCATGCAAATGGACACCAAAAGCAAGCAGGAGTAATTATTCGTATATCAGATAAAACAAACTTTAAAGCGACAGCAGTTAAAAAAGACAAAGAGGGACGTTATATAACGATAAAAGGACTAGTCCGACAGGATAATATCACAATTCTATATATATATGCACCTAACACTGGCGCTCCCAGATTTATGCAACAATTACTACTAGACCTAAGAAATGAGATACATGGCAACACAATAATAGTGGGGGACTTTAATACTCCACTGACAGCGCCAGACAGGTCATCAAGACAGAAAGACAACAAAGAAACAATAAACTTAAACTATACCCTACAACAAATGAACTTAACAGATATTTATAGAACATCCTAGCCAATAACTGCAGAATATATATTCTATTCAGCAACATGGAATGTTCTCCAAGATAGACCATCTGATAGGCCACAAAACAAGTCTCAGTAAATTTAAGAAAATTGAAATTATGTCAAGTACTTTCTCAGACCACAGTGGAATAAAATTGGAAATCAACTCCAAAAGGAACCTTCAAAACCATGCAAATACCTGGAAATTAAATAACCTGCTCCTGAATGATCATTGTGTCAACAATGAAATCAAGATGGAAGTTAAAATATTCTTTGAACTGAATGATATTCCTCAGAAGGAAGTCTAACACTATGTCACATCCTAGTCATTCCTTGAAGTGTATTATCCCTCCTCTCTTCAATTTCCAAGCTCCCCAAGACTCATTCTTCCTTCATCAGCTCTTAGGATCTATATAGGTTATCTATGCCTCAGTGAGATCTTTAGCCTCCATTAACACTCCCACTTAGATTTTAATTCTATGTCTATAACCGAGGATGCTCATCTCCTTTTCAAGAGATGTCAAGCATCAGGGAATACATAAGAGTCATTTTGGAGAAAAAGAGCTCTTCCTAACTGTTCCCATCTCCCTACTTTTTTCATTCAGTTACCCTCTGCTTTGCCAATGCCTAGGGACGTGTTAGTCTGTCTCTGGCCTTTATTACATGATGAGGGTCTTGTTACTAATTTTTTGTTGCCTATAATTGTGCCTCTCAAACCTCTCTACTCAGGTGCCCTTGGCTATCCTAAGGGTGTGGCATGAAGTATCTCTCCATAGGTGGGGAAAATTCTTTGATATCTTAGGCTTCGTTTTTAATAATTCATGCCAATTTTGCATTTTAATTAATAATATCTTTAATTAAAAAATCTTCCATTACTAAGTCTTTAAGCAAAAACACAATAAAAGAATTAACAAACAGATACTTCAGGAACTTTTTTTTGAGGCACTGTTCTAATGCTTTATGAGTATTTAATCTTTGCAATCCTATGAGGTAGCTATTGTTAATCTCATTTTTACAGATGAAGAAAACAAGGCACAGAGAGATTTAGTAACTTGCTCAAGGTCTCATGAGCTCCTAAATATTGGAGCTGGGATTTAAAACCAGACAAAATCTGATGCCTGAGTCTAGAAATCTAGACTTAATCACTTCTATGCTCTTAAACACTTTTGGTTAAGGGTCTGAACCACTTTTCTGTGCCCTTACCTTGTCTCTCCATTACCGACCCTTTTTCCACCTCCCATTCACCCTTGAAGGTATAAGTGACCTACATTTGTGAAGCTGAAACCTAACAATAAAGACAAAATTATTTTAATGTGGCATTAAAAGAGTTTTAGGATCTGATAACCATTTACCTCTCCAGCCTCATTTTCTGTCACTTCTTCTCACTTAATGCTTTAATTATACCAAGCTACATCTGGCTTCCTGAACTCGCCACACTGTGCCTTTCCTACTCTCCTTCCTGAGTTCCCTACCCACTGCACCCTAACCAGAAAAATTAACTGTCTGGAGAATCTCATTTGTCTTTTACAACATGTTAGATGTTGCTCCCTCTTGAATCACTCTCATGTCCCAAGGAAACATTATTCATGTTTCAATATTTGCATGTCTCTCACTATAGCACAATTTACACCTTAGCACATCTGTCTAGACTCTGAAATCCTTGAGGCAGGAGCTGTCTCATATCATTTCTTCTGCCCCATGCGTGATACATACAGTATTTGCTTCCCGGGTTGATGTAGACAATGCCTGAGAGAAGGTCACTTTCCTTTTTTTTTTTTTTTTTTTTTTTTGAGACAGGGTCTTTCTCTGTTACCCAGGCTGGAGTACGGTGGTGTGATCACAACTCACTGCAGTCTCAAACTCCCAGGCCCAAGCAATCCTTTTACTTCAACCTCCTGAGTAGCTGGTACTATAGGTGCATGCCACCACTCCCAGCTAATTTTTGTATTTTTAGTTGAGACGGGGTTTTGCCATATTGCCCAGGCTGATATGCAACTCCTGAGCTCAAGCGATCTTCCCACCTTGGCCTCCCAAAGTGCTGGGATTACAGGCATGAGCCACTGCATCCAGCCAGTCTTGCTCTTTTTCTGCAATGTGAGTTATAAGGACTATACAAACTTGGAACACATAGTGGCCATCTTGTTAGCACCTGGAGAAAATCTGTATGCAAATAAAACCAAGCAGAGGTCATTAGATTCCCAGTAGCAGAGTTTGAATCCCTTTTTTCAATCAGACCTAATGGAAGTTACACTACGTGGATTTCCCAATTATGCAAGTCAATAAAATTTCCCACAGTTTTAGTTTGTTATTGATAGTTTGGGCTGGTTTTCTGACACTTTCAACCAAATAAGTTCTGTGTGATACAGGAGGTTATGATTGTATCTATTTCATCCCAAAAGTTATGTAGTTAACACATGTAGAGCTTGGGTATGAATTCAAGCCTGCTTCTCTGTTAAGCTCATTTTCCTTTCAATATTCCATGTTACTCCTCATTCAGTAATTCAGACATTTTTCATTCATTCTACAAACATATAGTTAGTATATGTCTCATGCCAGGTGCTAGGACTATAGAGACACATGACAGAATGACAGATTTTTTTTTTTTTTTTTTTTTTTGAGATGCAGTTTCACTCTTGTTGCCTGGGCTGGAGTGCAGTGGCACAATCTTGGCTCACTGCAGCCTCCACCTCCTGGGTCCAAGGGATTCTCCTGCCTCAGCCTCCTGAGTAGCTGAGATTACAGGCGCATACCACCATGCCCAGCTAATTTTTGTATTATTAGTAGAGATGGGGTTTCACCATGTTGGCCACGCTGGTCTTGATCTCCTGACGTCAGGTGACCCACCTGCCTCAGCCTACCAAAGTGCTGGGTTTACAGGCATGAGCCATCGCACCCTGCCGAGATTTCTAACACTAGGTTTTTGTGTCATTGTGATAATCATGGCTATTAATAATGAATATATAATATAATGGTTTCGCCAACCAAATTGCTACCTGTTCTGATTCTCCCTGTATCCTGAGCCCATTATAGTTATGAAAGGCTCCCCCACTCTTGGTGTGGTAACTGTGAGGGGGCATGCCCTCAGAGTCAAAGGACAGAGGATTCTCCAAACCCACTGCTACTGCCCTACTTACAGCTCTTAGTATCCCTCATTTGGGTATTTGCATGAGTTTTCTCTCTTTCTCTTTCTTTGTCTTTCTTTCTCTTTCTCTCTTTCTCTTTCCCTTCCTTCCCCCCTTCTTTCCTTCCTTCCTTCCTTCCTTCCTTCCTTCCTTCCTTCCTTCCTTCTTTAAAAGACAGCATCTTACTCTGTCACCAGGATGGAGTGCAGTGCTGTGATCATGGCTTACTGCAGCCTCAAACTCCTGGGCTCAAGGGATCCTTCCGAGTAGCTGAGAGTACAGGCACATGCCACCAAATCAGCTATTTTTCTTTTTTTTATTTTGTAGAAACAGTCTTGCTATGTTGCCCAGACTTGTCTTGAACTCTTGGCTTCAAATGACCCTCCCACCTTGACCTCCCAAAGCATTGGGATTAAAGGCATGGGCCATTGTGCCCAGCTGCATGCACTTTTTATTCTTTCATTTACTTACCAAATATCTGTAAAGCTTATGCTATGTGGTCTGGCCCTGTGGTAGGAATGGGGAACTCATGAAGAATAAGACCTGGATTTTACAGACATACAAAACTGGAAGGCAATGTGGGCTGCACAATGGTAAAGGTATTTGCTGAGGTAAAGAAATATACAGAGGATTTAAACATTTAGCAGGGGCTCTCTGACGGATGCACTGAGGGCAATGAAGGCAGACCCATGCCTGTAATCCTTGTCAGTCCTAATAAGCATGATTTGCTGTCCCCTACAAGGTAGAAGGGCTCTGACTTAATTAACTTGTAACCAAGTGACTGGTTGGTGCCATTGAAGGATGGTACCATATTGAGGGTTTAGATTCAATCCTTAATGCTGCCAAGTCAGACCTCCAGCAGCCGCAGCAGCAGAGGCTAGGTCAACTGTAGCAGGGCTCATGAGTTGCCTCCATGCCTATTACCATGGCCATGCAGTTTGTGGACCCAGTGTTGTTCCTTGGGTAGCTGAGGACACAGGCCGGCTGACCCCCAGTGGATGCCTCATCCTATCCACACAGGTGTTCAGTGCTTCCTCCTCAGGAGATGTTCTGTTTTGGGCATTGATCTGAGACACAAAGATCCACACATTTTATGCTTAAAATTCCATAAATTCATTCAGGCGCTACTTTCCCAAACATCTCTGTCTCTGATTTTATAATCTTGGTATCTTGTTTCATCCAGAATGTGACAAACCAGCTCAGCAACTTGTGATTACCCAGTAATCTATGTGCACTCTTAACTATGATCACTTCACTTCCCCCGCCATGCCGGGTTGGTGACTGCTTATCATCATCATCATCAACACCAAATGTACTCAGCGCTCTGCTTACTGGAAGCAGTACTCTTCCCCATCACCTTTCACAGTCCCCCTGTGTGAGGTGAAAGTGCAGCAGTAGCCTATTTTCAGTCAGCCAGGCATGAACTTTTTCTTCCTACTTAGTGAATGAGGGGCAGCATAATATCCCACCCCAAAACATGCCACTTTGGCATAAGGATCATATTAAGCTGAAGGCAATTGAGAAGAAGCAGATACAAGAAAAGCTCTCTGCCTTTTCCCTATTTGCCTAAAAGTGTGACATAAATTTGTAAACTAGCTATTATCTTCCATTAGTTAGTTCCCTTGTGCATTTCCCTTCACATAATTTGCAGCTATAGAAACTCAAAGCCCTTTTCTTTTGTTTTGTCATTTCTCTAAAAATTTGTTGTTCTTCTGTTAAGATGCTATTTAAATCCAAGTTCTTACTACTGCTTTGAGGTACTCATCACTGAATGCTCCTTTGTGTAAACACATGTTAATCAACGTTTGTCTTTTTACTGTGAATTTGTCTTTGTTGGTCTAATTTTTAGGGCCTCAGCCAGAGAACCTAGGAGGGTAGAGGGAATAATATTTTTTCTACCCTACATTAGTCATAGGGAACTCCCACAGGGCTGAAAGTATGGGCTGGGGAAGAGCTATTGGTGCAAAAGACATAGGTGACGTGAGAGGTTTGGCTACTTGGTCATGTGAAGAGTCTCCTACGTTTCCTTAAACTCAATAGCTGTTTTTTTTTTTTTTTTTTTTTTTTTGATAATTTGCATTTGATTATTTTTGGTCTTTTTCCTCTCAATGCAAATCATGATTAAATTATATAGCATGCCACTACATTTTTTTTTGTGGCATTTAATAATCGATTCAATACTTTTGCCATCAGGATTTTCTTTTGCCTACTTTTTTGTTTTGAGGAAGTTGTATTCATTTGTGGTGAAGGAAAGAATTCTCTAATGTTTTATATATTCCTTGGAAGGAAGTCTGACATCATGTTACATACTAGTTATTTCAGTCTGAGAATTTCCTAAGGTGTTTGTACCATTAGAAGTGTTCTGCTTGGTAAATACAAAACTCCACCAGTTCTTCTTTTTCAGGGCCTGCTTCATTGACTGAACTTCCCCAACCTGCATGTGTAGCCTCATCACAGATTGCCTAAAATGATGTCACATTGCCATACATTATTAGCAGAGTTATTTTGTATAAGGGACATTCTTTTTCCTTAGGGACCTGTGTTTGGAGTATGCTTATGAGCCAGACAGAGAATTGGGGAAGCAGAATTGAAGTTCCTGGTTGGTTATAAATAATGTGTGTGGGTAGCATGATGCTGGAGGTGTTGGTACAGCACCCACAACGCACTTGACCACATTTATGAGTCCCTTGAGGCGGTGACCGATCATGACCCTGGTTTGTGTTCACAGAACTGGTTTGTGGCCTGACATGCAGGAGGCAATGTAGGGTGGTAGAAACAACATGGACTTTGAAATAAGGAACCTCTGGATTGAAATCTCAAAATTTAGATGTGGGTAGGGTATTAACTTCCCTGGGCCTAATTTCTTACCTCAAACATGTTAATATAGAAGGTCTAAAACTTTCTTGTTTCTGGCCTCCCGGGTCTTAGTGATTTTTTTCATAGTGCCCTTAGGCCAGAAAAATGACCAACAATCCTGTTTATTAACGGTCCTGTTTATTTAATTAGGTCTAAATCAACTTATTAAGTATGTCCCAACAACTTGGTAGCTATTTAAAAAAAATACCCATAAACTGAAAGAAAAAATAAATTTTAATTTTATTCTTAAATAGTCACAATTCCTTATGGATGGAATTTGTGTGCCTTTTGGATACCATACAATTTCTTGATTTTTGGAATAAGGTCAATTGATTTTCATTCAGTGTTTCCTTTTTTTTTTTTTTTGAGACGGAATCTCGCACTGTCACCTGGGTTGGAGTGCAGTGGCGCGATCTTGGCTCACTGCAACTTCTGCCTTCCGAGTTCAAGTGATTTTCCTGCCTCAATCTCCTCAGTAGCTGGGATTACAGGTATCTGCCACCATGCCCAGCTAATTTTTAGTAGAGAAGGGGTTTCACTATGTTGGCCAGGCTGGTCTCGAACTTCTGACCTCGTGATCTGCCCACCTTGGCCTCCCAAAGTGCTGGGATTACAGGCGTGAGCCACCGCACCCGGCCTCACAGTGTTTGCTTTTTATTACAGCAACAGCAGAAAACCCAGCTTTGCAAAATTCAGTGATATCTAATGGAATATAGCGTCATCTACTATTGAAATTGTGAACTACTTCGAGCAGTTTGTGAAGTGTCCAGCAAACATCGAGTGTCACTGTATTTCCCTTGAAAATTTGAAGTATTCTGTGGGTTCACATTTGCAGCTCAGGTTTCTCAACATGCAGTTTGAGAACTGTGCATAGAATTGAGAAGACGTATGTGCAGGGATGTTGTGAGAATGAATGTTATAGTGATTAGGCAGTACCTGATGCATCATAGGTGCCCAATAAAGCAGCTAAGGACATGTGCTTGTTGAAAGAAGGAGAAGGGGAGGGGAGGAGAAATGGAAGGAGAAGCGGAAGGGAGGAGAAATGGAGGGAGCAAGGGATAGAGGACTCAGAAAAATATGGCTCATAACTTGATCCAGCAAAGATTCCTCTGAAAAATAAAATCTCAATATGCCGAGACCAAGTCTTCTATGTATACCTCTTGCTGTTGCACTGACATGGGCTATGAGGTGGTACTGTCTCTTTGACACACACACACACACACACACACACACACACACACACACATGCATGCACGCATGCAATAGGCAGGTAGTGCACTGGAAAGAACCTGGGAATTCTACCTCAGAAGATCTGAGGTGGTTGAGTAATCTGGGGGAAATTATATGGCCTCCCTGAGCCTCAAGGGAGAACAGAACAAGTTGGGGACACCTTCAATTTGTACAGTAGTTCATGGCAAACCAAGTGCTAATTGGCAACCAAGTGTCCAAGTGTCAGCCTCCGGGTCAGGGTGGTGATAAGGGAGAAGTGGTGACTGCATTCAGCTGGAGAGCCACAGCCATGCTGAGTGGGGCAATTGCTACTCAGCTCTAATTGATTGTGATGGAATTGTCTGATTTTTCAAGAGATGTCAGAAAATGTTAACGTTGCATGAGAACCCTGATTTGTAAGTATCAACTAATTAAAACAAATACATTTTTAAAAGAACACTACTGTGTGGTCAAACACCATGCCTATATATATATATATGTATATATATGTGTGTGTGTATATATATATATATACATACACACACACATACATTTAGGTTAACTTTCACCCAGGGACCACTCCTTTTCAACCCTGGAACCAGTCCAATCCCTTTACTGCTGGTTGGCAGAGGCAGCAGCAAACCTAGCATATACGGCCCATGGATTGGACCATCTTTTGACAGCCCATTCTCTATACAACAAAGTTATTTCGTATAATAATCAGGAAGTTATTGGCTTGGTGGGATGGCCCAACATCTAATTGCAGCACTTTGGGAGGCTGAGGTGGGAGGATTGCTTGAGCTCAGAACTTCGATAGCAGCCTGGGCAACGTAGGGAGACACCGTCTCTATTAAAAATACAAAAATTAGACAGAGCAAGACCCTGTCTCAATATATATATATAAACTGAAAAAGAATGGAGGAAGCAAAATTTTCAGTTAGTGAACATTTTATAGATAAGCATGCTAGGAAAACAAATAGAAAATAAAATACATATTCAAGTACAAAAGGGAAAATTATATTAATGTTGAAAAAAGGAAAAAATGTATGCCCCCTAGCAATCATCATAGTAATAAATAATGTTACAGTTTTTATTTTTGAGCCTGAACTTCATCATAATTGATCTTTATGTATTTATGTTAAACAATGTGTCAATCTATTTAGACTCATGGTTAATTGAAGAACACACTTTTTATTAATTTTAATTTTGAAAAGTTTCTTCACATGGAATAAGCAATATATAAATAATTAAGAAAAGTCTTAAACATAAGATTAAATTTGTCAAAGTCATAATAAATCCCATGTGCCTCAATTCCAGAAATCACAACGCTATCATGCAATTTTCATATTCTCTCTACAATGGAAAAATTTTAAATACAAATAAAAGCTCTATGTGTCACAGACAATGGCAAAATTGGTGAAATTCAAGATCTGTTTTCCCATCTTTATAATCCCATGCTTCTATTGTTAATTTTGAATCAACTGTTTAAATGCAGGCATGTGTAGTGCACAGGAATTGGCAGAATAAATTGTGCCAGAGTGAGCAGAAGCCATTATGGACACACATTCAAAGGATGTGTGTGCAGCTCAGTCCTCATTTGTCCGAGGCTAACTGAATAGCTAGAAGTCCTCCAAACTAACTTCCATGTGGGACACAATATCTATTAAGTGATAAATATGTGCTAGTTTGAAGTATACATATATATTAGCAAAATTCCACAGTCACTTCAGCATTTGTTTAGAACATAGACCTATACAAGATTAGTTGGGAAGGAAGATTTGGTCAATGATATTGTTTAGAATTTCTGGCATATGGTGATTATAAAATACAGACTGAGTTTTAGTTAGTCTGAAAAGATGCAGCAAGTCATCCAAGAACACAGAGCTCATCAGCAGGAGAACTGCACTAGAACCCAGATTTCTTATTACCTGGCACCAAGTAACAAGATGGATAGCACCACTACATGGGGCAGGTCCTTAGGGATTTAGAAGCAACATAAAAATACAAATTATTCTAATATTATACCAATTATTAAATGATTGCTTTTGATGAACTAGACATTGTGCTAAGATCTTTATCTAGATTATCTCAATTCTCGTAACAGTAATTCTATAATTATTATTCCCATTTTGCAGTTGGGAAAACTGAGGCTTAGAGAAGTAAATAATTTGTTCCAAATCACATAGCTCTTACTGGCCTGATTACAGACCCCATAGCCAGTGATGCATTAATAAGGTGTGTGTCATTGGAAAGGTAAAGGAGGACAAATAACAGAATCACATAACTAACTGCCTAACGTTGTGAGCTCCTGCTGTAGCCACTGCCACCTTACCCCAGTCTCCACCCATCTAGCAATTTGCCTTTTTACTTTTGGATTCTGGGAACATACGCTGGGTCTGAGTTTTAGACTCTATTTGAGAAGCTGTGGGATCACAGACATGTTATTTAACTTTCACTGCCTGATGAATGATGCAAGAAAGTGGGACAGATGTCATCAAGGGCCCTTCTGGGAGTGAAGCATGAATCCCTTATAATAGCACGTTGACCATAGCAGCTCCAATGGAGTCCAGAGAACGTGTAGGCAGCTCTCTCAAGCTGCAAAATCCTGCTTGTGTCTGGAGTTTTCACAGATAGCCAGGGAGACTTTGAAGCTGCTTTGTCTCAGGCATGTGGTGCTTGGTCACAATGCATTGCTTAGCAGTCTACATCCCCTGTACACTGACGCTTTCTTCTCACTTCTCAATTGACATTCTTCTCACTCATGGCTACAACAGTTGGGCTGGAAATCCTGCCCTTCCTTCACAGTATTACCCATGAAAGAGGATAAAACAAGAGCCTTAGCCCCTGTGTTTGCCTCCCGGGAGACGGGGAGACTAGAGTGTTAACAGTTCTCCTTCTACCTACGAACTCCTGGGAGGGGAAAGCCTAGGTACTTTTACCAAGAAGCTAAGAAACTGGAACTGGAAATTTGAAGCTGTTAAAAAAATAATAATTTCAGAGATCCAGGCTACCACTGAAGTTGGAAGACTAGAGTGAACAGTTTTCTCTTGAGAATATAATTTATGGCATTTTGGGATTATGAAAGTCATGATCCAGGAAATAGGAAATGGAGGCAAAGGAAGTAAAATTGATTGATGTAATAAAGCAATAGGCCTTTTCTCTTCTTCATAGTGGTCCCAAGGAGTATTATAGGGTCACTGAATGTGGAGAATTAGGAAAAGGGAGAAGAGACACAAGAGGAGAGAAAAGAGGCCACAGCAACTGTTAGGGACTAGGGCCCATGAAGAGAAACAGGAGCAAACAATATTGAGATGAGAACGGCCAGGCAAGGTTACAAGAGTGAGGTCTGATACTCATTTGTAAATTGTTTCCTCTCCTCTGCTGTGATCTCCCTCTTGAAACTGCTGCCCTCATCAACACTGTGAAGAGGTGAGATGGAGTTGAGGAGGAGCTGTGTCCACATTGAAGAACTCCAGACTCAGGAAGGGTGACAAGCACAGACAATCATGACAATGCTCAGGGGTGGAGCTTGGAGAGGAGATGGTGTACACAATGCAGAGAATGCAGGCATCCCCCTAACAGAGGTATTCTCAGAAGGATTTGGGTGCTGGTGTTGTTTTGGCAGGAAGGGGATAACGAGAGAACCAGTCAGGATGGGGGATTTTGTCATTGTATTTGGATATTAGAGAAATGTGTGGCCTCAAAGGCGGAAATCTGGAGACGCTTGAGCTAAAATGTAACGCTATAAGCTGGCTCAGATAAGTGTCCACCAAAAAGTAAGGCCAGGCCCTGTCTTGGATCTCAAAGAGGGTGATTGAGTTTCCCAGGGTTTTCTTCCCTCAGGGGAGGTCCAAGTGTTTTAAGAGGGGAAAACCGATGATCTGTACACAGAAACACTCCATTTGTGGGTTGTGGAAGGTGGGTAGACAGCCAGAGGTTCAGGGCATCCTTCCAGGAGTTTACCTTAGGTCTGCAAGGCGAGGCTTATCAAAGAGACTGCCGGCATTTTAAGAGGAATTCCCATCAGAGTGGTGACAAGCACCAGCGGAATGAGGAAGAAAGGAAAAAATCACACTCAGAAACAATAAACAGCAAAAGAAGGAGTTCCAAGGAGAGACAACTGAGTAGTGTTCTCCCTTGGGAAAGGTGAAATATCTGGAAAAATCACTCCTTCATTTAAGACCCTGGGGTCTGTGTTATTCTGGGGAGAGCTACGGAAAAAGTAGACAACTCACTGCTAAGGATGACATCGCTGCATGAGGCTGGAAATGCAGAGGGCAGAGTGAGCCAAATGCATAGAGCTCTTGACCTTGCTTGCATATTCTTTACCTCCCAGCCTTCCTGGGCCATCCTTTCCCTCCTTCCAAATTGCCTATCTTTCTTCCTTTGCTAACTCCGTCTGGAAGCCTCTTCTCCTCATCAGCCCTGTGCAGTGCTGATGGTTAACTTATGCACAAGATGAAATGCTGCTCTTCCTTTAGTGCGCTATGATGGTTATTTTTCACATGTGTTTTCTCTGTGGCTATAATTGCATTGAAATCTGTCTCAGGAGAGGCTTAATGGCTAAGAGCATTGGACATGGGTTAAAATCCTGGCTTGCCTCTTTTTAGTAAATGACAGGGGCAGGTTCACTTAATCTGAAAATGGAGAAAACAGTAATACCCACCTCACTGAACTGTTGTGAAGATTAAATGAAACAGCACATGTAAGGCACTTAGTGGCTGGCATATACTAAAAGCTTAATAACAAAGATCATTCAGTAGAACTCAATAAAAACTCTCACACACTGCTGTTGGGAGTGTACATGACAATGACTGCTTTTGAAAACAATTTAGTGGTATATATTAAAGCTGAACGTATGCATAGATTATGGCCAAACAATTCCACTTCCATATACTCTTAGGCCTTTACTTTCCCAAATGCATACGTATTAGTTATCTAATAATAAATCACTCCAAAACGTAATAGCCAAAACAACATTTATTATAGCAGGTTCTGTGGGTCAGGAGTTCAGGTGTGGCTGAGCTGGGTCTTCTGTCTCAGGGTATTTCACAAGGCTGCAGTCAGCCAGGGCTGTGGTCACCTCAAGGCCTGTTTGGGGGAAAATCCACTTCCAAGCTTACCAATGAAGTTGTTGTCAGGATTCAGCTCTTCATGTGTTGTTGGAATGATGACCTCAGGTCCGTACAGAAGTCTGTCCTCAATTCCTCGCCACTGAGACTCTCCATAGGGCAGCTCAAAACAAGGCAGCGGCTTCATCAGAGAAAGCAAGCAAGAAGAGTGAGAGTGAGAATGAGCAAGAGAGAGAGAGATCCCCAGCAAGTCCAAGGTCATGGCCTTTAATAACCTAATCTTAGAGAGCAACGCTCCATCATGTTTGCCATATTCTGTTTGTTATGAATCACTACATCCACTTCACACACAAGGGTGGGGATTACACAGGACAAGAATAGCCAGAGGCAGGAACCATTAAGAACTGTTTTAGAAGCTCTCTACCACATGGAGTTTCACTAATAGATACTCACAAGAATATTCATAGTTGCACCGTTTGCAACAGTTAAAGCAGGGAAACAACCCAATGTCCATTAGCAACAGAATGGACAAACATATTACAAATCATTGTAATATATTCATACAATTAAATTCTAAACAACAGTGAGAATGAACAAATTATACCTACATGCAGCAGTATGAATAAGACTTTCAGACATAATGATGAGCAAAAGGAATCAAACAAAAAAGAATGTATATTATACATGCTTGTTTCATTTCAAGGGTTTTATTCTTATTTAGAAATAAGTATAGCATAGATAACGAGCTTGGGAAAACTACTAATGTTCCCAATCTAACAAAGTAAAATCTTACAAAGCAGTTGGCTTATCTAACATCCTGACTCCCTCCATTTTGTGTTATAGCTGGAAGTTACTGGAAACCTTACCGAACTTCTTTTTCCCCTTGGATCTTATTTCTGAGAGACAGAGACACTCTTCAAAACTTACCCTCTTCCTGGGTAAAGAAGCAGTCCTTTCCATTAAGACTTCCATTTCAGAACTTTGGTGATACTTTATAATCTTTTTCTATCCTATTATAAAATAGCAATAGTAGACTTTACCAACAATATGGATTTAGTAACTCACATTGATCTAGACCACAGTGTACCTTTAAAGAACAGAAAATCTAAGTAAAAAATATTAGATATACTGAAAATTTAGTTGTGAGGCCTTTTGGGGTACAGAAAGCAATACCCCAAAATATGGTGCTTTGGCATGTTGAGTGCTTGGAATTAAAGAAAATTGAAGGAGCTTAGAAATAAGCCTCAGAACCAAGGTCTTTCTCTGACCTTCCCCTTCCTCCCTGTCTCTCTGATCCTTTTTCTTCATGAAGAAAGAAGGGACTCTGTGGAATTTTCTTCTCTGACTAAGAAAGCTTCTTACAAGGAGAATTGCAATTGTCTTAAAATATCCCTCCTAAGAATCACATGAAATAACCAGAAAAGATTAACCACTAGAGAAGAGGAGATACTGGGAGTCATCACCATGCCTAAACAGACTTTCCATCTATTCTTCTGAGGGCAGCTCCAGGAGATTAACTGGGAAGCTTTAACTGGATAATAAGACTACCTTTGTTCACTGTGAAGTTCTGCCCCTTGCCTTCTCACCACCTCCCTCCGAGCTCAAAGGAACTTTGTTATTTACTCCGTGCTGTATGAAGAAGGCTATATAAGCATCCGGACCTCATTGGATTATTGGGCAATCATTTTCCTGTGATTCTCCCATGCTTATGCACATTAAATACATTTTTTATGACTTTTTCTCCTATTAATCTGCCTTTTGTCAGTTTATTTTCAGCAAACCTTCAGAGGGCAAAGGTGAAGCTTTCCTTCTTTACCCTACAGGCCCTTGAGAGATCTTGAAATATATTCTTCATTACATTAAAGCAATTCTGTGCTGTGAGAAAGAATGGCAACTAGTCTCTGTCAATGTATTCAAAAAATTATTAGGAGGCTATTATGTGATAGGAAATATTTTCAGTGGTAGAGATAATTTTTCCTTTTCTACAACAAGCTTAAATTGTACTAAGTCACTTAATATTTATTTGTGTAGTCATTTATTGAACTAACACCATGTAACACGTTTTATGCACATTAGTAATCATTATTTTATTGTATCAGCTTTTGCTATGTAATAAATCACTCCAAACACAGTGGCTTAAAATAAACATTTTATCTAGCTTTTGGGTATCTATGGTTGGCTGGGATGTTTGGGAAGGCTGGGACTTTTGAGGCAGCTAAAATGGCTTAAATGGCTGACTTCTCTCTGTATAACCTCCCATTCTCTGGAAGACTAGCTGATAATTCTTCACATGGTGGTCTCAGGGTTTCTAACAGCAAGACAACTCAAGCTCCAATGTGTACATATTTTTCAATCCTCTGCTTGCATTACATTTGATAATGCCCTATTCAAGCCCAAATTGAAGTTTAGATTTAAGGAATAAAAAAATAAATTCCACTTCAATATAAAAGGAGTGGCAAATTCACATTTAAGTGGGCACATGTACAGGGCTGGTAAGAATTACTGTGGCCATTTCTGCAAACGGTTTACTGTGTTTAGCATCCCCATTTTTCATTCAGGAAAACAAACTCAAGGAGTAATTTGAGCAAGTTTATAAAGTCGGACAGGATTTGAACATAGAGGAGTGACCATCAACTTTATATTCTTCCCATATATCACCCTGCTTCTAGGTGGAGCGAGCTTCACAAACCACTTTTCAGAGATTGCCAACTCTGAGAAAAAGGAAAGATGTGACTTTGCGACAACCATTTTGCCTGCTGTAGGAAGGCAGTCAATACAAATGCACTCTTTTATGTCATTATGTCAGTGCTCTGGGCATAGTCAGTGCTCTGGGAAGTCTCCCAGGCAGCCTATTTTCCAGTACAAGGACTAGCTTAGACCGAGGCAATGAAAAATTCATGACAAGAGAGTTCAGAAAATGTAGTGTACTTGCTGCCTTCAGGTACCACTTGATTGACTTCTCTCATATTGGGCTCTGCAGTAGCCATGTAATAAAGCAAGGGTGGGAAATTCCATGTTGGAAGCCCTCTTCCTGGGGCTCATCCCTGAAGGCTGTATGGTTGCTGCCTAAGATGGTAAGGGTATCAGGCAGGTTTACGTGGTGTCTGTGGCCGTGGCAGTATGTACAGAGGACAGTGACCATAATAGTGTCATGGAGGGGAATCTTCCTAACGAGATTTAGTTTACTAAGTTAACATTGCAGGTATTACTTGAATTGTATTCCCTGCTATATGCAACTATTAAATTAGATTTTTTCTTAGGGATGATCCTCTTTATATTTTATTGATAAAAATTTAGTGACAATACTTCAGCTATTTCACAGAGTTGTATTTGCATTCTGACTAATTAGTTCAAAATGCTACCTCTAGTCTGGGCATGGTGGCTCATGCCTATAACCCTAGCACTTTGGGAGGCCGACACAGGAGGATCGCTTGAGCCCAGGAGAAAGAGACCAGCCTGGGAAACATGTGAGACTCTTGTTTCTACAAAAAAAATTTAAAAATTAGCCAGATGTGGGGGCATGCACCTGTGGTAATAGCTACTCAGGAGACTAAGGTGGGAGCATCACTTGAGCCAAGGAGGCAGAGGTTGCAGTGAGCTATGATCGCACCACTGCACTGCAGCCTGAGCGACAGAATGAGACTTGTCTCAAGCAAAAACAAAAACAAGAACAAAAACCCAACAACCAAAATGCTGCCTCTAGTTTTCTGCCTATTTGTGTAATGCATATGCATATTTCTGATATGTTTATGTTTGCAGAATGAATAGACTAACCAAAGCTAAAGCACAAATGCAAAAATTGGCATTGATGAGAACTGATTCTACTTACGTGACATTCTGGAAAAGAGAAAATATACGAACAGAAAACAGATCAGTAGTTACCACGGACTAGAGAAAGCTGAGGGAATTGACTACAAACGGGCACAAAGGAACTTTTCTGGGTGATGGAAACATTCTACATCTTGATAGTGGTGTTGGTTACCTGACCTCCTAAACTCATAACTGTACACTTAAAATGGGTGAAATTTACCATATGTACCTCAATAAGCCCAACTTAGGAAAACAATAAAAATAATGATGCCCCAACCATCTTATTTAAATAATCTACATTTTAAAAGATGCTAAATTAGGATAAATTTTAAAATTTTTCAATGAATTTTACTGTTTAGAAATTTATCATTAAGGAAAACTATTCCAGACTTAGAAAACGTAGAGATAGTTGTGTCCTTTCAAACTCATATAAAAGCATTGTCTAATAAGCTGACCTGAGGGACATCTGATGCTTTAGAATGATGTTACTGATAACAGCAGGAGGCAGACATATTCCTAGGCAGACAGGGGTGGGTCTGCAGTGAAACCTGACCCTCAAGCCAAAAACAGCCTGAAGCCTGAAAACCTGGCTCCGGGTTCCAGATAGAGTCCACAACCTAAGCGAGAACTATTTCTGTGTGCCCGCTCTTTTCTGATTGGTTATTTCTGAAAACTTCCTTTTAATCAATCAAATGTTGCCTTTTCCAAGGGTACCTACAGCCCACATCTCCCCCATTCTGAGCCTATAAAAACCCCAGACTCAGCCACATGGAGGGACTACCCAACTTTGGGTAGGGGCTACTCACTTTGGGAACCCTCTCTGTGGAGAGCTCTTCTGCCATTTGATAAAACTCTTCTCTGCCTTGGTCACCCTCTGGTTGGCTGCATAACTCATTCTTCTCGAACGTAGGACAAGAACCTGGGACCTGCTGAATGATTGGTGCAAAAAAGACTGTAACATGTTCCTGGCTGGCTCACTGAGCTGTGGGCATTGACACGCTCCCATTCTCTGGTCCATGGGAGAGAAGAGCGGCAACCCTTCTGGAGCCCAGACCTCAGGACTCCCCAAGCTGGAGCTGTAACACCCCCTTTGGGTTCCACGGTTGCTGATGTCTCTGAGTTTTTCAGGCACCACCATGTTCCTCTCATCCAGATGCTGGTGCCCAAGGTGGAGGCCACTTGCAGTATTCCTGGTCCAGCTGCAGACTTGTACAGAGGTGGCCCCTGGAGTTGCCCCCTACTGCTGTAGCAGCTGGTGCTCCTGGCTTGCCCTTGATGGGTGTGAGATCCAGGTTGGCAGCATGAGCACAGCACAGCCTGCTGGGCCGAGTATGTGGGGCAAGTCTAGCAGTGAGCCCTGAGTGGAGTGAAGCTGGGGCAGGAGTGCTGCCGGCCGCAGAAATTTCCACCTGGAAAGCAGCACCTAAAAATCCTGTCATTTCTTTTGTTAAAATTACTATTTACTATTGATTAGGACTAGATTCTAGGAATTAACATCTATCATTACAGAGTTGAAAATAATTTTCATTTGGTAGAGATGAAATTGATTTCTGTGTGATTGTGTAGGGGAGGAAAAAATGCTCCCTTCTACCCTTCTATGTTCTGTGGCTGGTCTAAGAATTAAATGGACATAAAAAACATTAGTAGGAGAAAAATAACTTTAATTTATGGACATATGCGTGGGAATCCCACTAAAAATGAGACTCAAGGAAGTACCCAGATAACTGAGACATATGTCAGCATAAGCTATAGGAAAAAATAGGGCTTTGGAACTTCTGGGGAGTGGTGGAGGCAAATGATGGGAAGGTGAGAGGAGGAAATGTAGGGTGAATATAGTTTACCTTCTTATGTGGATAAGAGTCTCTCAGGCAATAAAAATTGTCTTAGAGTTGTTCTCTTCCTGGTATGGATACCTTTACTAATAGAAATTTTCTTTGTAAATGTAAATTTTCCTTACAGAAGGGGAAGTTTATACATTATTTTAAACAGGTGAGGGGGAAGTGAAGAGCTTTTTCTGCATTGGCTGTTTCTTAATTTACTTTAGCTTGAAATAAGCAATATGCCAAGTGGCATATTTTGAGGGTAGCATGTTTTGAACCCCTTCAGTAGAAAACATAATCCAGAGGTTATGATTTTATAGCTCTTTACGACATTAGCCGGTTTTGCTCTGTTGGGAGGAAAACTTTCCCCTAACCCTCTTAGGTTTGAATGGTCTAGGCCTTTGGATTAACTAAGAATAGATTAACAGAACAAAAGTTTTTGTGCCTACAGAAGTACTCAGTAATGAGTAACTTGTTTAGTAGCCAGAGATAAAGGTTTGTATTCCAATTTAGCAAAAATGGAGGGGAGGTTTAGGGCATCAATAGGAAAGTATGAAAGGCTCTATTTGGCTTTTTGATGCTAATAGGCAGCTAAATTCATACTTCCTGGTGCTGAGTGTCAGTATTTTCTGAAACAGGAAACTCCCTGGGTGAAGGGGTGTGGGTAGTGTCAAAGGCAGGTGTATTTTTGGGAGTACCTGCATAAGTGTAGATAATGTTTTATTTTTATTTTTTGGTGATTGTAGATTAAGATGTTCTCAGTTTAAAATAATTTTTATACCACTTTGGTGAGCTGTTAATCTACCCAGTATCTAATTTAGCAATCTTATTTTAGCATCTTTTCTTTTACTAATTCGATACACCAGTCTTGCATATACTTCTTTAAACAGCCTTTACCATCCTAATGGTTCCCTCATTAAGTTTAAATATTTGAAATGTGCTCACTATGTATTCTCATAAATATATTTTTGAACATTAAAAAGTTTATACTTTGGCAATTTTCTATACTTTTTCATTCCTAGTACACAGTAGTTCTCTTACATATGCATGTATTAGCCTTTTGTTAGTTTATAATATCATCATTATGGGAAAAGTATTCTGAGTTCTGAAGAGCCAATGAAGAAAGTTTTGAAACACACCCGATTTTAACTTGGGGACTGTCTGTACTATATTTTTTAATAGTCTGTGGTTTCGTGTTCTCTGGTACTTAAATTCCTAAGCTTTACTGCCTTGAAGTTCTTGGCACACCATAGGCAGATTAGCCACGTGGTCATGTTTTGGAGTTTGGGTTGTGTTAGAAGTTTGGGTTCTGTTAGAAGAATAATTAAATCTTAGGCAGAAATTGGCTGACTTCCTAATAGGCAAGGTTAAGTCTCATGATGCTAGGCTACTAGGCAGGGTTTCTTGGCATGACAGCTATTACATTGAAGTACTTGACAGTTTTCGTTGTAAAGAACATTCTTATTTATAAAGTAGCTCCCTCATATTTGTGGTTTCACTTTCTGCAGTTTCAGTTACGGTCAACCGCAGTAGGTTATTTTTATGAACATAAGATATTTTGAAAGAGAGAGACAGAGAGAAAGAGACCACATTCAAATAACTTTTATTACAGTAAATTGCTATAATTGTTCTATTTTAATATTAATTATTGTTAATCACTTACTGTGTCTAATTTATAAATTAAACTTTATCCTAGGTATGTATATATTGGAAAAAAATAGTATATATAGGATTTGGTACTATCCCCCCACTGCAAGCACCTACTGGGAGTCTTGAAATGCAACCCTTGTGAATAAAGGGGGACTGCTGCACCTCACTAAATTCTCACCTGGTAAATTTAACCTAGTGTTCTTTTATTCCCTCCTCAGTGGAATTTTGACACTTGGTTGTGATATTTTATGAAAAAGCCCTATTCAAATAATTTTTGGTGCAGTTATGAAATGGATCGCCAATTTTATTTTTTCCTCCTTCCTTCTTTTCCTTCTCTGTGGTATTTTAAAATATTTCACAAAACTAGTGTATAGAATATTAACACACTTTACAGATGATAACTTTTAGTCACAGCATCCTCAGTTTGGAAACCTGCTGAATAATATTGTTCATATGATGACAAGTTTGAAATGAAGGCACATTATTTTGAATGGCTGTGTCCTATGGCCCAGGGTTACCGAAAATGTGGTCCATGGGCCAAGGCCTGCCTGCAAACTGTTTACTACCTGTCTGTAATGAGATTTCTACAGAACTTGAAAGCATTTGTAAACTTTTGTAAGCAATTTCTCAGAGTAATTTTATGTCTGTTGAATAAACTTACAATGTTTTCCTAAGAGAAGGATGTGGTTTGTCACTTGCTGTTTCTTCTCCTCCTTCTTACTTTCTTCCACTCCTCTTTCTCTTTCTCCTGTTACTGTTACTGCCCCTGCTGCTCATCTTCTCTTTCCTGACTTTATTCTTTGTCTTCTTATTCTTCTTTTTGCCTTCCTTTCCCCCTCTTCCTGCTCCTTGTGATTCTTCTCCCTTGTCCTCCTCCTCCTCCTCTAGATATGAAAGTCCACTATATTCACACAAGGTATGTAAGTAATTGTTCCTTTCAGTTACCTTGAGGAGAACTAATTAATTTAAAATATTATTTTAAACACCACCTTTATCTTATAGCTCCAGTGAAAAACTGCATTTTGTAACCTACATTTTTTTTATGGAATAAATTCCAGTTTTTCAGCTTGATTTTCAGGATCTTTCCAATGTAAGCCCAATATAAGAGTCCTAACTCTTCATAATTCCCTTAAAAATTATGATGATTTCCCCTTTATTGTGTATTTATACCATTTATCTTCTAAGAATGGATTCTCCGCTGATTTATAATTTGATTCACCCATCTAATGAGTATTTAGCATCAATTAAATGCTGGGCAATAAGTTCCTGCCACTCAGGAGTTTAACATCCAGAACGTAGTCAAATACTTACCTCTTCTTTGGGGGCATCTCCATGAGGTGTAATTAGAAAAAGCAGAGCCAGGCGCAGTGGCTCACGCCTGTAATCCCAGCACTTTGGGAGGCCGAGGTGGGCAGATCATTTGAAGTCAGGAGTTCGAGACAAGCCTGACCAACATGGTGAAGCCCCGTCTCTATTAAAAATACAAAAAAGTTAGCTGGGCATGGTGGCACATACCTGTAGTCCCAGCTACTCAGGAGGCTGAGCAGGAGAATTGCTTGCCTGGGAGACAGAGGTTGCAGTGAGCTGAGATCACGCCACTGCACTCCAGCCTGGGAGACAGAGTGAGCCTCCGTCTCAAAAAAAAAGCACTAAGAGTTGTCAGAAGAGTTGAGAGTCACAGGGATTGGGGACTGGGATATAAATCTTAGCTGGTCACGACCCCTAACTCCTTGGGTCTCCTTTGTGTACTCATCTGTAAAGTGGGTATGATGCTGATCTTTCCTTCATAAAGGATTTTTTAAAAAAGATTATATTAAATAATAAGATGAAAGAAGCTGGCACAATGTAGAATTTATTCAATGCTATTTTCTTCTTGTCGCCTATGAAAAAATTTTACTTTCTATTTACTTTAATTCTGACACCAAAGGCTATCCTTTTCCTGTTCTACACCATGCACATTCTAAACTAGTTCCATTTCCTGGTACTATCTTCCTGTTCCAACTCCCCTTTTTATTTATGCAATGCCCACTCTTCCTTTTCCATCTGCCCAAATTGTGTACTTCCTTCAGGATGAAATTCAAAACCTCACTCCTCCAAAATCACTCATGGGCCCCTTGACTTTTCTGGAATTCTCTTATAGAACTACTTCAGCTCTTGGCTATGTTATCTCTGGTGTTGACCATTTTATTAATTTCATCTTGCCTTCCCAATGAAAATGAATGTTCTTTGATGGTAAGGAATTTGTCTTTTTTCCCTTTCTTTCTTTGCATTCTTTTTTTTTTTTTTAAATAACAACCTCCTGTCCAATTATATGGTATTTGTATTTTTCTGTTCCCTAGAGTGTAGAGCATATGAAAGATAGTTAAAAATACAGCAGAAACTTGACACTGGTGAGGGATATGGGTAAGCCATGCTATAATGTGGATGCCCACGGGCCAGAGGGATTTACTGCTCATGTACTTCTCCCATCTATACCATCCTCATGATGCAAGTGCACCAAATTTGCCCTTTAGCAAAATGGCAAACTCATGTCCTTGGACATCTTGTGCTTGCAAAAAGCTGAAACCTCAACTGTCAAAACCTCAAATGCCAAGAGTTTCTTATGTTTTTGATAAAACTGTGGTTGTACCCAAAAGTACTTGATGAAAATTTTTTATTTAGCCCATTATTTTGGCATTGTACTGCCTCAGTACTCATCTCCGATTACCTATCAGGTGTGGGTTTGAAGGGTGGTTCCAGGGTGAATACAGACAGAGGAATATCTTCTAGTTCTTGCCTGGAGGCTCTGGACCCACCCGCACTTTCCCAGACCTGAAGGAACAGCAACTACCAGATGCCAAGCACTGCCTTTAGGTGCTCAGATGAACTTCTGAGCCATATCACCTGTCCTCAAAAGCCCTGACCCAAGCAGTGTCCCTTCTCTCAGATGTCCCCTCTCTCAGTAGGTTCACCCAGTAACCAGTTTTATGAAGAATAGTGTTTTTCAAAATGGGAAGAGAAAGCAGTGCTTTGACTTAGAGGACTCTCTTCTGTTCAATTTTAACTTTCAATGTATAGTTTTTAATTGTAGAAGTTACTTCAAAAGGAAATTAAAGAATTGAAACCCCAAGTCCCAGCATATTAGGAACTAATATTAGAGCTTACTTTCAAATAATGGCTAACTCTAGTGGAATGCTTACAAGGTACCTGTGTTGGTTTTTCATCGCCCTGACACATACATGAAAGTAAGTCTCTTCCAGAGAGTATCTGATTCTATGACTTTCTCTGATGACTCACCTATGACTTTCTCTGATGACTAGGCTATTTTATAGCTCCCTAGAAATAGAAACTAAGTTGTAGAAAACTGATAACAATGCAGGTTTTTCCTGTCCACAGTAATGCAAATCATTCTTTTTTTTATTCTTATTTTTATTATTATTATTATTTTTTTTGAGACGGAGTCTCACTCTGTCGCCGAGGCTGGAGTGCAGTGGCGCGATCTCGGCTCACTGCAAGCTCCAACTCCTGGGTTCACGCCATTCTCCTGCCACAGCCTCCCGAGTAGCTGGGACTACAGGCGCCCACCACCATGCCAGGCTATTTTGTTTGTACTTTTAGTAGAGACGGGGTTTCACCGTGTTAGCCAGGATAGTCTTGATCTCCTGATCTTGTGATCTGCCCGCCTCGGCCTCCCAAAGTGCTGGGATTACAGGTGTGAGCCACCGTGCCCGGCCGCAATTGATTCTTGTTCACAGAAATGCAAAGGCATATTGCATTTAGAGATAAAACTTTATTATGTTTTATAAAACATTATAGAGATAAAACTTGAAAATGTTTACTGACCTATGGGATATCAATCAGTTTTGCATTTATTAGCAAAACCATTTTAGCATTCCTAGTTGCATGTATACATCTCCAAATTCTCCTCATTCTCCAAATTCTGTTTCCTCATTAATTAATTAAATCAACAAATTATTTGACACAGGTTCATTTTACATGTGTTTGAGAGTCATGATTTTACTTTGTAAAAAATTATAGTTTAGCAATTTTGAAGGTTCCACTGAAAAGCCCAAGTGGGCTTTCCTGACAAAGTAAACTTCTGATGGGGTTCAGGACACATTACTCCAAAATATAGCACCTTGGCATATTAAATATTTTAAGCTGAAGACATTTGAAAAGCAGGAAGTTCACTCCACTTTCCTCCCAGTCTTTCTCTCCTGAAGCAGACCATGAAACCTAGGAAGGATTTTCTGATCTTTCCCTGAAGAAAGAGGCCGGGTGCCCTCCCAATACCTGGAGGAAAGGAATGTCCTTATCTTTGAAGATAAAATGACACTGAGAATAATCTGTACAAACAAGATGAAACTGCCTTTGCAAAATTATGACAATAAGAGAAATCTGACATACTTGACTCCATCTTGTTTCTGACCTCCAAGATGTCCTTGGTCATTCCTGGGCATAGGCCAACTTAACTTTGGGAGAAATTTATTTTTTTTATTTTTTATTTTTTTGTGATGGAGTTTCACTCTTGTCACGCAGGCTGGAGTGCAATGGTGGTCTTGGTTCACTGCAACCTCCACCTCCCGTGTTCAAGCAATTCTCCTGCCTCAGCCTCCTGAGTAGCTGGGATTACAGGTGCCTGCCACCACGCCAGGCTAATTTTTATTTTTTTTTCGAGATGGAGTCTCGCTCTGTCGCCCAGGCTGGAGTGCAGTGGTGCGATCTCGGCTCACTGCAAGCTCTGCGTCGCAGGTTCACACCATTCTCCTGCCTCAGCCTCCCAAGTAACTGGGACTATAGGCGCCCGCCACCTCACCTGGCAAATTTTGTATTTTTAGTAAAGATGGGGTTTCACCTTGTTGGCCAGGCTGATCTTGAACTCCTGACCTCAGGTAATCTGCCTGCCTTGGCCTCCCAAAGTGCTGGGATTACAGGCGTGAGCCACTGCACCCAACCTGTTTATAATGTAACTTGCAAGCAAGGATGAGAATAATCCCTCAGTAAACAAATCCCCTCCTTGTTTAGGGACCAAAGACCATCTTTGTAAGACTAATGAAAGGCCCCAAGAATAGGATTATGTGGGGTGGTGGGCTGAACTCTGCTAAGATGTAGGCATCTTTCTATAATCCTTTACTGCTCAGGAGTCATGTGGCCAGAGGTCACAAGATTTGTGACTTCCTTAATTGCTCCTGTAGATAACATCACGATTGTAATACCTAAGATTATTTTTTTTTGAGACACTTTCTGACAGACCCAACATGGACTCATGACTCAACTGAACCTGTGGCCCCACTCAGATGTGGACTCAGGGCTTGAGGACTGTTTTCCACACCCTTATGATTTCATCCCCTGCCAATCAACAGCACCCATTCCCTAGCCCTCTGCCCACCAAACTCCACAGAAACCCTAAACTCTGAGCCTTTGGGGCTATTGATTTGAGTAATATTATAATTCTGTTTCCTGCATGGCAGGGCCAGCCTCGTGTCAATTAAACTCTTTCTTTACTGCAGTGCCATGGTCTCCATGAATCAGTTTTGTCTGTGCAGCAGGCAGGAAGAACTCATCAGGAGATTGCAAAGATTTGCTGTTTTCCCCATTTTATTACTATTAGATCATACATTTTGTCCAAATATATTTCTCCATGACAGTTCACTTGTCATCAAACTTAATATAAAAATATGCAGATTCTACCATTTTTTTTCTGGTCTTCATTTTTTTAATGAAAGCTTCTGTGTCATGTGAAACTTATATTAAATAAATTGTATATTTTTGTCTTGAGAATCTGTCTTTTGTTAAGAGGTCTCAACTGTGAACCTAGGATGGTTACAGAAAAGAAGGTTTTCTCACCTTACACTGTGTTGCTGGAGAAGTTTACCAATGGTTGCTTAACGTCGGCACATCTTTTCTTGATTGCCAGAGTAAATTCCAAGTAATAGTAGAACTTTGGCTTTGCTAACTCACTCTCTGTTTATCTAGTTTTATCCCTCTCTCTCTAGTAATTTTGTGTTTAGTTCTTGTTTCTGGTTTGCCTATAGTCAACAACTTATTCTCAATTGGTTGTTGCAATGATTGGGAATTTGGTTTTTATGATGTAACCATTTGGTGATCGCCGTACATGATGGAGAAGATTTTTTTGTTGGGTAAAAAACAACAGAGAATCTGGTAAGTTTTTGTTTGTTTTTCTTTATGTTCATCTATTTGTGAACTCAAATCAATTCAGAACGTTGTGCCCACTGGGAAGAAGACTAGATTTTTTATATCGAGCCTAGTTAGTGTTTGTATTTCTGTGTTTATTCTTGACTCATGGCACAATTGAAAGACTGAAGCCACAAGCTCTCTACATATCAATGTGTCTATATGTATTAGTATTTGTCATTGGGAAAGATACTGCCCTTTAATTGTAAGAGTTGGAAAAGTTTTTCAGCTTTCAGAAAGTATTAATACTAGAAAGTATTTATAAATTAGATTATAATGTCTTTTAAAGAAGCTCTCATCTTATTTTTATAGAGATAAGTAAGCCCTTATATAATTCAAATATTTCCCCAATTCACAGAAAATAAGAAAATTGAATTTTTAATATGTTAAATGTACTTGATTTTTTAAAAAATTCTTTTTACAAAGACTGTTAGCTCAAAAAAATGATAAGACTTTAAGTTTACATAGTAACGTGAAATCTTTGGCAGATCTGACTGATTTAGTAATTTTTTTAAATAGCTGAAGCTTTTATTTGATTTATCAATATTGGGTAAAATATATGCTTTAGTCCATTTTCACACTGCTATAAAGAAATACCTGAGACTGGGTAATTCATAAGGAAAGAGGTTTAATTGACTCACAGTTCCTCATGGTTGGGGAGGCCTCAGGAAACTTACAATCATGGCAGAAGATCAAGGGGATTCAGGCAACTCTTCACAAGACGGCAGGAAAAAATGAGAAAGAGCAAAAGAAGGAGGAAGTGCCAAACACTTATAAAACCATCAGATCTCCTGATAACTCACTCATTGTCATGAGAACAGCATGGAGGAAGTCACCCCCATGATTCAATCACCTCCCACCAGGCTCCTCCCACCTGGGGAACATAATTCAAGATGAGATTTGGGTGGGGACACAAGGCTTAACCATATCATTCTGCCCCTGGACCCTCCCAAATCTCATGTCTTTTCACATTTCAAAACTAATCATGCCTTCCTGACAGTCCCCCAAAGTCTTAATTCATTCCAGCATTAACTCAAAAGTCCAAGTCTAAAGTCTCATCTGAGACAAGGCAAGTCCTTTCTATCTATGAGCCTGTAAAGTCAAAAGCAAGTTATTTACTTCCAAGATACAGTATCAGATAGCATGCTCCCATTCCAAATGGGAGAAATTAGCCAAAACAAAGGGGCTACAGGCCACATGCAAGTCCAAAATCCAGCAGGGTAACCATTAAATCTTAAAGCTCCAAAGTGATCTCCTTTGACTCTGTGTCTCATATCCAGGGCATTCTGATGCAAAGGCTGGGCTCCCAAGGCCTTGGATAGCTCTACCCCTGTGGCTTTGCAGGGAACAGCCTCTGAAGCTGCTTTCACGGGCTGGCATTGAGTGCCTGCAGCTTTTCCAGGTGCACAGTGTGAGCTGTTGGATCTGCCTTTCTGGGGTCTGGAGAACAGTGGCCCTATTCTCACAGCTCCACTAGGCAGTACCCCAGTGAGGACTCTGTGTTGGGGCTCCAACCTCACATTTTCCTCCCACATTGCCCTGACAAAGGTTCTCCATGAGGCCTCCACCCCTGCAGCAAAATTCTTCCTGGACAACCAGACATTTCCATACATCTTCTGAAATCTAGTCGGAGGTTCCCAAACCTCAATTCTTGACTTCTGTGCACCTGCAGGCCCAAAACCACATGGAAGCCACCAAGGCTTGGAGCTTGCACCCTCTGAAACAACAACCTGAACTATACCTTGGCCCCTCCATCCACAGCTGGAGCTGAAGTAGCTGGGATGCAGGGCGCCAAGTTCTGAGGCTGCACAGAGCAGCAGTGGGGACCCTGGGCCTGGCTTATGAAACCATTTTCCCCTCCTAGGCCTCCGGGCCTGTGATGGGAGGGGCTGCTGTGATGATCTCTGACATGCCCTGGAGACATTTTCCCCATTATCTTGACTGTTAATATTCAGCTCCTTGTTACTTATGCAAATTTCTGCAGCCAGCTTGAATGGGTTTTTCTTTTCTACTGCATGATCAGGCTGCAAATTTTCCAAACTTTTATCCTCTGCTACCCTTTCAAATGTAAGTTCTAGTTTCAGATAATCTCTCTCAAGTTCAAAGTTCACTGATCTCTAGGGCAGGGACAAAATGCTACCAGTCTTTTTGCTAAAGCATTGCAAGAGTAACCTTTACACCAGTTCCGGATAAGTTCCTCATCTCCATCTGAGACCATCTCAGCCTGGACTTCATTGTCCATATCACTATCAGCATTTTTGTCAAAACCATTCAACAAGTCTCTAGGAAGTTCCAAACTTTCCCACATCTCCCTTTCTTCTTCTGAGCCCTCCAAACTGTTCCATCCTCTGCTTGTTATCCAGTTCCAAAGTCACTTGCAAATTTTTGGGTATCTTTGTAGCAGTACCCCACTCTACCAGTAACAATTTGCTGTATTAGTCCTTTTTTACACTGCTATAAAGAAATACCAGAGACTGGGTAACTTATAAAGGAAAGAAGTTTAATTGACTCACATTTCCTCATGGCTGGGGAGGTCTCAGGAAACCTACAATTATGGCAGAAGGTGAAGGGGAAGCAGACACCTCTTTGCAAGGTGGCAGGAAAAAAAGAGAAAAAGCAATAGAAGGAGGAACTGCCAAACACTTATAAAACCATCGGATCTCGTGGGAACTCACTCACTATCATGAGAACAGCATGGAGGTAACCACCCCCAAGATTCAGTCACCTCCCAGCAGGTACCTCCCTCAACACCTGGGGATTACCTTTTGAGATGAGATTTGGATGGGAACACAGAGCCACCCAGAAAAGAAAATGGATTTTCTTTCTCATTAAGAAGCTATTTTATATCTTCTTAGTGAGGGCTTTCCTGGCTGATCTACTTAAAATTACAAGCTACCTCCCCAGCTCATGATTCTCAAATGTCTGGGCACTGCCCTACAGTTATTATGTTTTCTATAAGCCTTATTTTCTAACATGCTGTATAATTTGATGACTTATTATGTCTACTGCTTATTGCCTGTCTTCTCCTTGTACACTGGAAGTTGTACAAAGGCAAGGGATTTTGTTTTGTTTCCTGATGTAACCCAAGGGTCAAATAGGGATTCAATGAATATTTTTGAATAAATTAATGTGAAATTGATGTTGGATGTCAGCAGAGATGGGATGTCCATAACAAGGTGTGTAGTCAGCCTCACCAGCTCCTGAGAGATCCCTTCCTTCACTCCTCCCCAGGCTAGAGACTGGGTAACTTATAAAGGAAAGAAGTTTAATTGACTCACTGTTCCTCATGGCTGGGGAGGCCATTATAGACATAGTAGCAGCCCCCAGAAATACTCAAAGCCTAAGACTGAATTTCTGAGGGGTCCCTGAGAGGAGGATTCACTGATAAGAGTGAATGAGAATGACAGGGGTTGAGTCCAGACCTCATTACCAAGAATGCTGCCCAGAGGTGCTTCAATCCCATCCCAGCCTCTGCGCTCATCAAGCAGGGAACAAAAAAGATACAGGCCTTCACACTTCTCCTAGCTGGGGACACTGATGATTCCATGAAAATGTGAGCTCACAGGGGAAATAAGTGAGACATCCGAGGAGAACAAGTTGTGCAAAAGAAAATTCACTTACTGAAAACGTATATCTGAACACACAGCATTTACAAAAATTTGTAATCATATGGTAAGTCAGAAGACAAATTTAGGTAAGTCTCAACAAATTTAAAAAAGCTTGTATCATTCAGACCACATTCTCAAACTATAATGCAATTAAATTAGAAGTTAATTAAAAAATTAATTGAAAAAACTGCCTTATTTGAAAACTTTATTAAGGGAACTTGCTACTCACTTTCTCTATAGGACGTGATGAGATAACAAACAGAACTGTTTTTACTGTAAGAATAAAACAGATGTTTTTAAATCTCAAAAATTCTTTTATCCTTCTTAGTAAGTTCCTAAGCTACTTATTAAAGTATTAATAAGTTCTTAGGCTACTTATTACTGTATTAATAAGTAATACTTATTAGCATAGGATCTTGTTAGTTCCTGAAGAACAATCCTTAAGATTTTCAACAACTTTCATTCAGAACAATCTTGAAGATTTTATATTTTCTTTTCTGATTTCTTCTTTGATTTTGGAAACAAGAAATAGAAAAATGAAGACTAAAAAACAAAAACTTCAAAAAAAGTGTGCAACTTTTGTTGAAAACTAAACTATGTTCTTGAGGTGGGAAAGGATGCGCTTACTAACACCGGACAATAATTAAAATCTTGAGATCATTTTTCACCTGCCTTCTTATATTTTAATGATTTACGTTGTCCTAAATTCCACATAGAATGTGGAGGAAATCAAAAGGAATGTAGATAACAATTTAAGGCTTAAGTCCTAAATTTCTATTGGGTCTCAAACTCTTCCTTGAACTCAAGCTTTTTATATCTATCTACCTACTTAAGCTTTTTATGTATGGACATTTCCCCTTGGATGTGTAATAGGCATCTCAAACTCAATGAATTCAAAATTACACTCTTGACCTCCAGCCCCCGTAAACCTGCTCTTACTTTGGTCTTTCCATTTCACCACTACTCTTTCACTTGTTTAGGCCAAAAACGTTGGAGTCATTGTGGATCCTTCTCTTTTTATTAAATTCTGCATGCACTTTAGATACAAATACTGTTGGCTTTACCTTGAAAATATTCCTCAATCTGACAATCTTAGCATTTTCACTGCCACTTCTTTGGTCAGTGCCACCATCATTTTTACCCTGGCAAATGGCACTGTCTAGTGTCCCTGAATCCATCATGTGCTTTTATAATCTGTTTGCTACTCAGCAGTCAGATCATGTTATGAACCTGCTGAAAACCCTTCTTATCACAGGGACCCGCAAGGCTTCCATAGCTTGGTTAGCTGCTTCTCTGATCTGATCTGTTTCTACTTTCCTTCTCCCTCACTGTCTCCAGCCACACTGGCCTTCCTGGTGTGCCTAAAACAGGTGCAGATCCTTCCTACCTACCTCAAGGTCTTGCGCTTATTGCTTCTTCTACCTGAAACTTCTAGAGACTTCCACAGCTTCCTCCCTCCCTTTAGTTATTCTGCATGAATACCCTGGACCCAGTATGTCCTTTTCCTAAACATATTTTTATAAAATGGCACTCCAACGTTCTTTATTACTTGCACTGCTTTATTTATTTTTTCAAAGCACTTTCACTATCTTTCATTATAGATCTCTATTCATTTGAATATTGTGTGTCTCTTTAATGGAATGTAAGCTCCTTGAGGGCAGGAGTTTATGCAAGAAAGCAGCTGAGCATAGGTTGGTGCCAGCACAAAGTAGGCGCTTAGTAATTATTTTCTAGTGAATTGAGAGTGAATATTAAGGATAGAGATGGGGGGGTAGCTAGATCCTTCAAAAAGGCTGAATTGGCTGTTTGTAAAGATGAACTAATTTTAGAAATTAAGCATTTCAAAAGAAACCACTGATAAAATTACTCACAGAAATTGCTGATTCATATATGGAAATACATTTAAAATCTGGCAAAGTGACATGCTACAATCATTGAGCAGTCTGCAGTTCAAGTGGAATGGGCTGTAATGGGACTTTTGACATCCATTCTCTATAGAGGCAGCTGTAAACACATTTAATACCCAACTCAAAAACTCACATTGTTTATCACTGCATTACAGACCTGGGACTTTCCAAGAATAAACAAATTGCTAACTATTTATACAGACATTCTTTTTTTTATGGACATTCACTGCAAATGATCTGAGATGGACTTAAGCGTTACATTTCTTAACTGATGTTTTGCAATTGTTTTCTCATTAACTCCCTCCCATGTTTTCTCTTCTCATCTCTCCTCAAACTCTTGTCAGAACAACATGCTGCATTGTGCAACAAAAGTTTACTTTCATCTCCAAACATGTTAAATGATACATTAGATTAAAGGAAAGAATGTTAAGACTAATGGAGAAGACATTAAAATGAAGAGATGTTGCATTAAAAAAAAAAAGAGTCCTATTTTGGATCCCAAAGCCATTCACTAATTTCCCATTGTAATTTATTTACCAGCAAGCTTCCCAATTCTGCTTCTAGTTCAATTCCAAGGGTCTAGGTGTTGGGAGCAAACCTGAAATTATGACATTTTGAGTATAACAGGATACCTTTTAAACTGATCATGTTGACAAGCCACGTAGGGATTGGAATGAGACCAAAGACAGGAGACTTGGCAGATGACAGATGATCAGAAGATGCTGTTTCTACTTTTTACCCAGACCTACTGGGGAGAAATGCCGACGATCTTTTGGCTTGGACTCTTCTAAGCTCCATTATGGTAGTCTAAAACACCAACCTATTGGCCAGCAGTATGCATTTCCTCTCAAATGGCACTTCATTGGGTAATTTTAGCTATGAATATTCACAAAGAACCTTCAATATCATTGTCTGTAGAAGAAAAATAACTAACAGGAATAAAGAAAAACATCTGGATAATATATAAATAAAAGCACCCTGAAGACCCTGTGAGCATTTAAAAATATTATACACAGAATTCTGAATGAAAAACTGCATAGTTTTTTTGCCATTTGCTTTGTGAAATGGACATCTAAGGTGTTTTGCAATAAACATTTGAAAAGAAACAGAAGACCCAAAGGCAAACTTAGGTCTTTCATTTAGGACTAGGCTAAATGGAAGAGGGCTTGGTTTATACCAGAGAAAATTTAATATGGAGCTGTTAGGAAAGCTCCCCAAGGAGGTGAATCCATTCATCCTTAGTAGCCTGTGTAGTGCTTTCAAAGGTTCAGCCCACAAAGAGTCATCACTGAGATTAATAGGATAATGCATAGAATTCATCAGGAAGTGAACTCTGTTTTGCTACCTCGTGATCCTCAAGGGAGTACTTCAACCACACTTTGTCCAAAACTGTTATTTAATAAGTCATGTTTGCACTCAGTTACTCTGAAGTCAAATGAGTAGTTTATGTTATAAATTATTTCTGCACAACGTTCTTGTATCATATGAGGATAAGTGCTCTGTGTTATGACACAATCACACCTTCTTGTGCTTTAGAGAGACTGTATTTTTCCAAAATACATACTAATTTTATATCTGAGAGCAAAGAGCTTTCTTCTTAAGACAGGGTCTTGCTCTGTCACCCAGGCTGGTGCAGTGGCACAATCTCAGCTCACTGCAACCTCTGACCCCTGGGCTCAAGTGGTCCTCCCACCTCAGCCTTCCAAGTAGCTGGGACCACAGGCATGCGCCACCATGCCTAGCTAATTTTTTGTATTTTTAGTAGAGACAGGGTCTCACCATCTTTCCCAGGCTGGTCTCAAACTCCTGAGCTCAAGTGATCCATCCACCTTGGCCTCCCAAAGTGTTAGGACTACAGGTGTAAGCCCCTATGCCTGGCCTAAAAGCCAAGAATTCTTTAACTCAACAAAAAATAATGATTTATAAGAATTATTTTTTGGAGATGGGGGATAAACATAGTATTTTTAATTATTTGATTTAATTTGACATTTGGAAGAGAAAAATTTCAGGTCATTGATTATCAATTCTTGTGATATTATAGCTCATCAGATGTTTAGCTATCTCAAGGGACATATACAAATTCTCCAAAATATCACCAAACAAAATGAACTCTAATGGCTTCAAAAACAACAATTATAGAGCCCCTGTAGAGTGCCAGGGACTACTTTGCATATTTTGACTCATATATTTAAGGCTCTAAATATCCTTAGGAGATAAAAACTGCCATTATTCCAATTTTATAAAGGAAGACACTGAGACAGAGAATGAGGATGAGGGAATTTGGTCAACATCACACAGTTGAAAATAGAAGATCTGGAGTTTGAATCCATCAGTCAGACCTGAGAGCATATGCTTTATTGCTTTCAGTGAATTCATTGACTAGTGAAGTGTCTTCTGTATGCACGATTCTGGGCTAGTGCTGGACATGAGGAGGACATCTGGCTGGTTGCGTGCAGCACTGGATGTCCTCAGGCTGGTGCTTCATTGTCATGTGGTCCCTGACACAGTTGCCAGAATGCATGACCTCCATGGATCATCACACTACTTTGATCTCCTTCTTTTTTTTAATGTAACAGCTTTATCAAGATATAGTTAACATAACATATAATTCACTCATGTAAAGTGTACAATTTAATGGCTTTTAATATATTCACAGAGTTGTGCAACCATCACCATCATCAGTTTTAGAACATTTTCATTATCCCAAAAAAAAGAACCCCATACCCATTAGTAGTCACTCCTTATAACCCCCTCCCCCAACTACTGACAAGCACTGGTCCGCTTTATGTCTCCATAGATTTTTTTATTGTGAACATTTCATATAAATAGAATCATACAATATGTGACCTTTTCTGTCTGGCTTCTTTCATTTAGCATGATGTTTTCAAGCTTCATCCATGTTACAGCATGTGTTAGGACTTCATTTCTGCTTATTGTCGAATAACATTCTGTTGTCTGAATTTGCCACATTTTACGTATTCATTCATTACTCAATGGACATTTTTCCACTCTTTGGCTATTATAAATAACGATGCTATGAACATTTATGTGCAAGTTTTTTGTGTAGACATGTTTTAATTTCTCATAGGTATATACTTAGGAGTGAAATTGCTGTGTCATAGGGTAAGTCTACGTTAAATATTTTAAGAAATTGCCAGCCTGTTTTTCTCCTTGCTTATTGATAGTAAGAAGTCCTTCTTAGCAGTTTTTGCAAAAGTGACTTTTCTCCTCTATAGAAGCACCTTGACATTAGAAGGCAAGGATGCCAGACCTTGTCTTCAACAAATATTCAACATCTGGTGGACTATAAGTGGCCACTTTCAGTAACAGAAACCAAATGGAAAGTGTAGAATAATCTTGAGTAACTACCCCATCCTTTCTTAATATTAGGTCTTTTAAGTGACTATATGAAACAAATTTAATAAATGATGGTAACAATAGTAGCATCTGTTAAACACTGTAGATGTATCAGGAGGTCTATGAAGTATTACAAGTATCTTATCATTCAATTTTAGAATCACTAAAATATTTTAGAATCTTTACATTCTAGAGAGTAAGATTAAAGCAAAATTATAAGAATGACAGAGCCATAGTTTTATCTATTCTGATGACTAGGTAGGGGAAAAAGGTTTAGCTTGACGTAAGAAAAACTAAAACAAAAAGATGAACTCCCCTGAATGGAAGACTATTCAAAAGACACTCACTTAGCTGGGTAAAAGATAGTTTCACTGAGGCTGTTTTCAGGAAGCAGGAAGTAGAATGAGTTACTGTTATTTCTTTCCGGGTCTGTGTACTTATGATGTTATCTTACGGTTTAATTTTTCTATAGGTACACAGGATGTGTGGGTAGCCAATTAAAGTATTATAGAAGCTAGTAAATATTAACAGAAAAAAGAAATGAGGAACTGTTCTATTAAAACATTTTATTAGCTATTGTTAAAAAATTTTTCTGTTGCAAAGTGCCCATCTCTTGCCTACTATGAAAATTTGTTTGAATAGGTTTATCCACCTAAGCCTACATCAGATACCAGTGAGTAGACACAAAGTTAAACACACAAGAAACCACTCTTATGCAGTATTTTGTTGTGATGTCTTTTAAGTAAAAATTGGGAAATTTATATTTATTATAACAAATGATGGCCAAATGATGGCCACAAAAGCCATTGCTTGTAAATAATTATAATTCATACTGTAATGACATTTCCTATGAAAAGAATTACAATATATGTCATGGAATCCACCACTAGTCTTCCTCCTGGAAATAAAAATCAAACGGATCAATCTGCTTCAGTATATTAGGTAAGAAAAAATAATGGTGTCTAACTGCAGAGTGCATTGTGTTGATTTGGATTTCGCATAAAGTTGCCCATATAAAAACTTTTCTAATGTGGATTGAAATTCTGATTATACAACTATGAAAAAAATTGGAAGTATTATTATTCTCAGTGAATTCTAATTTGATTTGAAGGCCTTTGGAAGAATCCCTCTCCTACATTCTGCTTTAGTCCTTAAGATCCAGTTAGAGGCTGCTTGTAGTCATCCTCATTGCTTGAGAAGACTAGGCTTTTCTATTTAGCAACCAATCCAGGAACTAGATTTCACCACACTAACCACATCTTCCTTCTCTGTGTCATACTTGTATGTTTTTGGTCCTGAAAAGAAGTAAATGTAGCCTAAAAGAGACAAAGTTGAAATTGGGTTACTGAAGATGTCCAGCACATATATAAATGGAAGAATTTGTCACTGTCACTTTCTTAAAGTGTCACCAAAGAGGAATTGTGAATTTGTCAGGTGGCAGTTAGCTTGTCTTCTGTCTTCATGCCCTAGAACCTGACTCCTGAACTTCTCAGTCATTTCTGAGCTTTCTCCTTGTTCCAGCCGGGGTAAGGCCTTCTTGTTGGGGTCATCCAATGTGCCATGCTCAGTTATGTACTGTGCTTCTGCTCAGGCTGCTCTCCTCCAGGAAGCCACTCCCCTTTTCTTTCCCTAGTTAAGCCTCCGGCCAATCTTCAAAACCCATCTGAAGTCCTACTATAAAATTTCCAATGACTGCTGCCGATTCTGATATTTTAATTCTCAGATCAGCTCTTGCAATTATTGTGCAGTCTACCACATGACTCAACACTAAATTATAGATTGTCTGTTTTCCAGTCATTTCATCTGTGTTGGGTGAACCATTCTGTGAGAGCAGTGGCCACATCTGGAATGGTCTTTGCACTTCTGAACAGTGTCCAGCCCTGTGCTATTTTTTCAAGAAGAGTGTGCTAACTGACTACTTCAGAAGATTTAATTAAATGTATTCAACAAAGTTCTATTCAACTTTCCTAGCTATGTGTTAAATTGCAGGAGTTGGATGATGGAGTGGGAAAAAGCACTGAGAAGCTTGAGACAGATTTTTTTTTTTTTTTGAGACAGGGTATCACTCTGTTGCCCAGGCTAGAGTGCAGTGGTGCAATCACAGTTCACCGCAGCCTCGACCTCCTGAGCTCAAGTAATCCTCCCATCTCAGCATCCGGAGTAGCTGGGACTACAGGTGTGTGCCATCATTCTCAGCTAACTTTTTTGTAGAGACAGAGTTTTGCCATATTGCCCAAGCTGGTATTGAATTCCTGGGCTGAAGTGATCCTACCACCTCATCCTCCCAAAGTGCTGGAATTACAGGTGTGTGTCACTGTGCCCAACCAAGACTATGTGTATTTTAAAGATAGAAAAGGTAATCTTGACCCCGGTAGACTTTATGATCTAGCTGACTAATCGATTGAAGCTATACTTTAAAAACTTTCCATTAGGTGGCCAACATGGTGAAACTCCATCTCCACTAAAAATACAAACATTAGCTGGGCCTGGTGGCCAGCGCCTGTAGTCCCAGCTACTTGGGAGGCTGAGGTAGGAGAATCGCTCGAATCTGGGAGGCAGAAGTTGCAGTGAGCAGAGATCGCGCCACTGCAGTCCAGCCTGGCCACAGAGCGAGACTCCGTCTCAAAAAAAACAAAAAACAAAAAACAAAAAACAAAAACAAAAAACAAAACACACACACACAAAAACAAAAACAAACAAACAAACAAACAAAAACTTTCCATTAGGAAAGAGAGAACTAAAATACCAGAACTTTTACAGTTACTCTTTCTAGTGGACAATCTGTTTAGATAAACTTATGAAAGGACCTAAGACCAAATATAAAAACCAAGGACTCCCACTTGGAAATCCACTTTCTGTTGTGTTAAAGCAAAGCCAAGATTTCTTATGATAGTTTTCATGAAGAAAGTTTTCAGTGGAAACACTTACCATTTAATTCTACAGCAGCATCGATTTGGCCATTTACTCCTGAAAATTCTTCTTCAGTATTCTTTGGATAGTCTTTTTCCATTTTCCTTTTCCTTTCGTCGTAGCTAGAAAAAGTATTATTTCATAAATAATATTACTAAGAGGTTTTTACTGGTTGTAGATGACACTATACTGGTCAGGCATATGGACACATAACTTATTTAGGTGTTCCTCTCTCTCTCTGTTTCACATACACATACACATGCATTTATGTTGTTATTTATTTTTTCTTTGTTGTGTTTTTGTTTTTTTTTTGAGATGGGGTCTCACTGTTGCCCAGGCTGAAGTGTAGTGGTGCCATCATGGCTCACCACTGCCTTGACCTTCCAGGCTCAAGCGATCCTCCTGTCTCAGCCTCCTGAGTAGCTGGGACTACAGGCATGTACCACCACACCCTGGCTAATTTTTATTTTTTATAAAGACAGGGTCTTGCCATGTTGCCCAGGCTGGTCTCAAACTCCTGGTCTCAAGCAATCCTCCCACACCTCAGCCTCCCAAAGTGCTGGGATTACAGGAATAAGCCACTGGGCCTGGCCCTTGTTGTTTAAATCGGGCTCTTAAAATACCTAAAAGAGATTATAGACCTTTATCACTATGCTCCCATGTTCCTGAGATTCTGGTACCACAAGCTTGGAAGTCACTTGCTTAAAGCAGTCTCCAAAAAGTTTCCACATACATTGTTTAGAAATATTCATTCTATATATTATAGCAACATGTTCTGTTAACTCAAAAAAAACTTGCCATTTGAAAGGAACTCTCTATATTTTTTATTGCCTTATTTATTGTTGTAATTATTTCTCTATCAATTCCTTGGTTCATCAAATCATTGAAAGCCTTTCATAGGTGCTTTTATTCATGAACTTAGTGCTATGTATCCATGGAGAAAGGGTTGAACAAATAATGCACACTGAATGAATAAAGAAATGTGTGAACAATAAGTAAATAAGAAGCAAGTAAATATGTAATAATTGAACTTCTGCCTTTTAAACCAATTTACTTGAATTCCATTGCTTTTGTTTCCTGGAAAGCTTATATGACTGACTGAATAGTAGACCTGATTTCTTTTTCTGGATCAGCAACCAGCATTCAATGATAACTCTGAAGATTGATTAATATATCTCTTTGTGATCTAAACTACTCATTGTTAAAAAAGACTGTGACTGTGTGAGTCAGCATGACTTGTATGAGAATCAGACTTCATTTAAAGTTTGAGAAAGTCCCTTCTTCATTAGCACAGAGTTCCAAATGGGGACACTCCCAGGTGGACACCCCACTCCTTTCCCACCAAAAGGTCAGACAATTTCTCCCAGTGCCTGGGCTACTGAAAAATTTCCTGTGGCAGCAGATCCACCCACCATCTCTTGAAATGTCCCTCTTGTGTGGCTATGACTACACAGGCCAGGGATAACTCTCTAGTGATGTTGAGCCAAAGGCAAACATTGAAAAAGATGTACTCAGGCTGAAACTAAGTGCAAGTCTGAGCTGCTTTACAGAATGTTTGGAGCTAGGGGTGGAAGCTAACTGTCCCAGCATATTATCCATATTAACTATAACCATTAATATTTCATGTGGACCTTATGTGTAGACATTATGCAGGGGCCTGCATAACAAACACGAGGTTACCTACTTTTCATTTTACTAAGTAAGAACATTACCATTTAACCATCAAAAGAACTACTACCACCTGTTTTCACACTCATTTCACAAAGACAAAGAAACGTTAACACCAAAAAGGCAGGAAGGACATAAACTGAGAATAAAAGATGGTTCTCGCCAATAATCTGTTTTTATGCTGACACAGACTGCAGCTCCCTGATTTATAATATTGTGCTGTCCTTATTTAGCTGTGAACTGGTGAGAACTTTGTGATGATCTAGCCCTTTGTTTGTGGACAGATATTTAAGGATTTCTGTTATAGTCCAAAGAGCTCAACAGATACAGTCTGATGGTACTGGGTTTGAATTTCTGACTCTGTTACCTGCTGACTCCGTGATCAGGAAAACGTACTTTGAGCTCTGAGCCCTGGTTTTTCTCATCTGGAAAACATTGGTCATGAGGGTAAGAGACAATTTACACACACACACATGCACACGCACACACCACACACACACACACACACACACCTGGCACATGTAGCACCAAGAGTAGGCCCAAGCCAGCAGTCTTTGTCATTTATTCTGGCCCCAAGAACAATTAACTCTGACTTGTCAGTGTAAGGTTGAGTGAACTTCATGGTTTGATCTGAGATTCTAAGTCACTAAGGAGTTTAATCTTTAAACTTACTTTACAAGATAATATTTGCGGTGGTAGGCAAGGTTGAGAAGGGGTGAAAAAGGAGGGCTAAAAAGTGTTGGAGGCAGTCCAGAGAACCAAGTCAGAGAGGGGATTAAGATGAAGTAGGTCTGCTGGTGTGGTGAGGATTTTACTGAGAGAGTAACAGAAAAGGAGATTATATGATAGGATGAAGATCACGGGGATTTTTACCAATAATAAATAAATGATGAAGAGAATTGAAGAATGAAAATATGTGGTGGTTGGGAAGGCCCACTGAATTTGAATTCAGAGGACATGAAATACAGCTTCAGATGGACCACTGTAGCTGTGTGATCTTGAGTGAATCATGTAACCCCTCAGAGACACAATGTTCAATGAAAATAAAAGAAATACCTACTTCTCAAGATTGTTGAAAGGTGGATGGGACAATGAGAGAATATGAGAAAACGCTCAGCATGATTCCTGGCACACAGTAAGCCAGCCATCAAGAAATAGTAACTGAATTTCAATATTAAGGAAATAAATACAATTTTTATTGAGAATCAACTATATCTTGAGTATCTGCTAAAATCATTGCATATATCCTCTCATCACTGAGGTCTTGTTTGTGAAACCTAAATACCAAACTAGAAATAGTGATCTGAATTATGTTTATTTCCTTTGTGGGCATTTGTTACATCATTTAATATTGATTCAAGGTATTTACATTTAATATATATTAAATAAATCATTGCCTGCAACAGATATCTGATGTAGTTTTTCAGATACGTTATCTTACTCTCCACATTTGTATTCTAAGGACTCAGGGACTGTTTTGATAAAGTGCCTGCATTTTTGTTTAACCTAATCTGCATGCTTAGAACTTAGATTTGTTAGGTATTTTTGGTGTTTTGATTGTGCTGATTTCAGTCACATGTCAAGGGCATAACTGACTCCATTCTACCCTCTTAGAAGCACTAAATGGGGAACTGAGTCAGCTAAAGGATGCTTAAAGAGAATGCAAGAAAGGGCGGCAAAAAGGGGAATTTACTGATAAGGTTTCTAAGATGGTTTCAGGAAGTTTTCTCAAGGTGACCTTTCCAGTGTGGGTCAGGAGGGACAATGAAATAGAAATCTGAAATTCCATTTTGAAGTTAATGATTTCAGCCAGAAATCACATGACTTTCATGAATGAAGTGGGCTTTGTGATCTATACTAGAGAAGGGCAGGTAGGACAGTGATCGGGAATGAAGAGAAGGCAGGAGAGGAGGAAGCTGCCATGTACAATCCCAGATGAGGGTCAGGAAACAGGACCCCATGAGGAAAATGATAGTGAGGAGATTCTGGGACAAATAATTTGTAACAACATAGAAAAATATGTATCCTATAGTATTAAGTAGAAGAATGTCAGGACACAAAATTTCATACATAATTACTTAAAAATGGGGAAAACTGCAGGAAAAAAATAGAAGAAAAATATTAAATGAGTATCAAAAGATGTTGCAAGTGTTGACCATTGAAGAATTTCTTTCCTTTTCATACATTCTGTGTTTTCTATAACAAACATCACATGCTGTCCTTGGACCCCATCTTCCTGGGCAGTCTTATATCCTCACATGGCCTCAATCACCATCTGATTACATGATGAATTCCAAACTTATCTTTCCAGCCTGACTGCTCTTGAGTTCAAGACCTGTATGTCCAAATCTCTTCTGATATTTTTCTTCTCAGTTCTCACCAGCATGTCAAACTCCATATGTACAAATTGAAGCTGCTTCTTGTTCCCCTAAATCTGCTTCATTTCTTAAGTTTACTGTCTTGATAAATGCCAAAATTGAAAACCCATTTATTAAGGAAATGACCCCCAACTAGTCAGTCATCCAGACCTATGTTTTCTACTGTTTGAAGAACAATCAAATCTACCCCAACTCCCAAACCCATCATCTCTGGCAGAATTCTTGCAATAGTTCTCTCTCTTATTTAAACAATTCAGTGGTTTTTTAGTGCACAGTCATTTGCCATATGTTGACATTTCAGGAAATGACAGACCATGTACATGATAGTGGTCCCATAAGATTATAACACTGTATTTTTACTGTACCATTTCTAAGTTTAGATACACAAATACTTACCATTGTATCACAATTGCCTACAGTATTCAGTACAGTATCATGTTGTATAGGTCTGTAGGAGCTATAGGAGCAACAGGGTATACCATATAGCCTAAGTGGGTAGTAAGCAATACCATCTAGGTTTGTGTAAGTACACTCTAGGATGTTCACTGATTGACCAAATCACCTAATGACACATTCCTCAGAACACAGCCCCATTGTTAAGCAAGCGATGCATGACTATAGTCACAGAATTGTGCTACCATCAACACAATCAATTTTAGAATGTTGCCATCACCCGCCCCCACAAAAACCTTATGCCTTTTCACTGTAAGTCCCCATACTCCACATCCTCATCCCCCATCTCAACCAGACCTAGACAATCACTATCTACTTTCTGTCTGTTTTAACTTGCCTATTATGGACATTTTATACAATATGCAGATTTTCATGACTGACATCTTTCACTTAGTATAATGCTCTCAAGATTCATCCATGTCGTACCATGTACCAGCATTTCATTCATTTTTGTGGCCAAATAATATTCCATTGTATGAATTTATCACATTTTATATATCCATTCAACACTTGATGGAGATTTGGGTTGTTTCCAGCATTCGTCTATTATTAATAATGCTGCTATGAATATTTGTATACAGCTATTATGTGGACTTATGTTTTTACTTCTCTTGGGTATATCCTCAAGAAAGTGGAATTCTGGGTCAAATGATAATTCTATGTTCAATTTTTTGAGGAGCAGGAGACTGCTTTCCAAAGTGGCTATACTAATTTACATTTCTACTACCAATGTATGAGGGTTCTGATTTCTCCATATTCTCACCAACACTTATTATTATCTGACTTTTTGATTATGGCATTCTAGTAGGTGTGAAGAAGTATTTCACTGCGGGTTTCATTTGCATTTTCCTCATGACTATTGATGTTGAGCATCTTTTCATGTGCTTATTGGCCATTTGTATATCTTTGTTGGAGAAATGGCTATTCAGATCCTTTGCCCATATTTTAACTGAGTTATTTTTCTTGTTATTAATTGAATAGTCGTTTATATATTCTAGACACAAGTTCTTTATCAGATATATGACTTACAAACATTTCTTCCCATTCCCTGGGTTGTCTTTTTACTTTGTTGATAGTGTACTGTGAAGCAGAAAAGTTTTTAATTTTGAGTAAATCCAACTTGTCCTTTTTTTCTTTTTGGCTTATGCTTTTCATGTTGTATCTGAGTATTCATTGCTAAATCCAAGATCACGAAGATTTATCTTACATTTTCTTTTAAGAGTTTTGTCAGATTAGCTCTTATATTTAAGGAATTTGATCAATTTTGAGTTAATTTTTGTATATGTTGAGAGGTTGGGGTCTAAGTCCATTCTTTTGCATGTGGCTATCCACTCCTTCCAGCATCATTTGTTGAAGATACCATTTTTCTCCTTTGAATGACTTTATATCGTTGTCAAAAATCAGTTGCCCATAGATACATGGCTTTATTTCCTTACTCTAAATTTTATTCTATTAACATGTATGGCTATCCTTATGCAAATATCACAGTCTTAGTTACTGTTTCTTTGTAGTAACTTTTGAAATTGGGAAGTATGAATCCTCCAACTTTGTTCTTTTTAAAGATATTTTGGCTATTCTAGGCCCGTGAGTTTCGAGTTTCAAGAAAAACTTGTCAATTTCTACAAAGAAACCAGTGGTATTCTGAAAGAGATTGTGTTGAATCTACAGATCAATTTGGGGACTACTATCATCTTAAAAATATCCTCATCCATGAACATGAGATATCACTCCATTTAGATCTTGCTTAATTTCTTTCAACAATGTTTTGTAGTTTTCAGACTACAAAACAACATTTTCCATTTCTTTTGTTAAATTTATTTTTAAGTATTTGACTCTTTTTGATGCTATTCCAGTTGGAATTGCTTTCTTAATTTCATTTTCAAATTGTTTGTTCAGGTGTATAAAAACACAATTGATTAACACATTGAATTCATTCCTTGCAACCTTTCTGAACTCATTTATTAGTTCTAAAAGTTTTTTTAGAGTATTCTCTAGGGTTTTTCTATATAAAAGATAATACCATATGCAAAAAGAAATAGTTTTACTTTCTCTCCTATCTGGATAATTTTTATTTCATTCGTTCTTGCTTAATTCTCTTGGTTAGGACCTCCAGTACAATGTGAATGGAGAGATGAGAGCAGAAATTTTTGTTTTGTTTTTGATGTTAGGAGGAATGCATCCAGTCTTTCACCACTGACTATGCCATCAGCTGTGGGTTTTCATAGACGCTCTTTATTGATTTGAAAACGGTTATTTTTATTCCTAGGTTTTATTCCTAGGTTGCTGAATGTTTTTTTATCATGAAATAATGTTGAATTTTGCCAAATGCTTTTACTGTATCTACTGAGATGATCATATGATTTTTGTTTTTATTCTATTGATATGGGACATTACATTAATTGATTTTTGGATGAATTCCTGGGACAAATCCTACTTGGTCTTGGTGTATAATTCTTTTCATACGTTGCTGGATTTAGGTTGTTGGTGTTTTTGGAGGATCTTTGTAGCCATATTCACAATAGATACTGGTCTGAAGCTTTATTTTTTTGTCATGTTTCTGTGTGGTTTTGGTATAAGGATAATGCTGACTTCAGTGAGTTAGGTAGTGTTTTCCACTCTTCTATGTTTTGGAAAAGTCTGTGAAAAACTGGTATTAATTCTGTTCTTTTCTAAGGTTTGGAGGAGTTTGTAAAAAAATTGACATTAATTCTTCTTTCAATGTATTGGTAGAATTTACCAGTGAACCCTTCTGGGCCTGGGCTTTTCTTTGTGGATAGTTTTTGATTACTGCTTTAATATCTTTTCTTATTGTAGGCATATTCAGACTGTGTATTTCTTCTTGACTCGGTTTTACTAGATTGTGTCTTCTTATGAATTTGTCCATTTCATTTATCTAATTTATTGGTATACAATTGTTCATAGTATTCCTTTATGACCTTTTTTATTTCTGTAAGGTGAGTAGCAATGTCTCCTCTTTTATTTCTGATTTTAGTAATTTAAATTTTTTCTTTTGGCTGGGCACAGTGGCTCACACCTGTAATCCCAGCATTTTGTGAGGCTGAGGTGGGCGGATCACGAGGTCAGGAGATCGAGACCATCCTGGCTAACACGGTGAAACCCCATCTCTACTAAAAAATACAAAAAAAAATTAGCTGGGCATGGTGGCGGGTGCCTGTAGTCTCAGCTACTCAGGAGGCTGAGGCAGGAGAATGGTGTGAACCCGGGAGGCGGAGCTTGCAGTGAGCCGAGATCATGCCACTGTACTCCAGCCTGGGGGACAGAGCAAGACTCCGCCTCAAAAAAAAAAAATTGTTTCTTTTTTATTTGATCAATCTAGTAGAAAGTTTGTCACCTTTGTTTATTTTCTCAAAGAACCAACCTTCAGTTTTGTTGGTTTTCTCAAATTGTTTATTTATCATCTATTTTATTTATTTCCATTATAATGTTTATATTTCCTTCTTTCTTCTTGCTTTAGGTTTAATATGTTCTTGATTTTCCATTATCTCAAAGTGGAAGGTGAAGTTATTGATTTGAGATTTTTCTCCTTTTTAAATATAGGCTTTTATAGCTATAATTTTTTTCTCTGAGTGCTGCTTTCACTGCATCTCATAAGTTCTGGTATGTTGTATTTTAATTTTCATTTATTTCTAAGTACTTTCTAATTTCCCTTGTGATTTCTTCTTTGACCCATTGGTTGTTTAATAGTATGTTGTTTAATTTCCACATATTTGTAAGTTTTCTAGTTGTCTTTCTGGTATTGATTTCTGGCTTTATTCTATTGTGATCAGAAGAGATACTTGTACGACTTAAGTTGTTTTAAATTTGTTGAGACTTGTGTGGTGGCCTAACATATAGTCTATTCTGGGGAATGTTCCATGTTCACTTGAAAAGAATGTGTATTCTGCTCTTTTTGGGTATAGCATTCTATAGATATATGTTAGGTCTAGTTGGTTTACAGTATTGTTCAAGTCTTTTATTCTTTGTTGATCTCTCTGGTTGTTCTATCCATTACTGAAAGTGGGGTATTGAAATCTTTAACTATTATTGTTTCATTATTGACTTATCCCTTCATTTCTGTCAATTACTGCTTCATACATTTTTGGGGCCCTGTGTTAGATTCACATATGTTTATAATTACATCTTCATGGTATATTGACTTTTTGTCATTATAAAATGTCCTTCTTTATTGCTAGTAGCATTTTTTATTTCAAAGTCTGTTTTGCCTGATAATAGTATAGCCATTCAAGCTTTCTTATGGTTGCTATTTGCATGATATATTTTTTCCATTCTTTTACTTTCAATCTATTTGTATCTTTGAACCTAAAATGTATCTGCTGTAGACAGCATATAGGTGGGTCTTGTTTTTTACAATCCAATCTGGCAGTCTTTGCCATTTGATTAGACGGTTTAATCTATTCACATTTAATGTTATTGATAAAGTTGAATTTATGCTTGCCATTTTACTTTTTGTTTTCTGTATAACTCATGTCTTTTTGGTTCCTCTATTCATCCTCACTGTTTTCTTTTGCATTAGTAAAAATTTTCTAATGTAACATTTTAATTTCTTTTATAATTGTTTAACTGTATTTTCCTAAGTGATTTCCTTAGTGGTTGATGTAGGGCTTGCCATATACATCTTAACTTATAAAAATCTGCTTAAGACTTATACTAAATTAATTCCAGTGAGATATAGAAACATTACTCCTATATAACTCTATTTCTCTCCCCTTCCTTCTGTGTTATTATTGTTATACCTATTGTATCTATCTACATCTGAAGCCCCAAATTAATTGTTATAATTATTATTTTATATAATTTAATGTCTTCTAAAGAAGCTGAGAAGAGAAAAGAGAAGATGTATATATTTGCAGCTTTTGTTATATTAAGTTTCTTAGTTGCCATTTCTGGTTCTGTTCTTTTGTTCCTGTGAATTTTAGTTACCATCTAGTGTCTTTTCTTTAGCCAAATACAGTTTTGCTCCCACCTACTTCCTTCATATTATTATTGACAAGTATATTTCTACATGTCATAGCCTTAACAATACAATTATACAATTATATGCACATTGTTTAATATAATTGATTTTCCATTTTTAAATTAAGAGAATAAAGAAGAAGAAATATGCATTTATACTGTCTTTTACATAATTACACTTACTACTGATGCTCTCTGGATTTTTGTGGGGGCTTGAATTGCTATCTAAGCTCACTTGCTTTCAGCCTAAAGAACTTTCTTTAGTATCTCTGGTCAGGCAATCTGCAAGTAACAAATTCTCTCAGTTTTTGTTTCTCTGGGAATGTCTTTATTTCTCCTTCATTTTTGAAAGATAACTCTAGTGGATATAAGATTCTTGGTTGAGTCTTTTCTTTGAGAACTTTGAGTATGCTTTCCACTGCCTTTTGGCCTAACTAGTTTATCTGGCTTCAAGTCTCGTTTCCCTCTAATTCAGTCACATTGCTAGGGGAGTGTTATTTTTATAACATTAATCTTATTGAGTTTCTCCCTTATGGAAGGTATTTAACATGTCCCTCTTCTCTGCAGAATAAACACTGATCTCCCTAGAAAGGCATTGACACTACATGATCTGTAACCTGGTTTCCTTGGGCCATCGTTCTGATTTTAGTCTATATTCTAGTCATACTGAACTGTTTGAGGTTTTCCCCATGCTCACATGCTATTTTGTGCATCAGTAAATTTGCTTCAACTGCTTTCTCTGCCTGGAAGCCACCCACCCGCACCTCACCCTCTGTCTGGGAAACTCCTACACAACTCTCAAAGTGGAGCTCAGCCATCACTTCCTCTAAGAATTATTTCCTGATAATTTTGCTAAGTTGGCCATTTCCTCTTTGTTTTGACCCACTGATCTTCATGAAGTCTTGTATCAGAGCACTTTTGGCACTTGGATTTCTGTTAGTTATTTATCTATATATTTACCCTCAACTGTAAGATCTGTTGAGGGCATTAATAACACCCAACATGAGCTGAATGCTTATTATGTGACAGGCATTTCACATTTTTCCCTTTCAATGCCATAATTCTAGGAAGTGTATACTATTTCTACCCCCATTTTGCAGATGATGAAACAGACAGAAAGGTGATCCAAATTGTCAGATAATTGTTGGTAGAGTTAAGATTAACACTAGGACTTTTTACTTCTGCCCATTCTTAACCAGCAAACTCTACACCTTCTCTTGAATGTCACTAGTACACAGGCTGACACATAATATGTCTAATAAATGTAGGTTGAATGTGGTAGTTTAGTCATAAGTTTTTTAAAATTTAAAACATGAAAAAACAAGATTTTTGAACCCTATTTCATCTTATTTTTATTACTTATTATTTATTTATTTATGGTGACTATAAAATCCTCAAATAAAAACATCTATTTCTAGTATTTCTGAGGCATTCAGGAAGAAGAGAATGTGGAAGACGTATTCTACTTTGCAGCAATGATGCCCCGAGTCTGACTGTACAGAAAGAGTGATTCAGGGTAGAGGGGCAATATGATTGAAAAGGGGTAGGATCTGCAGATTTGCAAGTCACTTTGCATAAAATTCAGAAATCATTGACTATCTTGAAGAATTATGGAGGTGGTGACACCCCCTGCTGCCAGAAATCCCTTGATGTAGCCACTGCTCTGCTACTGGTAGGCAAGGAAGAATATGTAAAAGGAGAAATCAGCCATAGGTAGTGGAAATAATGTAAAAAATGAAAAACTGATGGAACCATTAGGGCCTGCTAGAAAGAGAATAGGAAGGAATAAAAGTAAGGGGAAGTGGTTCTAGTTGGCAAAGTTTAACCAATATGTCATTTGCTGATGTAGCATGTAACGGCATCAACATAGTAGAGCCTCCTATTTGGATTTGACATTGTGGTCCTCTGTGCGCTGCTCCCCTATAAGTAACTACCACACAGAGACATGGGTCCTCCCTTTTAGAGCCTAATCCAACCTGGCCCCAAGCCAACCTTCAATCCTCTGTGGAGGAAGTTCCTCGGTCATTTCCTCATGGCATTTCATTCACTAAAACTGGGTCCAAACTCTGGGAGTTCTTGCAGAATTTCCAGAGACTTTTCTTCCCTTGGCACATTACTTACGTCACAGACTGAACTAGCATGAGGAGCAAGGAAGAACTTGAGAAATGTCTAAGACAAATAAAACCTAACACACTTTCAGTGGATGTCAATGTAGTGAAATTCTTATTCCATAACTTGAGGCTTGGGACCTTCCATATTTTTGAGTATGGCCATGTGCTTACCTACAAAACTTCATTTATCTCCTTTGTCCTTTCTTCTCAGTTCCATCCTTCTACAGTAGGGACATAATGACTAAAGCTCCCCTGGCCACCTCGAGTCATGAGGCAACCACGAGAATGCAAGTATGTGTTAAGAATAGCAGAGCAAAATGTTTAAGGGAACTTGGGTCCCTGTTGATCACCAGCCTGCCATACTGGCTCTAAACTGTCAGACTTTTTACACATATGAGAAAAACAAACCCTCATGTGTTTAAGCCACAATTATTTTGGGGTCTCTGATACTAGTGGCTAAATTAAATTTCAAACCAATAGAAGGCTTCATATGACAATAAGATGTCACACATATGAGGCCCTGTAAAGCACACTGTGCAGAATTCAGGGGTGTTTATGAATAGGGCCAGTACAATAGGTTTCTCTAAACTTTTGAGCTATAGGTGAGGGTTGTCTTACTCCTTGTTGCATACACCAGTGTATGTGTTGGAGTGCGTAAAGTAGAAGACTGCCATTGCTGAAGGGATTGTCTATGTTTTGCCAAAAGCAGCAATTTCAGTCCAATGTTAGGGGCCTTCAGTATTTAAAAAGGAAATTCCCTTTGACCAGATTTTTGACTGAATCGCCGCTCAGAGAAATATTGAGGTTTAAGCAATTTGTTATGCATCACAACTTGTTAAGAAATTATTTGTTAGTTACCATATAAGTTCTGTTGCTGAAGAATAACTCTTTTTGAGCACCTGCTCTATGCAGACCTTGCTAGGTATCTGTGTCTGCATGCATTACATCACTTAATACCCTCTGTAACCTGAGAAGGTTAGAAGTGCCTACGATGGTTTCCTTCCTTAACCAGAAAAATGAGCTTGTTAACATTTTAGTTAATGCCCTAGACCAACTTTTCGGTGAATCTATTTATCTAGATTACAAAAGACTTCTCCTTAGTAGACACTCACAGAGGCCCAGTTGGAAAGGTACAGTACGATTTTCTCTGGGGGCAAAGAGCATCACTAAAATCAGAGAGCCTTGACCTCCCCATCCTAAAACTTACAGAGAATTTTGAACCTCTGCCCACATCTCTTAACTTAGCTGTTAAGTTTCAATCCAGCCTGGCTGAAGGTATATGCTTTACTGCAGGTGCTGGTGGGTGGTAGATTAGACCAAAGATCAGGTGATAAATGGGCAAGAGAGACAATGGGAGAGTGGATAATTCCCCCATTGAGAATCACACTGTGAATACCCTTTAAAACATTAACTGAATAATCCTAACATAAACGCCCTCATACTCCAACAGACGTGCTTACACATGCATCTCTTGATTTTATTCTCTGAAAATTCACCAGGGGAATTGGATTTCTCAATACCTATCTTCCTGTATATCTGCTGTGTGACTACAGCCACCTTATCTTAAAGAAAGACTTTAGAGAATCATACTCTGTCTTGCAGATATTAGGGCCTTAATAAGTGAATTCCTGTCATCATGTTTTAAAAAGGAAGGTCTGAGAGAAAAATAGCTGGCCTAGTGGCTTAAACACTGGTCTGGAAGTGACAGCTCATGACACCGCATGACACTGAGCAATGCTTCCAGGGCTCTCAGTGGCCCAGAAGAGTCAGCAGAGTCCATATTTGTTTGCAATTCCTTCTTTATAAAAGAAATTTGCTTTCTTATGAAATATATTTATGTGCCTCACTTATATTATTTTCTCAACTCCAAATTGGGGAAGAAAATATGAATCAGATAGAATAAGATGACAAATATTTGTTTTGAAATTTCTTTTATACCACAAAAATGATTATTTAAAATACGTGATAGAAAATAAAATGAAAGCTCTTGGAACAAAGTTGGGTGCTCTCCTGTTTTCTTCAAGACCCTTTCATGAGCCTAAGGTGTCTAGCATTGTCACCTGCTTAGAATCTGCTTTTGCTTTTCTCTTCGGATGTTTAGATAAACAGGCAAAAAAGAGAAAACTGGGAACAGAGGAAAGCTGTGCAGAGGCAGAGGTGATCTTTGAAGGAGCTCCTCTCATTCCTCAACATGAGTCAACTAAGGATAGAAACTCAGTAGCTAAGATAAGGTGTGACCCTATGTGCAGTGATTGGATGACAGATGACATCTGATTCAGACTTGCTCATACGAAGCCCCTGAGGACAGGAATTGAAATTATATGTTTTCCTTTGGATAAGAAGGATTTTCATATTCTAGGCTGGATAAAAGGACTAAGCAATAAGGCCTTTTCCTTCCAGCAGAACTATCCTTCAAAGAGACCCATGGTCAGGACCATCTCCATTTTGCCCCAAATCATGGAGTATTGTGGGATGCATTTGATGGTCACATAACAGCAAAGTCAGGCATTCTCAGTGGGTAGTTAGGGATTTGGTGATGCTGCATCTACGCTTTTAGGCCACTAGGTGTCCGGTTAATGAGTGCATTGAAAGATCAGGATGTGTCAAGTCCTACAGACCAAACAATGGGATTATTGAATGAAGGTTTCACTCATCATTTTGATGGTTCCATATCTTGAAGACAGTCAACCATCTGTAAATCGCACCCCAGTGGCCGAGAAGAGTCAACGGGCCTATCGCAAACTTGCTTTGCATTCTTTCGTGGAAGGGTTTTTATCTTTTTAAAATCATTCTCATTAAATAAAGATAGATAGTAAAAAGGAAAAAAGCCATACCTGTAGTATTCATCTCCCACAAAGAAAAGGGTCTTCTGTGGCTCCCTGAGGTAGACAGCAGCATCTATTTGCTGCACGTGCCTTGGAAATCCAAAGTCATAAATAGTCCGAGGAGGACCTTGCATTTGGAATCCTCTTGTTATCCAGTAGTGGGGACCTGAAAACAGAAATTAAAGTTTACGAAAACTCTGCACCACTTGGTGATGCACTTCTCTCATAAAGATTTCTATGAAGGCTCTTAAATGGGGTTAGTTTATGGGATACTTGCCATGGCTATAACCCAACAAGAGATATAAGCTTCTAACTATTCAGTTCAGTAAAAGACTTCAAACTTCCCTGGAGGCAAAAGTCCCTAGTTATGCCTTAAGAAAGCAATAACATTGATAAAATTGTGTTTTACATTTAACATACTATGTCTTTCAAGATATCCTTCATTTATAATCTCATTTCACCTTCATAGATCTACGAGAGAGAATGGGCAAGTGACATGCAAATGTCATGATTTTTACTTAAATTGGCACTTGCTTTCTAACCTTATCCCTCAGTATCAAGAACATATAAGCTAAAACTGATAGTTATCACCTACTGGATAACTTCCATTGGCTCGCCATTGTCACAACGCACCTTCAAGGTTTATATTGCTATAATCACTTTGCAGAGGAAGAAATGGAGCTCAGAGCCATTAGATAACTTTCCAAAGTCACTCAAATAGTAAAGGGCTAGAGCCAGAGATTGGTATATGTGTCCACCTCCTGAAGTCAAAGGCGTCCTCCTCTCCTGGCTGCTTCTGACCACAGCATAGAAGTAAGGGTATTGTTTACCTCCCACTGAGTTCCACACTGGCTTTTATTTATTAAAGGATGTCAGTAGAGTATACACTGTCACTCTGAGCAGAGGTCCTGTGTGGCAGGGACCATGTTTCTAGCTCCCTAGGCACTATCACCTAACACAGTGCCTTACTAGCCTAACAGGCTTGGTTCTCAGGGCCACTGCCATCATTTCCATTGTTACACAATGTCGGGTATAACAAATGTAGGGTGGCATTTCATACCCAACCTGAGGACAAAGAGCAACTGAAATGTGCTCCATGATGACTGGAAAAATGCTGGCAGGGCTAGATATGCCAAATGAATGGGGCACTGCAGCCCTGCCATTTCTTTCTTTGAGGGATCTGTAGGGTACCTTTGAAGAAGTAAGCAGTGCCCCTCTCAGCCACTTCGTAAGCTGCATCCACATTGGACATGAGCTGGGGGAAGGAGCTGGTAATAGTGCTGGGCCGAATTCCTGTCCGCAAGTGAACCTGCCGTCTCCAGAAAATCCTATGGGACATTCCAAAAAAAAAAAAAAAAAAAATCAAGATCAATGATTGATTTACATATAAAATTGCACTTTGACTGAAATGTACTCAGAGGCCACTCACTAAATGCCCTTTGCTCTTGCCTTGCCTTGCCTTGTTTTTTTTCTCTTTTCTTTTTTTTTTTTTTTGAGATGGAGTCTTGCTGTTTGGCCCAGGCTGGAGTGCAGTGGCATGATCTTGGCTCACTGCAACCTCGGCTCACTGCAACCTCCACCTCTCCAGTTCAAGCAATTCTCCTGCCTCAGCTTCCCGAATAACTGGGGCTACAGCTGTGTGCCACCATGCCTCACTAATTTTTGTACTTTTAGTAGAGACAGGGTTTCACTTCACCACATTGGCCAGGCTGGTCTCGAACTCCTGACCTCAAGTGACCCACCTGCCTCGGCCTCCCAAAGTGCTGGGATTACAGACATGAATGACCATGTCCATTCCACCCTTGCCATGTTTTTAAGGAAAAACACAACTTTTTGGACCTTGGTAAACAGTTTCTACTCCCTTTTCATTGTCTTAGCATTTCTGTGATCCCCTCTCCTTCGTTTATTTAAGGATGTTCAAAATAATGAAAGAATATAGCAAAGTAATAGTATCAATTATTTACACATTTAAGCTATGCACCCCCCCATTCCAAATATCACTTGATACAAATTTCTCTTTCCTTTTCTGATCTTTTAAAAGTTAAAATCTTACAAAGGTAACTATGATCCAGAAGGTGGACATTGTGAATAGTATGTAAATGAACCAGAAGTCTATGGTTGAGTCATGCTGATTAGACCCTGTAAAAATAGCGAAAACATTAATAATCATAAGTTATGGTGTTGCCTACATAATTGTGCGCTGGAAGCATTTACATCTTTGAGTCTGATGGCTAGTTAACAGAAAATCTAGTACACACATATTGATTTAAGGCTTAGCAATTCATCTATCCATTTACCCAATATTATAGTCATAAAATTGTGGCAGTATACCCATGAGGGTACTGGATTGAAACTGACAATGTAATGTGCTCTATTTTATAGTTTGAAGATGAAAATCATTTTTTATAAAACACGAATAATTTACTTGTCTTCTTAGGAGCCCAGAATTACTTCACAGGATTATTTGGGGACTGGGAAACTGTAATAAAATTTTGACATTGAACTTTCCTAGTGGCTAATTTAGGAATTCTCCAAATTTTATGTAGAGTTTTCCTATTCAGTTAATCTAACAAATATTTATGGAGCACCTATCATCAGGCACTGTGGTGGACATCAAGGATGAAACACTGAAGAAGATGTCGGCCCTGCCCTCAATATGTTTACAATCTAATAGTAGAGACTGATTAGTAACGATCAGAGTGATTGGTGCTACGAAGAGTTAAGTTCAGGATACTTTGAGAACACACAAGAAGTATATCCCATTGCATTTAGGGGCTTAATAAAGGTATCCCTAATGAGGCAACTTAAGCTGATGATAAAATCCAAAAAAGGAATGTATTGGGAAAAGATAAATATTTCCTCATGTTTCGTAAGAGGCATCATGGTGCAGAAGGAAAAACACATTGTGTTTGAGAAGATGTGGGCTAGAGTTTTAACTCCACTGCTGACCAGCCTCTCCAAGCCTCAGTTTAATCAGCTTACATGGGAAAAATAATTTCCTGGCCAATATCATGAGACCATTATAAGGATAAAATGAGATAATGAATATGAAAGTGTATTATAAACTGTAAGGTGCCATATGGATAGATACTGTTAGTTTGAAAAGGTATTATTTGCTTAGGCCTTAATTACCTGGTAATTGGGCACCCTCCATAGACAATACACAAGCCCCAAACATCACAGCCTTATCTAAAGCGTATGTTTTAACTGATGAAAAACTGAGATCCAGAAGGGCTGCTGGCCCAAAGGTCACTGGTGGTGAGGGGCAGAGACGGCCCAGCTCAGGCTCTAGCTGCCTTGAGGTTAGTCACATGTCCGATCTCACCTACTTGCTCATGCTCAGTCTCGTGACCTCTGGTTTTTTCTTTGTTTGTACTTTGACCCTTTGTCCAATCAGACCTGGGCTTTTCTGAAGGCCAGAGGGACTGCTTCCCTTTTCCCTTTTCTCTCCACCACCTCGTAATGAATACAGTTTTGGGTATCCAGAATCCCGCAACTACTTCTTGGATTAATTGGGAACCTGGGATGAAACCTGAAGAGCAAGTGTGTTCCAATTAATGCAATTCAATACATAGCTCTGAAATGTTTTCTCTTATAAGTTGCTGTGCTAAGACACAAAGTGTGCATTTAAGAATATTATAATGATGAGGCCATGTGGGGAAAGTGGGGAGGTAGAGGAGCAGATATGTCTTCCCAAAACTAGGCTCTGTCTGAATGATGTCTCTGATGAGGTGTAGTAGACTTCCAGCTGCTTTCTCTTTGATCACTCTAAAGCCAGATGCATTTTCTTGCATTTCTCACTTAAAAATCAACAAGCAACTCTAGGCAAAGCTAAGTCCTACTTTTTAGTTGAAGTTTTGGGACAGTGATATCTTGAATGACTCAACATGAGAAGTAGTAAAGGGTAGTAGTTACGAGCTCAGGCAAAGGAAAACTGTACTCTTGAAACTTTTCACAAGTGGTAGACTCTCAAATTCCTTACTAAGGAAATATTGATGTAGGATATCGTGAGGACTAAATTGAAGTAGTCATTGTAAATCAAGTGTGATTTTGCACCCTGGGGGACGTTAGGCAATATCTGGTGACAATTTTGGTTGTCACAGGTGGGGATGAGCAGTGCTATTGGAGTCTAATGAGTACAGCCAGGGATGCCACTAAACATCCTAATGCAAAAGACAGCTCAACACAACTAAGACTTATCTGGCTCAAGATACCAGTAGTGTCAATGTTAAGAAACCCTGCTTTAAACACCACTATGATGTAGTGTAATGTATATAATGTGCACATAGGATAGAAATAAATGCTATCCATCACTTATATAAATTATGACAAATTTCTTTTCTTTTCTTTTTTTTGAGATGGAGTTTCACTCTTGTTGCCCAGGCTGGAGTGCAATGGCGTGATCTAAGTTCATGGCAACTTCCGCCTCCTGGGTTCAAGCAATTCTCCTGCCTCAGCCTCCCGAGTAGCTGGGATTACAGGCATGTGACACCACTCCCGGCTAATTTTGTATTTTTAGTAGAGGTGGGGTTTCTCCATGTTGGTCAGGCTGGTCTCGAACTCCCGACCTCAGGTGATCTGCCTGCCTCCACCTCCCAAAGTGCTGAGATTACAGGCGTAGACACCATGCCTGGCCAAATTATCACAAATTTCAAAAAGAATCTGTAGTCATGAAAAATTTCAGTAAACTAATGAAAAAAATGATGTCTTGTGGCAATAAAACAGTAACATACTCAGACAATTTGCATCCTTAGACCTATAGATTGTAGTAATAAGTGAAGTAAAACTCACAAAAACAATGATAGCAAGTAACTTCCTTATACATCTGTGAATGGATTTAAAATATAAACAAAAAAATCTATAAGCCTCTTGGAAAAGAACAGCTGCAGGATGTATTGGAATGAAAATAAACAGATTATATCACTAGTCTATAATTTGATCTTTGATAAGGAAGGCAAAACAATGGAGTTTATTGATATTTTAGATCTGCTGATTAGATATTTAGCTGCACTGTTTATCTTCATGTACCCACTATCTTATGCTATGCTGGCACATAGTCAGGGTTCAATACACATTTGTTGGCTAAATGAACGGGTGCCAGAGAGATGATTGGAACTTACCTGATCAACAAGTTTCATATTCTTTAAAATTTTCATTCACTTTTACCAAAGAACAGTAACTAACTCATCAAATTTGAGATTTGGTCTCTGATAACTTTCACCTGGCCTCTTGCAGCTCTTTGCTAGTTCCTTGAATTCCTCCTCCAGCATCATGTATTATTCATCTTTTTATCCTTGGGCTTAGCATGCTGCCTGGTGCATCCAGGGACTTGATGCATGTTGTTGAGCCTTAAAGGTCTTCTTTTGTTTTACCCAGTCATCATTCTCCACCTACCTAAGCTGACCCCATCAGACTTTCATTTTCAGGAGATGCCTTCACCCTTTATTTGCTGGACAATCAAGGCAACTCAGCACAAGCTGAATGAGTGGCCCAATTTTCATCGTCTTTAGTCTCACACTCTCTTAGATTCTGATCTCTGTCATCTTCTTTCCTATTTGTGGGAAGGGGTGTCTTTCTTCTATCTTTTTTTTTTTTTTTTTTGAGATGGAGTCTTGCTTTGGTGCCTAGGCTGGAGTGCAGCGGCGCAATCTCAGCTCACTGCAACCTCTGCCTCCTGGGTTCAAACGATTCTCCTGCCTCAGCCTCCCAAGTAGCAGGGACTACAAGCACGTGTCACCACACCTGCCCAGCTAATTTTTGTATTTTTTTCAGTAGAGATGGGGTTTGACCATGTTGGCCAGGCTGGTCTTGAATTCCTGACCTCAAGTGATCTGCCTGCCTCGGCTTCCCAAAGTGCTGGGATTACAGGCATGAGCCACCATGCCGGCCTCTATCTTTTTGATTCTCTGTTTAATTACTGCTCACTCCCCTGAGATCAGGTGATGTGGTGCAGTGAACAGAACAAGAAATGCTTGAAACCTTGTTTTATAACTGGCTGTGTGACCTCGTGTGAGTCATTCAATTTTTCTGAGACTCAATTTCCTACTGTCAAATAAGAGTGAGAATAATATCTGCACAAACACTTAAAAGGATCAATTGAAATAATGCATATGAAAGTGTTTTATAAATTCAGGACTATTCTTATTTGTAGACACTTTAAAAAGACATGTTTTTACTCCACAAATTTATTAATAGATGATATGCAGAATATAAACTTAGAGTTTATCAATATAGCCAAGTTTCCTTCTTAGTTTGCTTCACTGGAAACTTTGAAGTACAAACTGTCATGTCATTGGCTGAGAAGCCATTCATTCTATGGGACTCATTAACCAGGGCTGCTTAGTTCATGATGAGTCAGAAGCCAAGAAATCAACCATGAATCATCCACCTCACTGAACCCAAGAAAAATATAGTTCATACAACTAAAAACCCATCTGTAGCCAGTGCTGTGGATTAATGATAGTCAAAGCTGTGCATAGTGCCCTTAAATTAAGAATGTTTGTACCCATCTGAAGAGCCCGTGAAAATCCATATTCATAAGCCATAACCTGTGAACATGTAAAGGGCCCCTCCTCTCTCAGAATCAGGTGGTTCAGAAGAAATGACAATGAGTCAGGGATGTTACTTCACCTCTGCTTCTTTATCTGAATTCTTAATAGATCACAGAGAACCGCTCTAAGTAAACACAATGCCATTTGTTGGCTTTCAGGGAAGTAATCTTACAGCCAGAAAAGACACATTCCCAGGGAGAATGCGAAGGAGGAAGACTTCCTCCTGTTCCATGGTGGGCTTACCTCAAGCCCATGGCATCCTGGGAATTCCCAATTTCAAATCTACTCTCCAGAAATAGTGGTTACTGTTATTGTTTTCCTTCCTGTAGCATCTTGTATTTCTTTTTCTCCACTGTCTTCAAACATGAACAGTTCCCTCTTTGAAATCCTGTCTTGGCCCTGCTGCCACTGCCAACTATTATCTTAACTTCTTTTGTTATTAACAAGCTTCTCAAATGAATGATCTATCTCAACTCTTTTGTTTCCCCCCATTTGCTTTTTATTATTTATTTATTTATTTTAAGATAGGGTCTCGCTCTGTCACCCAGGCTGGAGTGCAGTGGTGCAATCTCAGCTCACTGCAACCTCTGCCTCCAGGGTTCAAGTGATTCTCCCACCTCAGCCTCCTGAGAAGCTGGGATTACAAGGCACTGCCACCACATCTGGCTAATTTTTTTTGTATTTTTAGTAGAGACAGGGTTTCACCATGTTTCCCAGGCTGGTCTTGAACTCCTGACCTCCAGTGATCCACTCGCCGCCTCTCCCAAAGTGCTGGGATTACAGGTGTGAGCCATTGCGCCTGGCCCCATTTGCTCTTTAACCCCTTTCCATGATCTGGCTTTCTTCCTCACTGCTCTGCTGTGACTATATTCCAAACTATCCTGGCCACTCAGTCCCTTTTCTTCAGTCCTCAGTCTGGTGACCTTGGCAACATTTTCCACTGTTGATCACTTAAAAAAAATACACCCTTTTTTCCCAGATTTATTTGGGATTTCACCACAGGGGTTTTGTCTCTGATGTCAAACAGAACTAAGTTATAATTCCAGCTGAGGACAATGACAGTATGGATTAAATGAGTGAATATCTGTAAAATTCTTAGCACAACACATAGCACGTTGCAAATGACCACGAAGTGTCGGCTATTCTTTTTTTTTTTTTTTTTTTTTTTTTGAGACGGAGTCTCGCTCTGTCGCCCAGGCTGGAGTGCAGTGGCGGGATCTCGGCTCACTGCAAGCTCCGCCTCCCGGGTTCACGCCATTCTCCTGCCTCAGCCTCCCAAGTAGCTGGGACTACAGGCGCCCGCCACTACGCCCGGCTAATTTTTTGTATTTTTAGTAGAGACGGGGTTTCACCGTTTTAGCCGGGATGGTCTCGATCTCCTGACCTCGTGATCCGCCCGCCTCGGCCTCCCAAAGTGCTGGGATTACAGGCGTGAGCCACCGCGCCCGGCCTCGGCTATTCTTATCGTTATTATTTTCGGAGTGCTGAATCTCTCTGGTTGTTATTAAATCCTTTTCTTCTATTTCCTAGGCTCATTCTTTAGACTTTTTTTCTTTCTCCTCATTCTCTCTACAGAGCTGTTTTTCATCTCCACATCTTTAAATGTCTCCTTTATGTGGGAGATTCAAAACCCACGAAGCCTCCAACTGTGACCTCTTCCCTGAGCACTAGCTTATTTCTATGAAACTCCGTGAAAATTGTCATTGCTTTAAATCTGATACATCTAACCCTGTTTTACATCGTGTTCCCAACAAATCCTCTGAATTTTTCTAAGTGAACAATGCTGTATATTATACTCTCAGCCATGAGGCTTCTACCTGCTTTAACTTTCCCTTTTCCATTGTTCTTCTCACCAAATTAGTGTCCTAATCCCACTGGTGAGTCCTCAGAATGCCTTTTATTAATACATCCATTCTTCTCTCCAATTCCTACTTGCATAACCCTTAAAAATGCTTTTCTTTTCTTTCTTTCTTTTTTTTTTTTTTTTGAGACGGAGTCTTGCTCTGTCGCCCAGGCTGGAGTGCAGTGGCGCGATCTCGGCTCACTACAAGCTCCGCCTCCCGGGTTCACGCCATTCTCCTGCCTCAGCCTCCCGAGTAGCTGGGATTACAGGCGCCCACCACCACGCCCGGCTAATTTTTTTTTTTTTTTTTTTTTTTTTGTATTTTTAGTAGAGACGGGGTTTCACCATGTTAGCCAGGATGGTCTCCATCTCCTGACCTTGTGATCTGCCCACCTCGGCCTCCCAAAGTGCTGGGATTACAGGCTTGAGCCACCGCGCCCGGCCAAAAATGCTTTTCTTTGCCTTCTAATTTAAGACACATAACATCTTTTAAAATGTGACAATTAGTGACAGATTAAAAAAATATATAGAATCCTATTTTGGAAAAAAAAATGTGAAGAAACATATTAGACATCCTTGGGAAACCTAGATAGTCTATGAACATCCTCCTCTTTGTGGCTGGTTGCCCCACTTGCAAGCAGAGGGTGTGGAAGCAAAGGAACAGCTCGGAAGTGCTCTTCCTACTAACTCAAATGCATAACAGTCAATGGGCATATGTTCATTCAGGTTAAATTTCAGTGCTTTTCTTGGTATTTCCATTTCATAGGCAGAAAGCTTTCTATATTAGTGCTAGGATAGATTCTGGACTGGAGTCAGAAGATCTGGGTCTCATGGGAGGGTCTGCTGAGGCTAAAAGACCTGTGCCTATTTTCCTTATCTCTACACTGAAGGATTTGGATATGATCAACCTTTATGCTTACTCTATTTGTAAAACCTATTGTACTTCTAAGATTTATAGATGATTGTGTGTGATATTCTTGATTTTACCCTTAAAATTATATTGGGCAAAACCCAACATAATATGATAGATGCAAATATAATTTTGGTGTGGCTACAATTCCAGTCATTTCTCTCTTATTTTCCCTAAGTGACTGAGGAAATGTGATATAGCCTTAATAAATTTGTCATCTATTATAAAAAGTAAGTGTATGTTCATTAAGTATATCTAGCTATATATATGCCTCTCAACTTATTATAGCTAACACTTATTTCTCTTCACACAGAACATTTGAATGTACGTTTATACACTATGGAGAATATCTGACAAATCTCACGGTGACTTTAAAAGGTACTGCATTCCATCTTGCTTTGGAAACAAACCATGTGGTTATTATGCCCACAGCTTGAAATGTCCCATCAACAGATCATTGTTGGTGACGGGGAATTCCAGGCTGTTGAGTGGGAGAGAAGAGACTGGGAGCGCTTTCATAATCAGTGGCTCCCTGGTTGCCATTAGAACTGTGGCTTGAAAGAATTCTTTGTTCTTTGTCCAGGCTTAGCAAGCACTCTGGGACTTTTAGCGGCAGCTGGTAGGGGATCAGAGCTATAGAGTCATGGGATTCCAGCTCTGGACAGCACCTTAGGAGGCAGGGTAGTTAGGGGCACGGATTCTGAAGTTTGCTAGTTTGGGTTTGAATTCCAGCTCCACCCCTTACTAGCTATGTACTCTTGAACAAGTTGCTTATCCTTTCTATGACTTGTAAAAGGAATAATACTTCAGGCCTCACAGGGGAATTGTAAGGATGTGATAATATAGTGCTTTGCATAATAAGTACTGAACACTTTTAAGTCACTATTATTACAGACAACTCCCTCACTTTATAGAAAAGGAAGAGAAGCTCCAGGTGCCACGGTGAGTTAGTGGCAAGTCCAGTGCTGGGACCACTCCTGACTCCCCATCCTGCTTATAGCTCGTTCTAGTTCTTTGGAATCATCTGCCCTACCCCAGTAGCTCATTGAATCTGAAATGGAAGAAGATGAGAAGGTGGTGACTAAGCAGATACGTACATTGTAGCAGGCCATCTCTCCTGCGGTCCCTCTGCTGATTTTTCATTTCTAGACGTCTCTTGCACCAATGTCTCACTTACTAGTCTGTTATCACCCTCAGTATTTATAATCAAGACTATGTCAAAAGATGTATTGACTTTAAGTAGTCATTAGTAATTGCTAAATGCTCACAGTTTGATAAACAGAGGTGTTTTTTTTTTTTGCTTTTTTTTAAGAAAACAATGATCATTGAATGAAATGGTATCATATGTCTGACTTCACCACCTCCTTTACCCCCACTGCAACCTCTGATATTTACCACAAGAATAAGCTACACCCTGCATGATGGCTAGCACCTCACTGCTTTATCACTGAATGAGTGCTACATGCTATTTCAGTGTCTGGGAGTGTGGAGCCTGACAATGATATCCCTTAGGTGAAGCCAAGTTTACTCAGATCTGTGCTCCAAGCTCCTCCTGCCCTGCCTGGTCTACCACTCCCGGGTCATTGCTTACCAATTCCATTTGGTGTACTTTTTGGTAATATTCAAGAAAAATGTCAATGGTCAGTGTCTTAAAAATAAAAAATCATCAGAAAATTAATAACACAAAAGAATAAATTGGGTTCTCTAAATACCTGAAGTTGTTTATAAGCCTCCCTGCCATTGTAAATATTTTTTGATTCCCACTCTTAAGAATAGTAACTGCCATTTATTGACACTATGTGTCTGGCACATTACTTGCTGGGGATCACCTCATCAGTAAGCAGTAGGGCCACCCACTGACTCTGCTGTGAAAGCCTGGGTTCCTGGGCTCAGCTCTAATTTGCCTTTGAAAAGTGAATGTCTGTCCATTGTCAAAGATTTAGTTCAAACTGTTTCTAATTTTTAAAAATTAGAAATAATCCAGTATGGGATTGATTAAGTAATGATATATCTATTCATTGGAATAACATATAATATATAAAGGATGAGAATTAAAATCCGTTGACAGGAAAAAATAAAATTTTGTGAGTGAAAAAGTTTATAAATCAACACCACTAGTAAAATCCTATTTTTTTAGAAATCATTGCGCCCTACTCCCATATGTACAATATCTAGCTCTCTATCCAGAGAAAACGTCAGGAGGGACATAAAACAATATGCTTAACAATGGGAATGCTCTGTGTTATGTGCCCTCCAAATTCCTATGCTGAAGCCTTTACCTTCAATGGGATGGTATTACCTTCAAGAAGTAATTAGGGTTAGTGCTGGAAGAGGACATTCCTGACTCATGAGGTCATGAGGGTGGGGGCCCCATGATGGGACTAGTGCACTTATAAGAAGAGAAACTGGAAATCTCAGTCCTCTCTCTCTGTACATGAAGGGATCATGAGAGCTCACAGCAAGATGGCGGCTGCCTACAAGCCAGGAAAAGAGGCCTTGGGGTGAAACTTACCTTGCAGTACCTTGATCTTGAACTTCTTACCCTCCAAAACTGTGAGGAATACATTTCTGTTGTCTAAGCCACCTGGTCTATGGTACTTGGTTATAGCAGCTCCTGCAGACTGATACACTCCAGGTGGTGGGATTCTGGGTAAATTTTGCTTTTTAAAAAATACTTTGTTACTTTCTCTCTGTGCTGAAGGAGCAAAAAGTATTCTTATAATAGTAGCTCAACAATATATCCCCAAAAGCATACAAGATAAGGAACATCACATTTCTCAAACGTCTGCTCCTCAGGGAACTCTCTCTAGATCTTCCCAGGTACTTGCTTCTTGTTTTGTTTCATGGGCCTAACTTTTAGAGCTCATGTCTCACTATCTTGCAGGGCTTTTGGAGTCCCCTACTCATACACCTTCTCATACATGAGACTACACTGCTTGAAAACCACAATGGGCTCCATAAACACTTTTGCAATAGTGAAGAAGAAGAAAAAATAATGCCACACATGAATGCTCCTGAGATGCCTCTGCCTATTCTGGTGTGATTGAATTCTGTCCCCAGCAAAGGGAGGAATGGGGTGAATGTTGCTATGTTTCTCTTTGCCTCCATGGAAAGAAGTATTTGGAGTAACCAGCATCATGGAGACAACAGCCTTACTCCCCAAGAAACCAGAGTTGGGGGAGAAGAGGGATCTGCCTTCTCTGTGAAAGGCCCGGAGGCACTGAAAAGGAGCAGTTTCGGAAGAATGCTGGCCTTGGAATTATCTACCCACCTATCTATCCATCTGATCATCCATCCATCCATCCATCCTTTTATCCAATCTCCTATCTGTCCATCTGTCCAGCTAGCCAACCCTCATTCACCAAATATTTATTGAGCATTTGCTATGCACACTCACTAGGGATAAAGTGGTAAACAAAATGGACATCAGATCAATTCAGGCTGGTGTCCTAGCTCAGCCATTTAACTGTCACCTTGGGAAACTTGCTTGCTGTCTTTGAGCTGCTTTCTTTATCTGCACATTAGGGATTCTAATCTCTACAGTGAAAAAGGTTACAATAAATATTGTCCATATATGGACATAACTTAGCACAGTAGCAAGACCACAGTAGGTGCACCACAAACAGTAGTTTTGGCAGTTCTCTATCTCCCCCAAAGACCCCTGCCTACCACCCTTCTGCTGCATAGGACAGCATTTCTGCATGATCTTCATACAAGGCAGCAACAAGGACCTGTGGGACGACGTTTGTCTGGGAGTGGAGATGAGGCCCAATGAGAGTCGGTGGCGTGTCTGAGGCTTACCGGTCCTTGAAGAGCAGGAGCTCCTTCCCCAGCATTGTCACAGCGTCAAAGGATGAGCTGGAGTCACAGAGGTCAGGGATGGATGGCTTGTGATGGGGGGCATGGGGCAGAGTGGGCTTCCCCAGGAATACTTTCCGAGGTCCTAGGATTCAAAATGAGTTGGTCAAAATGGTAACGGGAATTTGGAGTTCACACACTTCTGCTCTAGAGCCCCAGGGGAGGTTGTACACTTTCACGCTGGACATGTGATCATGATCATGGCTGTTGAGGGCAGGTATGGGTTTGAGTCCCGGCTCTCCTGGTTGCTGAGCTGTGTGATTTGAGGCACATTATTCAACTTTGCAAGCCTCAGCTTCCTCACTTGTTAAAAGGGAGGGATAATAATAGTACTCACCTCAGAAGGCTGTTGTGAGAATTAAATAATTCCTGTAAAGCAGGTAGCAGAGTGCTTGGCACATAGTAAGTCTTCTAAAGATTATTATTTTATTATAGAACTTCTTTGATATCTACAAGTGTTCCAAATTAGAAATGTAATTTAAAAATTGGCATGGATTGTTTGTTTGTAATTAAGTTCTTTTTTTCTCAATAAGAAAACTTTCTTGTGTGTTTTCCTATTATTTTCATAGACTCCTTGGCATCCTGCCCTGTGCTTTTGTCTTTTACTAGGCATCCAGGAAAAACTGAGCGAGTTCTTGTGAAACTGAAGTACACTGAAGGTGTTTGCTATTTAAAGGTATCTTCTGGTGGATCGTCTTGGAAAACATGGACCCAAATCTTGCGAGAGCTATCAGTGAGTCTCCTCTCCTGCTCTGCATCTCTCAGGACTGTGTCCCAGCTCCAGAAGAATGAGCCTGCACAGCTTGGACTGTCACCTCTGGCAGGTTCCTGCTCTTTGATGAAGCCTCGTCATAATTACAGGTGAGAGTCAGGGAAGGAATGAGGCACAGGGAAGGGAAAGGTTCAGGCCTCTGATAAGGGTCAGATGAGGTTTGAGGTCAGGGATGAAGTAGGGTTAGCATCAAGGCGAAGATCAGAGGCGGGGTGAGGCTTTGGGAGAATATCGAAGCTGGAAATTGGAGAGGGTCAGCAGCGGCAAGCGATCGGGTGGGTGATATGAATGCTCCCTTGTAACATAAACCCATGTTTTCACATTTTGTTCACCTGTGTCATAATAGCTGTGCCAAAATATGTGCTTTGCCTCCTGGCTGAGTGACAGTGGCCATCCGAAGGCAGTGACTTTCCAGGGCACAAGGACCTCCAAAGGCAAGTGTTTGAGCTCAGCCCTTCTCGGTGGCCCACAGGAATCGCTTCCCATTGGAACACTGCCACCAAGGCTCTGGAGCTGAGTTTGTGACATGGAGACATTCATGGCATTTTTCCTGTCCCTCAAGGGTCAGGCAGATCTGGTGCTTTCCCCCTCCTGGAAATGGATAGAGCTGGCTGAAAGCTTCTTGGGATGAAATTTGTCTTTTGTGCCTCAGGTGAAATCTGACTGATTTTGAATGGTGTGCCCATTTCTGGGCTTCCCACCCTCCAGATCCCCTGGGGCCAGATTCCTAGCACCCCAGGAAGCTGTTGGGGGATCTGGGTCTCTAGGCACTGAGAAGATGGGGAGAAGCTCTGATAATCAGAAGCCTAATAACCAGGTCTCCAGGGCTCAAAGGAAAAGCAATTTCCTAGATCTTTTTGCCTTTTATCCATTAAAGAAAAATTGTCAAGGTCTAAGGATGTTTCAAGATTCCTTCTGATGGATTAATTGGTTTGTTTTTCCCTTAAGGAAAATTGGATACAGAGTTTCTAATAATCCCTTATTACCTTTTGGAAGAATATTAATACTTGAGGTAACTTATCTTAGGATATCTTAGGATACTTACTGTCTTCAAACCTCAGCTTTCTCAGCTATCAAATGAGGAAAACACTTCACACCCCACAGGTTGGTTGTGAGGCTGGTGTAAGACTACACACATGAACCTGTTTTGTAAACTGCAGATTGGCTACATGACTGGGTGCAGAGTTATTTTAATCATGATTGCTATTTTTAGGGAGATAAGGTCACTTATCTGCAAATGGGTAAGCACCACATATATGAACTATAAACTATATCCATCCTCTCCCAATGTGTAAATTCTAACCTGCACTCAAAGGAAAAACATAAACCGACAAATGACTATATTTTCTAAGGCTATCCAGGACTAATATGCTGTAAAGGAAAGATGCAAAATTTAATCACACATCACACACATATTTATAACTAGCAAATCAGCTCTTCACAAGAAGGCATAGTTGGGGTTATGGTTTCTAGATTGATCTTTACCAATGCAGATAAAATGCACTTTCTTTAATTCGGAGACTGAATGCCTGCCAATTTCAGGGTGAGTCATCAAAGAAGGTAATAATCTTACCGTATAATGCCTGGATCCCTTTCACATCATCTTTGGGGAGGTGGAATCCATAGGGATTCTTGTACTTATAAGTTGGGTACATCAGTGCTGATGGGTCTGTGGAATGGGCCAGGCCCAGGGCATGGCCAAATTCATGAGCAGCAACGGTAAACAAATTAAAACCTAGACAATATGAGAGAGAAAAAAACAGTATCAACACAGGTTTTTGTTTTCTCCATCTTCCATCTTTATAGTATAATTTATGCCCACATTACAGTTAACCCATCTCCTTCTCCTAACTGGATTATTCAAAGGTTGGTAGGTTATTCTGGCACTTAGCTTTGGTGACTTTAATTCTTCCCCCCTTGGCTAGAAGGGGGTTGGGGGTGGGGGAGGACAGAAATGCACATCAATCCATTTTATTCATCATCAGTGATGTTTGGTAGACTGATAAAGCAGAGCCTTGGAACAAATAGTGGCAATGCTATTTGGCAATAATTCATAAATTTAGACCACAAATGCCTTAATAGTTCCCTGCTATTACAGCCTACACCTTTTGATCCACACGTTTCACACTGAAGATTTCCAGATGACCTGTATGATATTCTGGAAACTTTATTCCCATCCCCAACACACTTCTCAGGACAGTACTGATTCTCTTGGGTCATTTCTGAATGTAGCCCATTTCCAAGAATAAGTAAGAAATCATAAATACTAGGTTGTTGAAGGAAACGAGAGCAGTGCGTTGAGAAGGGGATGACTGGTTCTTCAGATGATATGCTATGAAACAGATCAGACAAGTCTACAACACAATTTGGGGTGGATTTTTTTCCCTTATGTGATCCCTTTTGGATTTTTGGCTTACTTGTTTTTCCTAGCCAGCCCCCCTAGTTAAAGGGTGGCTTGGGACGTTGAACCTCAAGGTTTCATGATGGAGCCCAGAAGAAGGTACAATATTTTCCAGGTTATGGTGAATTGTGCATATATACCATTCGTTCCCATAGTCCACTTCTCAGCATTGTCGAAATGTGTATCTCCTCCCAGGCCTTCTCCAGGAGCAAATGCATGGGCTAGAGTCCCCCGAGGCCCATCGAATGGATAGGAATCCCCGTGATCTAAACAAGTGGGGAGAAAGGCCAACAAGATTGAGTCCTTCTAGAAATTCTGAGGGGCGCATCATATTACAGAAAAGGGACATTTTGAGTAGCATTGACACTTAAATTCACTTTTCAGTATTTATTTGTTATAATGGGAAGTTCATTTGTCAATGAGTAACAGCCCATTGAAAAATAAAAAAGGCTAATTCATACTGCAAAGATAGTAAGCATTAGCAATAAAAAAACACCTGTTTTGGGTTATTGTTGCTATCATGACATCTGTTAACTGACACATAGGATACTGTGGACTTTGCATGTGCCACAGATTACAAAAGGAGAACGACTGGGGCGGGGCGGGGCGGCGGGGGGGCGGCATTCGATAGCAAAACCTACCCCACTGATTGGAATGTGAACCTGTTAGCAGAATGACCTTTCAAATTTGATTCAGCTGAGACAGTGATAGTGAATTGAACAAGTGTGTGCTTTCTGTTTCTATAGCACAATACAGTTTAAGGAAGTGTCAAAAATCTCTCTGTAATTTTGACATACTTTCATGTGGAAAACATATGAAAGTCATAAAGGTGTTTATAAAATCCTAACTTTTAAAGCTTTTTAAGTTTTTGTTTAATTATCTATTTTAACTAACAATTCATTACAAATTTAATAGAAGAGGAGGAGGAAGAACAAAATAAGGGATATAGTTTACCACTTAAAAAAATCTTAGTAAGGATACCCAGTTTTAGTTTGTTTTTTTTTTTTAAAAAGCCGACAGAACAAAGTTTTGGTATGGCATTTCTCAGGTTTCAGTGAAATGCAGTCTACTCAGGTGCACACACCGAGGACTTCATGCAATGGCAGCACAGTCCCTGGTTGGCTTGTGTATTAGGGGACAGACTGTAAGCTTGAAAGATCAAGAGAGAGCCAGACATTCATTCCTTGGCCTTCAAAGCTACCCCGAGTCACACTGCTTTCCCTGCCACTTCACCAGGGGTGGCCTTTCTCTTCTGGGAGGAATAGGACATAACCTGGGCCAGGTCACGCCCAGGGCCATTTCTAAAGGCTTTATTCTCAGGACTTGCTTGATCTTCTTTTTTCTAGCTCCTAAGCATGTTTTCCCCCCAGTGACATCAGATTAAAATTAAGATCTGGGCTTGAAATGACAAGGACACTAGAAATGTTATCTGAGGAGGGTGAGCAATGGAATGGAGAAGAAGTGGGAAAGTTGGAGGCAGACCTCTTGCATATCTCCCAGAAGGTGGTCTGCAAGTGTGGGCAAGACAGAAACGATACTTTCCTAACCATTGCTGCAGGGGGAAAGCTGCTTCAAGGTCACTGTGGAAGGTATTTGCTTCAGTGAGGATTCATGGTAGGATATCCTTGGCTAATATAGAAGGGGTTATATAAGTGATAAACACTATCATGGGAATGGATGAGGTCATGTGGCTAACGGGAAAGCAAAATCTGCAAGAATTTGTCCCCTAGTGGGGCAAAGTCATAATGAAAGTTTGTTACAGTGAATCTACTCTACAGCTGTGTCTGATGATGACAAGACATGCTAAGAACTCCTTTGGTTCTATTTTCTGGCCAGATGAAGATCATGGCTTTGCCATGGTCTTGGCCTTGGCCCATCACAGCACTGTGCGAAGGAGGAGTGTGTGATCACTCGAATTAAAGATGTAGAAGGAACAGTATTGGGACAACTCTCCTTTGAATTAGTAGATGGAATCCAAGTACCACAATACCTCCATTTTCAAAAGATATCATAATATCCGCTTCTCCTGAGTTTATTCTGACAAAGCTCAGAGGGACGGCGCTACTCCAGGCCTGCAAGGCCATCTCCACTGCTTTGTCCACCTCGACAGAACTCATGGAAGGTGTGTATTTAGATATTCTGTGAAAACGGAAGGAACATGTTTTCTTTTCAGTAACTGCTCCGAAGAAGGCAAGAATTATATGTTGTATTCAAAAAATGTTAAATGTAAATCTACAATTTAGATTTTTCTCTGAAATAATAATTCTTATTTTGCTTTATTATATGTTAAATTTCTGCATATGAAACAACAAGACAAATGAAAGGGAGAGATGAGAGACAGTTGGGATAATCCGGTACTGAAACCATTTAGCTTTCATTGTTATTATACTACCACCGACTTAAAAGAATAAAATTTGTGGCCGGGCGCAGTGGCTCACGCCTGTAATCCCAGCACTTTGGAAGGCTGAGGTGGGAGGATCACTTGAGGTCAAGAGTTCGAGATCAGCCTAGCCAAGATGGTGAAACCCCATCTCTACTAAAAATACAAAAATTAGCTGGGCGTGGTGGTGCAAACCTGTAGTCCCAGTTACTTGGGAGGCTGAGGCAGAAGAATCATTTGAACCTGGGAAGTGGAGGTTGCAGTGAGCCAAGATCGGGCGACTGCACTCCAGCCTGGGTGACACAGTGAGACTTCACTCAAAAATAATTAAATAAATAAATAAGATAAATAAAACTTGTGAAATGTTACAGGTAGTAAGTAGTCAATTTTTCTTAAAGTCGTTTTCATTGAGAGAGGACCTCTTTTTCCCCAAAGGGACTGGATGTTTTCAATTATAAAAAATAGAAATGTGGAGTTTTGAAGTTTTGCTAATTCTTATTCAAAGCTCCTCAGGATTTCCCCAGGGCTATTGGGGAAGGTTTTTTTTTCCCTCAGAATAATGCATTCTTTTCTTTTTTCTTTTTCTTTTCTTTCTTTTTTTTTTTTTTTGAGATGGAGTTTTGCTCTTGTCGCCCAGGCTGGAGTGCAATGGCATGATCTCTGCTCACTGCAACCACTGCCTCCCAGGTTCAATTGATTCTCCTGCCTCAGCCTCCTGAGTAGCTGGGATTATAGGTGCCCGCCACCACGCCGGGCTAATTTTTATATTTTTGGTGGAGACGGGGTTTCACCATGTTGGCCAGGCTGGTCTTGAACTGCTGACCTCAGGTGATCCGCCCTCCTCAGCCTCCCAAAGTGCTCGGATTACAGGCGTGAGCCACTGCCCCCAGCCCAAAATAATACATTCTTAAAGAGGAAGGGCTAGCTTTAAAAACGGAGGCTCACTGGAATTGAAAAAAGGGTGAGCCTTTCAGCAATTACTGGTGTGACGATGACACCTGAAGGCAGAAAAATGTAGTGCTTTTTGGACTGTGGGTGGAGTCAGAGTTGGTGATTGTTAGAACTTTCTGCTCTGAAGCCCAGGGTCTGGGGATTTCTGGCAGCACACAAAGGAAAGGCAGGGAGGGCAACTTCTACCCGAGACCTTGGGCTGGGCTGGAATATGATGCAAAGTGAGAAGCTGTGTCTGTGAGAGCCAACCCCATGAGCAGGGACCGGCCCTGCTTTCTCTCTCTCTCTCTAGCTCCTAGTTTAGTGCCTTGCACATAGCAGATGCTTAGCAATTGCTTGATAAATAAATGAATGAATTAAAGAATTAAAGCTAGCTGTTTTAGGGCCCACTCAGTGGCTCTCGAAGTTTAGGACCTGTGATAATTACCTAGGAAGCTTGTTAAAAATACAGGTATGATCCAGAAATCTGTGTTTTGAAAGGTATCTTAGGTTATTATAATGCAGATGGTGCAATTTCAATGAGAAACCAACAGCAGTAATCCTAGGGTCCCAAATGAAAGGACTGTGCCCACAGAAAGGATAGCAAATAGCTCAATTCAGGACTTGAGAGGGAAGGAACAAGGAGCTCTTTAACCCCAGGTTTGGGGCCAAAAGAAGAGAGCTATAGAATTGAAGGGGGATACCAGACAGACCCTTAAAGGGACTATTTAATGCTTTCAAAATATGCCAAGCCCACTGCATAATATGAGTCTGCAATTTATCACAACTAGGTGGACTTAGTACTTTGACATGCCCTCGCATTTTTGGTAAGTCAGCCATATCTTTGAGCTGACTTTGTGTGTTGGCCTGGAGAAGACAAGGAAGGAGAGAGGGATAGCACCAGAGAAGAAGAGAACATGGAAAAAGGGATCCCCGAATCAGGGTCTGGAGCTTGATAAAGCAATAGTAATACTAGCCAATATTCTTTGAAGTCACACTATGTGCTGTTGCTGTATGCACTTTTTAATGTGGCATTTATCTAATCCTCACTTCGACCCCTAAGAGGAAGATCATCATCATCATCTACATGTTATGATTAGTCAGGTTTGAGCCCAGTTCTGTCTGACTCCAAAGCTTATGCATATAAGCACTATGCTGTATTTTTTTTCCTTTTGTAATCCTCTGGGTTATGTTGTAAGAAGTTATTCTGAAAGTCAGTAGCTACACAGGCAGAGTACTGTGATAGCCTCTAGTGTCCTTTTTCATGGGGAGGCGATGGTAGAGTTATTGGGGAGCAAGAGTGGATAGGCAATGTGTGTGTTGAGGGGTTTTTAAGACTGCCCAGCTTATCACAAGAATATTATACTTCCCTAAGCATCACATTATCTTGACCCAGGCTTCTTGTCTTTGTTGTACATAGTCATGGACTAAAATTCCAGAACACAGTTTACTTTAAGAAAACTATGAAAAGACTCTGTCGATGCGTACACATTTTTCTTGTCTTATTCTTACTATTTCAGAATCACTTTTGTGTTCAACTCCTATGAGGTTTTTCTCCCCCAATTGCTTTGTTTTTTTGTTCAGCCTGCCACCTTATGGATTTATTGGCTGATAGCAGGTAACAAGTGGCCTAGGGGATTCATGACTGTTCCCTGGATTCTGGCCCCTCCTTTGATCAAATGGACTCACTGGTGTGCTGGAACAGGTTAACAAGTGGCTCTACAAGGAGAAAAAAAAAAACCCACTTGATTTGCATGACTTGCTGATTTCTGTGTTGTAAATATTCTCACTATGGCTAATTCAAGCTACCAACTTACCATCACTGAATGCCAGGTTGTGAAGAGATGAGCATGAATGAACCACTCAGATTATACAGATGTACATAGCCTCATGAACAGAGAAAATAATAAAATGTAGTGAAATAAGAGGCAATATGTTATTACCTTTATTTTTAATATAATTTAATATAATTTATTATATTAATGTAATTATTTAATATAATGTATTTAATATAATTTAATGTAATTTATTAAATAATTATACCTATTAAATAATATAACATATAATAATAAATAACGTATTTTATTTATTATTATAAAATAATGTTTTAATAATATATTATTAATAAATAGTATTTTATTTATTACTACAAAAATATATTTTAATAATAAATATAAATATGAAATAATATACTTATTTAATATAATTTATTTAATATAATATAATTTAATTTATTTAATGTAATGTAATATGATTTATTTAATAGTAAATTTACATAATTTAACAATGGCTGTCTTAGCAACCAGCTCACAAAATTCTTGGGAGCTTAACAAGTGGCTGCAAAATTCCTGACATTTTAAGGATTGGCTTCTGTGAGCTATTAGGCGGCAGCTCTACCATACCACTGCTTAGACTATTGCACGAGTCCAGCCTTTCCCCATCTCCAGTTATCATCTAGATGTGCTCATCCTAAAAGGGAAATCTGATCCTGGTCCTGGCCTGGCTCTCCACCGCCCTGGGGATAAAGTCCAAACTCCTTGACATCACGCTCTAGTTGCCCTTCAGGCTGCCCCTCCAGCTCATTTCCTGCCATTGCCCTTCCTGCACCCTCTGCTGCAGCCGCATGCACTAGGCACTTGTGGTGGGAATGCTGCCCATCAACATGCCAGTCTGTCCACTCTCTGCTGCTATATGCTTGGTCTGGTTTTCTCCTTAGAAAACTCCTTACATGTGCAAGGCCTGGGGCAGGACCACAAAGAGTGGAGTCCACTCTTCTTTTCTGACCTGCACCCATCTGTCATGCATGAGGCCCACGCAGGCAGGCACCATCCACCCCTACCTCAGGCTGAGGGGCAGGTACCATACATAGTTTGCCCTTGGTTGGACCAACCTGGGGAGGAAGTCTGCGCTGGCTCCCAGAATCAGGTCTGGCTGTGGGAGAGGGAATTCCAGACTCCGTACCCTGAGCACAGCAGGGAGGGACAGAGGTTCTGGTTGGGTGTGTCCCCTTGGTTTATAAGGGATGAAGCCAGAGGATTAGGGGAGGGAAGAAAGAGGGCAGGGAAGGAGTGAGGGGAGCTTGGGGCTAAGAGTGGAACTGCTTCTGCTTTGCCTTCGAATCAGGCTCAGATGTTACTGCTGGTCCCTGGGCCACTTGGTAGCTCTGTCCATGTGAACTGTGGTCCCACAGTTCACTGCTTAGAGCTATGCTTTTGCACTTTTCACACAGAGCTACAGCTGTCTGTTTGCATGTCTGTCTCTCCTTAAAGGACTGTGAGTTCCCTAAGGTCAAGAAAGTTGACCTGTTCACCTTTATAACCCTCAAATGGAATGCATTTCTTGAATCATCAATAAAAGATTTTTGGAATCAATGAAATAAATTACTTTATTAGTAGGTTATTTTTTTCTTTCTCATTAAGCAGGTTGTTTTAAGAAAACTGGTTTGTACTGCCAGGTCATTAATCCTAGACTAGATTAAAGATAATTGTGTTGTTTCTAGCTGGTAAAATTGTTTGGAATGCCTAAAATAGCCAGTCATTATGATAATCCTAAAACCGTATTTTCTGGTGAATTGCCCATTGTCATTGCCTGACGGATGGATGTAAAAAGTTCTTATTCTTATGGTTGTGAGGTGTCAGGATTTTTATACGGATGAGAAGGAAAATATTTTTTCAAGAAAAGGGAAAAAGAGAGAGGTGGTGTTTTTCTCTGAATTTGGAAAGACTTGATCTCATTACCTGTATGTCAAAGTATTTTTTTTCCATTTGGGTTCACCAGGGAAGAGGCGATAATTGGCCACATCAGGAACTCCACAGCGAGGCTTCTTGATCACGTTCATTGTGGTCTGGTCTAACTTCCCGGTGACTTGGAGGCCAAAGAACGCTTGTAGCTCCTTAATCTTCCTTATCATGGAATTGCTTCCTCTTGCAACCATCTCACCAATCTGGTGTCCTTCTTTATTTGTGTAATATTTGTCAAGATACGCCTGAAATGGAGAGGCAGGCTGACGCGTCTACAGCGTAGTCTGGGAAATACTCATGCTCAGGTAAGGCAGGGGACAGCATTCCTGATGTATTAAAAGCAGTGTGTAGAGTATTTTCCCATTTATGAAAAAAGTAGACATATTTGTTTACATAAAGCTTAGCTATACTCCAAATTATTAACGATGATTGGTTTTGGGTAGTGGGGATTATAGATTATTTAATTATTTCCTTTTGTCCACCTGCATTTTATAGTTTTTCTACAATGCAATGAATATAACAAATACGCCTTTTTGCTTCTAATTTTTTTAAAAGAAAAAAATTCAGGGAAGGAAGCTGATGTGAACATTATTTCCATGGATCACTTATTTGTCACTGAAGTTCTTTACCCAATTTGCAAAACAAAGGCTATCTGGTTTCTTTGGTAAACAGTTATTGGTATCATCTTTCCATTGTACATAATGCAAGATCAGTATGCTTTTAACTCTTAAAGGCATTGTATTCCAGCCTCTCACACTTTACAAAGGCAGAGGGTCCACCTTTTTTTCAGCTGAGGATTTTAATGAGTTCAGATGTGTTTAGTATGTGGGCTGGATTTTGTTTCCATGAGACAACTTTCCTAGGCAAGGCTCTTTGTCTCTTGAAGCAAATAAAATAAGCCATAAATTATAAGGCTTTCATTTGCACAAAAAGACATAAAGCCCCTCAGTATATATTGTTCAAAACACTTTTCTATGACTCAGGGCTGGGATTAGGGTAAAACGAGTGATGCAGGGGCATGCAAATACAGGGTTGAGGCCTGCCTTTGGCTCAGGAATTTCACCTACTCAGCTGATTTTAGGAAAATAACCAAAGAGCAGCTAAGGGTTCAGTCCTCCTTTCATGTCCATGGGGGAATTGGTCCCAGGACCTCTCTCAGATACCTAAATCCACAGATGCTCAAGTCTCTGATATAAAATGGCATAATATTTGCATACAACTTAAGTACAGCCTCCTGTATGCTTTAAATCATCTCTAAATTACTTATAATATGTACTATAATATAAATGCTATGTAAATAGTTGTTATACTGTATTGTTTAGGGAAAAGCTACAAAAAAAATGTCTGTTTTGAACATGTCTTCCCTGAAACAGATGCAACCGTCGATTTTTTCCTGAATATTTTCAATCCACAATTGTTTGATTCCATGTGTACAGATCCCATGGATACAGAGCACTGATTGTATTTAATTATATACAATTTTATATTTATATAGTATAGACATGTTTATTTATTAGATATAAATTACATATTATTAGCCTATATATTAACCATATATTACCACATATAAACTATGCAAATTGTTTACTTACATATTATACACACATATTTTTAACATATATATAAAGATAATAAGTAATTGGGAGTAACCTTAATGTCTGATGTCAGGGGATTTATTATATATATTATCCTATATTTATATGAGACAGTACTAGGCCTCTACTAAGATCAGTTTTGAAAAATAAATATTTAATGGTATGAAAGAATGCTCTTTATGTAATGGCAATATACTGAGAAAAGAAGAGGAGAAATCTTTATAAGGTTATAATAATAATTTTCTGAATAAATCATACATATACACGCATATACACACACGCACACACATACAATAATAAAAGGAAGTCTGCCTGAATATTAATGTTGATTATGTCTGGGTAATGAAATTACAGATGACTTAATTTATTCTTTATTCCTTCCTATATTCCAAAAGTTTTTACAATGAGCATGAACCATTACTGCTGGGGAAAAAATAAAAAGGAGTAAGTATCACTCATGTTTGGAGAGGGTACGCTATTTTTTCACTGCAGGATCAGCTGATCCTTTACTCCCTGCCCTTCCTGTGAGAGAAGATCGCTTTCCCCATTGTTGTCCCTTGTAAAAACCTTAGGTGAGATGAGAAGCCAAGAGGAGGAAAAGGGAGAGGGAACATGGGGTGCCCAGGCTCTGAAACCTAGCCTAGGTGTTCTGAAACAAAGCTGCGACTATTTGGTTCCATTCCGTCTCTAGTTAGACCACCTTAAGTATTGATGTTTCTCATCTTTTTTTTTTTGCAAATGAGGTTGATGGGATGAATTGTTCCTGTCTGTGCAAGTTGATGCTGTGATAATGCAATGCTTGTGGTAATGTCTGAATTATACTCCTCAGGGTTAAGCTCCATGTATAAGACCAGGTCCTCTGTGTCTCTGAGATCATTGATTTCAAATATTTTGTTCTCCTGTTAGGTTATGTATTACACTCTACATTCTAGTTTTTGTTTCACAAAATAGGTTATATAAGGGAAGATGCTCATGATAAATTAAGTGGAAAACATGTTTGCCGTGTTTACCACTGCTGTTACAACATGAGCCATGTTTATAAACATAAGTGGTATCTAGTCACACCATCCCAGTCATATCACCAGGGCTGAGATGAGGCCAGTGGTGGGTTACCAAAAACTCCGTAATCAAGATAAATCATAATTTAATGCAGAATTAAAAAAAACAAAATAAATGCCAAAAAAATCCATGATAAACAAAATTTCAAAATTTTAAATACAGGATGCATTCCTGCTTTGGTTGTCTCACACTAATCCTGGCCCTGAATCATAGAAAAGTATTATGAAAGATATAGTCTAAGGGACTAACAGTGGTTAAACCTTAATAATGGATTTAAGATGATGTATTTTTAAAGATAGGGCTTTTACTTTTTTTTTTTTTACTATGAACCTGCGTAATTTTTATAACCAGCTGTTTGTTTCTTTAAAATATGCACAAAATGTTAGTCTTAGAGCACAAAAGGTTTCTGGCTGGTCATATAGGCAGGATTGAAATAGTACCTTTTAATGAAGTAAAAATAAAATTAGAAACTATTCCTTCTTAAAAACAAAAATTCATCACTGCAGTGATATAAACAAAATCTCTCCCTAGTTGGTGCTTCCATAAGATGTGATTCTTGTTCTAGTAAAACACTTGTCTCATTGCACCATAAACCATCACTTCCTACCAATTTCTTATCACTCTCACCTGCTTGTTTGCAACCTCCTTCCAGTCAGGCACCGTTTTGCCTTCACAGATGCAAACCCTGTGTTTGACTCAGTTCTAGGCTCAGAGTAGATGCTCAGTTAATGTTTGAGCTCTTTTTCTTTAGGCAAAATATGAAAGTATGTTTCCTTGAAGAATTATCAGATATCCTGAAGTACTGAGAGCTCAGAACTCTGGGCACTTTCTTGCTAAAGTTACTGACAAGGTTTTGGCATACTTTTCACTGTCACAATATTCTATCAGGCACTTAGGTGTGTACTTAGAATTGCTTTCATGTGATGCTCTAACACTTGCATATGTTGGCTCAGCACTTAATGTTGGCACTGGGACAAAGAATTCAGAATTCACCAGAGTTGTCCCATTTCCCTCCAATCTTCCCCACTTCCTCATTGTTAAAATTGTAGATTTTTGGGTCAATTATCAGGTGGTCCTCTCTCCACTTCTCTTCTGGTATCTGACAGATAAAAGTACAGGAGGCCAGGGGTTCCATTCCTGCAGGCTAGCAGCTTAGGTCTCCCTTCCAAGCCCTTATTCCGTGCATTTTCCTAGTGTCCTTCCTGAGACTTAAGAGTTTAAAACTCAGTTTAAGTACGCTCCAGGACAGGGTGAAACTTAAGGTACATTTCCTCAACATTTTTCTTTTTTGGCAAAGTCACTGTCAGGTTCCAGGATCAGGTTTGGGGCCACGACTACACTAAATGTCATTCTCAGTGTCAGGTTCCAGCCCATGCTGAGGTCTGAGGGGAATGGGTGGGTGGCAGATAGCTGAAAGAATCCTCAGGGAGGGGGTGAGGGCATAGGCAGATGAATATGGTTTTATTCAGCAGCTCTCTCATCAGCAGCTTTCTCACACTGTCCGCCCTGTTTCGGCTGCTTGAGCCGGCTGCTCCCACACACATCTGCGTGGCTGGCCCACCCTTCAGGGTCAGCAGCTTAACTCTTTCTCTCTCTGGGCACAAGCCGGTTCCTGGCTCCCTCCTACCCGCCTGCAAGATGGATACCTTTGGCTCTCTCTCTATTTCTCTGGGTGAGAGGACTCCTGTACAATGTCAGCAGGGCAATTATACCTTTTACAGACAATAGTGGCTTAGAGCTAAGTGATGGCCTTCCCATGTTATGGCTACATGGCTGTGATAACAAGTGGAAATGTACGCCTGCACCCTAAACTCGCTGAGTCACGCAGGATGTTTACCTTGGCCTATGCCCGCTTGGCTGCAGCACAGCCATGTTCCTTACAGTCACACAAATAGATTTGTGAGAACTTTTAAAGCTGTCTGAAAAATCCTAGGTTCTAGTCCAGGCTGTGTCACTAACACGCTTGGGCAATTCTTTTAATTTCTTGTGGTTTCAGTTTTCTCATCTATAGAGTGGTTTCTGCCCTACTGGCTACGTGAGTGTGAGGATCCAATGAGGTCCTCAATATGAATGCTTTTAAATGTGACAAAATACTTTCAAATGCCCTTTTACTCATTAAGTCCATGTCTGGAAACCTATCCTGAAAAAATAATTGTTTAAATTAGCTTGATGTACAAAGATGCTTATAGAAGCCTTATTCATATGGAAGTAATCTATTTGTTAAAGGAAATGGTCAAATAAATTATAACTCATATTCTGGAATATTTCTGACTGTTTAAAGTGATGTTATGAAAATAGTATAAAACCAAAATTTTCTTATGACATAATAGTTAGAAAAGTAAAAACCACATTTTGAAGACAGTAACAATTTTAAAAAGTCTTTATCATAGAAAATAAAATGGTAGTAAAAACACCTGAATTAACAGTGTGTATTTTCATTTTCCTTAGTTATGAGTTCATAATAATGTGGTAGTTAAAATTTTTATTTTTAAGCATAATTTAAAAAGTATGTTTTAAATGTCATATTGACACTAATTTTGTTTAACAAACAAACAAACCCAGAATAAAATCCTGGATTATGAGAATAGGTAAGCATTTTGCCATCTTACCATTTTCAAAGCATTTAGGCAAATTAGCAAATCAGAATTTAAAGGACACAAGTGGACATTAAATAAATCAAGAAGCTGTTTATCTTTTCAAGTGTAGATTTTTTAGGGGAGGGAGAGGTGTATGGTGTTTGGAAACGTGGCCTCTCTGGTGTTTCCAGGAGCCATTTGTTCTTTCTTAGCGAGTGACCTAACAGATCACTTAGCAAGAAGAGAGCATCCCTAAGCACTCTCTCTGCTTAGCGTGACCCAGGCCACCAGGCACCAGAGGACCTGCTGGCCTCACCTGTCCTTGGGACTCCTCTGGGACCCTCTTTCCTGACCTCTGAGCTCTAGTCACATGGGCCTGATGATTGCATTCCAAGCAGCTGCTGTTTCCTCCGTCTGGACTGCCCCATCTCCAGGTCTTCACGTGACTGGCTCTTTCATGCAGCTCAGGTTCATCTCAAAGTTCACTTCCTCCGAGAGGACTTCCTGGACTACGCCATTAAAAATACTCCCTCACCAGACCACTGTCCCAGTCAGCAACACTCTGTCATCCTGATTAACTTCTTTCCAGGCTCACTGATCACTTTCTGAAACATCTTGTGCACTCATTGGTTGACTTGTTTATCTTCTCCCAGCACCTTCCCACCAGCTCCCTCATCCTCATGGAAGGAGCATAAGAACAGGGGCTTGATTTGTTTGATTCTCTCATATTTCTCCAGCATATGCCATGCTGTAAGCATTCAATACATGAACTTATGCTGCCTATTTTACTGCTTTTGTTTGTGATTTTATGAGGCTGATGAGGTTGTTATATAATGTTTCTATAAATTATAAGGTGGGATGTTATTAAATAATTGTTTCCTGTCATTGTGATCCTCATTAGAGGTTCAGCCAGATCATTCCAGGCTCCTGAGTGTCCCTGCCCAGAGCTGAGGACCAGGGCCATTGCAAGCAAAGGTGCTGTGTGTCAGGTGAGGAGATGTGGACAAGTTTCCCTGCTCCTTGGTCTAAGGTCTTTCTGAGAGTATGTCATAAGGGAGACAGAGAAGGGTTGATTTATTTTGGAGAGGAAGAAGTAAGGAATCACTAAAGGTCCCCAATATTCCCAGGCCATGCTACTGTTTCTAAACGTGCCTAGCTGACTCCTGACCAGCTAGAATAGCAAGAGTGACTCCACCCAAGAGTGTCTAGCCCAGGGGTCCCCTGATCCTGGGCTGCACCCGGAAACCAGTCTGTGGCCTGTTAGGAACCTGGCCCCACAGCAGGAGGTGAGTGGCGGGCCAGCATTACTTCCTGAGCTCTGCCTCCTGTCAGATCAGCAGAGTCATCAGATTCGCATAGGAGCAGAACCCTATTGTGAACTGCATGTGTGAGGGACCTAGGTTGCATGCTCTTTTGAGAATCTTATGCCTGATGATCTGAGGTGGAACAGTTTCGTCCCAAAACCATCACCCCTCCAGCCTCCTACTTCCCACGTCCATGAAAAACTGTCTTCTATGAAACTGGTGCTTGGCTGGTCTAGCCTTATTCCTTAATAGACTGGTCAGGGGTGACTAATTTTTTCTGCAAAGGACCAATAATTAATATTCTTTGCTTCTAGGCTAACCTCTGCCATTGTGGCACAAAAGCAATCATAGACAATCTGTAAACTAAGGGGCAGGGCCAACTGTAGTTTTCCTGAACTGTGGATTAGAAGGGGGGTCTCCCAACACCTCAGATCCATTCTGGCCTCAGCATGGCTCTCCTTCTGGAGGTCACAAAACCTCTTTAGTTTCAGAATCACAGTGGCATGAGGCAGGGTAGGGAAAATTACATTTGGGAAGAAGGCACCTAAAGCTAGGTGGCATGGACAAAATACAATTGAATAAGGATCCCAGTATCCTGAGTTATTTTGAATTTAGTTCATCTAAAAGTGGGCTAAAGTCAAAAGAAGTTCAGTTCAACATGGTTGTGCTGGGCATCAGCTGTGCTGTTCATCTGCGGGGCTGATATTTAAGTGTTTAATGACTGGTATGGCCGGGGAACTGACCAGTTAATAAGGATGAGTGGCAGAAACAATCGGTAGGGACATGCCATTGCACATGGGTGCAAATCAGCTCTACGATGCAGACAGCCAAGCGGTACACAGGTGCAGCCTGGCAGTCAGGAAAGCAGCCCTGAGGCGGAGCTGGTGATCACAGATGTGCTGTAATGTTGGCAGACTCTTGAAAGGGAGGCCTGTGTGCAAAAGCATTTCCTCTATATATCTTTCACTAATGTTGGAAATTCCATCCGTAGACATCCATTTCTTTAGGTTAAGGATGCCACCCTTCTTTTAAAAACAAAACACGCTTGGAAGCATATATATATATATATATATATATATATATATATATATATATATATGTAGAAATCATTTTGAGTCAAGCAGTCTTTGTGAAATATTTGAATATGGATCATTTCTATCAGACCCTTTCCAGCAGTCATAGAGGAGAGATCTCAAAAGAGGAAAATACACAAAGTTTAAGTACATAAACGTTGTACTTTGTACTTACTACATAAACTTTGTTATGTACTTTGTACATAAACTTTTACTTCATTGGGGAATATGCTTTAGGGAGAAAAGGCCTTCAAATGAGAAGTGGGTTGGCACCCAGGAAGAACTTAGTCCACTTTAAATTTTGATCAGGGTTACCTTGAATATAAGAGCCATTTAAAAAGTGGAAACACAGGAAATCTCCTTGTTGTGACCGCTAAAGCTTAGCACTAAATTCACAACCTGCCTCTAGCGTGTGGATTATGCCTCGGTTTTTATTTTTCTGCTTCTATTTTTCCTCCTACATCATTCCCGGGAAGTACTTGTTTGCTCCTTTTATATTGCATGGTTTTCACAAGCCACCTGGAATTCTTTATGAAGCAAGATAGCTAGGTAGATATATCCTCATGTATTTATTCAGTCATGTAACATGGTACACCTAATATGCACCAGACACCAATCTAGGTGGACAGAAGATAGCATCAGTTAGACTTCAATGGACTTATATAAAATGATTTTAAAAGAACAATAGAATTTTTTTCTTATTTTCTCACTATGCCCTTTTAGGTTTTCTAGGGCAGAGGAGCAAGAAGGAATTGGGCAAAAATTCACAAACCTGTGCGAGGCGGTAGTTGTTCCTCCAGGTCCTGGGGGAGGCTGCAACTAGGGAGGGGGCTGCAGTGGAAAACTTCAAAGCCATGATGAGGAAGACAGCAAGGCCAGATGCAGGGAGCACCTTCATCCCCTCACAGTAGCTTGGTAATTATATCAGCCTGGGGGATGGCAGACAGTGCACGTTTGCACTTCGACCTTGAGCTCCTTTTATAGAGTCAAACAGGTCTGGACCCTCCGAGCAAGGATGATTCATGTCTCAAACAGTAATTATACAGCTCATTTCTCTCCCTGATGATGGGGTAACACAACTGTACACAGGAATCAGGGAAAGCTTCATATTTTTTTTGTTATTTACCAAGTGGCAAAAGGAGAAAAACAGTCACTTTTAATGAAGTTGGTCAGCTAGTTACAAAAATTGAAGTAAACTTGATTGATTTGAACCCAACTCAACTGAAACATTTGATTAGTCTTCATTTGGGGGCCTTTTTCCATTCTGATTACAGAAAAGTTAGATGATTACAGTATAATTGAATTTGTCCTCCAAGTAATCCCAAACTCCCCATGCATTCAACCCAATCGCCTGTATCTCCTGCATTCACTTCAAAATTTCTTAGTAGCAACTGCTGTTCATAATGATGGCTCTGAGACACATAAGATCCTGAATCATCAAGGCAAGATTACATTATACTGTGCTGACTTAGGGTGGAAAGTGAACTGGTAACTGTTAGAAAGCTTTTGGATGAATTAAGGCAAGAGTTACGTCTTCGTTAACCAAAACAATAGCCAGAACTCCCCAATCTCTGTGTACTCTGGTTAATTGGAGTCATATTGTTTTTCCTGGGTCTGATTAAGATGGATTTGGATCCAGAGATGATACGGTGAAATGGTGTCATATGGTGGGAAAAGCACTTAGAGTCAGACAAAGCAAGACTAAATATTTAAAAAGATATTTCCTAGCTGTGTGATGTTGGGTATGTCATTTAATCTCTGAATATCAAGTTTTTTTTAATCTACAAAAGACTGACAATACTACTACTATGTATAAACTTTTCAGTGTTATGGAGTAACACATATAGCATGACATCTGCAAGCACCACTTGGCATCCACTAGATGTGGATTCAAATCCTAATTTTGATTTTAGACTAAATTCAAGGTTATTCCTATAGTGAATACAGTGAATTCCTATAGTCTTTCTCACTCTGTTGCATTTTGATATGCTTTCTTTGCATGGAAGAGAAGATGGTGGAGTTACAGCCAATGTTTGGTATCTAGTGTACAACCCCAGGCACTGAACAAGAGTTTGTCACACATTAATATGGTTTGGCTCTGTGTCCCTAACCAAATCTCATCTCGAATTGTAATCCCCATGTGTTGAGGGAGGGAGGGGATTGGATCATGGGGGTGGTTCCGTCATGCTGTTCTCATGACAATGAGTGAGTTCTCACAAGATATGATGGTTTTATAGGTGTTTGAAAGTTCCTCCATTGATCTTCTCTCTCCTGCTGCCTTGTCAAGAAGGTGCCTGCTTCCCCTTTGCCTTGCACCATGATTCTAAGTTTCCTGAGGCCTCCCCAGCCATGTAAAACTGTGAGTCAACTAAGCCTCTTTCCTTTATAAATTACCCAGTCTCGGGTATTCCTTTATAGCAGTGTGAGAATGGACTAATACACACAGGCAAACAGAATTTCTGGCATGTACTGTGAGATAGACAAAACATGTGTCTCAGAAGAAGAAAAAAGAAAACCACAGATTAGATTCATTCAACTAAATTGTAAGC